>NC_000001.11:43190198-43493228 GCF_000001405.40 Homo sapiens | reverse complement strand
GAGCCTGGGCAGCAGAGTGAGACCCTTGTCTCAAAAACAAAACAAAACACCCTAATGAAAATTCTTGTACTAAAAAACATGCTAACTAAACTAAAAACACTCATTGGTGTTACAGGCCAAGAAAATGGGGGTCATGACCAACTCAGTATACCACTGGAGGCTATATGAGTAAACAGAAAACTGTTCTCATGAAAGCAGGATGTTGGAAAACTGACAACTGCGTCTGCTGCCAGAAGGGATGCTGAGGGCAGTCACGTCCCTGGCACAGTGTTCCTTGTGATTATCTATAGGAAATCTGAAGCCTGTTGTACAAAAAAAAATTATGTATACCTGTGATAAATCAAGCAACTGATCAACTCTTACCTCTCCCTCCCTGCTCTTTCCACCTAGTAAATATGAAGGGCTGTGGAAGCTCAGGGCTGACTTTGCTCACGAGAAGCAAGGAGCCCCCTGACCCCTTCTTTTAAAATAGATCCTCTTGTATTTGTCTTTATTTCTGTGTTCATCCCCCTTCGTTTACTCCTGTAGAAACCATCAGCGACACATTGGCACTGGGCATGGTGGTGCACGCTTACAGTCCTAGCTACCCTGGAGGCTGAGGAAGGAGGACTGTTTGAGCCTAGGAGTTCAAGTCCAGACTGGGCAACATAGTGAGAAGCAAGACTCTGTCTCAATAAATAAATAAATAAATACTCACTGGACAGGATTAAAAGCAGATTGGGAAAACGGCCTCCAAAAGACCCTCCAAAACTTTACCCCTTGAGGCCCCATAAGCAGCAATAGAAATGATAACAACAATAAAAACTGGCAAAAAATGGGTAGAATCAACTTTTTCAAAATTCTGAAAATTAACCAAAGGCTTGCAGCTACTTGGGGACAGTGTACTTAGAAGAAACGAAAGTTGAATCTCAGTAAGAACAGCAAACTTTGTGCCATTTTAACTTGCCCTAGTCTCATTCCCCACTCATCAGCTTGGCAGTAGCCTTGAAAAATAACAGCTTGCATTCCCTCTTAGGAAGTCCTCTTGGCAGCCACCAGAGGAGGCAAATAGAGGTGGAACGCTTCCAAAGACCTGTGCTTAAGGAAATTGTCATTATTTGGCTTGTCTGGTAGTTCCTCGGAAGACCCCAGTTACAAGGCTGGCTTGAAGCTAGCCCATTGTGAACAGCCTTCCTCCTGGGGTAGGAAGAAATGTGTGTGAAAACAATTAAAGGCAAATGTTTTAACTTCATGGCTGCCTGAAGCAATGAATAACAGTTGGGACACACACACACACACACACACACACACACACACACACACACACAGAGAGAACTTCCCTTCCACCCCCCACAAACTCAGACTAACTAAAAGGCTTAAAAGGAAAAGCTGGGAAATTAGATGTCCACAGGAGCCTCAAAGAATCCTGCCATATTCCTGGAAATCTGCAAGGTGACACACATGTGTAAGGCTGTGTGTGTGCTTAGGATAGAATGGGAAAGCTCTAAGCTCTCACTTGTGGCTGATTTTGATTTTCTGTGCAAGTAGGAAGTG
Source organism: Homo sapiens (assembly GCF_000001405.40). Classification (NCBI taxonomy): domain Eukaryota; kingdom Metazoa; phylum Chordata; class Mammalia; order Primates; family Hominidae; genus Homo; species Homo sapiens. The sequence continues at coordinate 43,491,695 of NC_000001.11, read as the reverse complement.
AAGGTTAAGGTGTAGATGGACACTACCTGGCTGAGTGTTAAAGGTGTCTCCTAGGCTGGGTGAGGTGTCTCACACCTGTAATCTCAGTACTTTGGGAGGCTGAGGTGGGCGGATCACGAGGTCAAGAGTTTGAGACCAGTCTGGCCAACATAATGAAACCCTGTCTGTACCAAAAATATAAAAATTAGCTGGCATGGGGGCAGGTGCCTGTAATCCCAGCTGCTTGGGAGGCTGAGGCAGGAGAATCACTGGAACCCTGGTAGTGGAGGTTGCAGTGAGCCAAGTTCATGCCACTGTCCTCCAGCCTGGGTGACAGAGCGAGACTCTGTCTCAAAAAAAAAGAAAAAAAAAAAGGGTGTGTCCCAACACACACACACACACACACACACAAGCACACACAGCACCCCTCAGTAAAGACTGGGATGACTTTTTTGCTTCTAGTTAATAAAGGAAATCATTGGCCAATCATTAACTGACCACTAAGATGGCTGACTAGAGACTTCATTAGCCACATACAACAAAGAATATAGACTTTACAGAATTAATCCAGAGAAGTCACTGAATAAATAAACAACTGTAACAACAACAACACAGGAGTGGGGGGAAGAGTCTGACTTTCAGGGTACCACATTATAGCTTTAAAAAGTCTAATTTCAACCAAAAATTGTGAAACAGAAAGGTATTCACAAGAAAAAAAGGAATACATAGAAATTGCCTCTGAAAAAAGCCACATATTGGACTTACTAGGCAAAGACTTTAAATCAACTATTTAAATATGTTCAAAACAATGAAAAAAATCTATGTCTGAATACTACATACTATAGGAAAGTATGAGAATATGTCTGTATCTGTAATGTGTCACCAGGTATAAAATATCAATAGAGAGATATAAATTATTATTATTACTATTCTGAGTTGGGGTCTTACTCTGTCACCCAGGTTGGAGTGCAGTGGCACAATCTTGGTTCACTGCAATCTCTGCCTCCCAGGCTCAAGCAATTCTCCCACCTTAGCCTCCAAAGTAGCTGGGACCACAGGCACATGCCACATCTGGCTAATGTTTTGTATTTTTGGCAGAGATAGGGTTTTGTCATGTTGCCCAGGCTGGTCTCAAACTTCTGAGCTCAGGCCGTCCACCCACCTTGGCCATCCAAAGTGCTGGGATTACAGGCATGAGCCACCATGCCTGGCTGAGAAATCATTTTTTTAAAAATAGAAACTCTGGAGTTGAAAAATACAATAGCTAGAATAAAATATTCACTAGAGGGGCTAAATAGCAAGTTTGAGCTTGCGGAAGAAATAGTGATTTTGGAGATAGCTTCAAATTACAAATGCAAAAATTGACAATTAGAAAACAGATCAGAAAGAAAAAGAGGAATTAAACAACACTATAGACATCTGTAGAACACTCCACCCAACAACAGCAGAATGCACATTTTTCTTAGATGCACATGGATTATTCCCGAGGATAGATCATATATTAGGCCATAAAACAAGTGTCAATAAACTTACAAAGATTGAACTCATACAATATATGTTCTTCAACCGTAACAAAATGAAATTAGAAATCAAAAACAAAAAGAATGTGGAAACTCATAAATATGTGAAAATTAAACAACACACTCCTAAATAACCAATTAGTCAAACAAGAAATCACCAGGGAGCTGGGCAGAATGGTGTGTGCCTCTAATCCCAGCTACTTGAGAGGCCAAAGCAGGAGGATCACTTGAGGGCAGGAGTTCAAGACCAGCATGGGTAACATAGAAAGAGGCTATCTCAAAAAATAGAAATCACAAGGGAAATTAAAAATTACTTTGAATGGAATGAAAAAAAAATCACAACATGACAAAACTTATAAAATCCAGGAAAAGGTCAGGTGCGGTGGCTCACACCCGCAATCCCAGCACTTTGGGAGGCCAAGGCGGGCAGATCATGAGGTCAGGAGATCAAGACCATCCTGGCTAACACAGTGAAACCCTGTCTCTACTAAAAACATAAAAAATTAGCCAGGCATGATGGTGGGCACCTGTAGTCCCAGCTACTCAGGAGGCTGAGGCAGGAGAATAGTGTGAACCCCGGAGGCGGAGGTTGCAGTGAGCCGAGATCGTGCCACTGCACTCTAGCCTGGGTGACAGAGTGAGACTCCATCTCAGAAAAAAAAAAAAAGAAGAAGAAGAAGAAGAAGAAATCCAGGAAAAACAGTGTTTAGAGGGAAATTTATAGCTGTTAAAGGCATACATAAAACAAGAAGGAAGATCACAATTCAACAACCCAAACTTCCACCTTAAAAACCTAGAAAAAGAAAAGAAAATTAAATCCAAAGCAAGTAAAAAAGGGCAATAATAAAAATTAAAGCAGAAATAAACAAAATACACTATAGAAAAATAATAGAGAAAATTAACAAAACTAAAAGTTAGTTCTTTAAAAAGATCAACAAAATTGACAAACCTTTACTAGACAGATTAAAAAGAAAAGACTCAAATTATAAAGATTAAGAATGAAAGTGGGGATATTACTACTGACCTTACAGAAATAAAAAAAGGACTATAGTTGTATGTCAATAAACTAGATACTCCAGATGAAATGGACAAATTGATAGAAAGACACAAACTAGGCTGGGCGCAGTGGCTCATGCCTGTAATCCCAGCACTTTGGGAGGCTGAGGCAGGCTGATCATGAGGTCAAGAGATCAAGACCATCCTGACCAACATGGTCTACGAAAAATACAAAAATTAGCTGGGCATGGTGGTGTGCGCCTGCAATCCTAGCTACTCGGGAGGCTGAAGCAGGAGAATTGCTTGGACCCAGGAGGCGGATGTTGCAGTGAGCTGAGATCACGCCACTGCTCTCCAGCCTGGTGACAGAGTGAGACTTTGTCTCAAAAAAAAAAAAAAAAAAAAAAGACACAAACTGCTGAAACAGACTCAAAAAGAAATAAATAATCTCAATAGACATATAACAAGTAAAGAGATTGAATTAATAGTAGTAGTAGTAGTAATAGTAATAATAATAATATACTATCCACAAAGAAAATCCCATGCCCAGATGGCTTCATTAGTGAATTCTGTCAAACATTTAAAGAATTAATACAAATTCTTCACAAACTCTTCCAAGAAATAGGAGAAAAGTAAACACTTCCCAGCTCATTTTGTGAGGCCATTACTACTCTGATATCAAAACCAGACAAAGACATCACAAGACAAGAAAACCACAGATCAATACTGCTTATGAATATGGATGCAAAACTTCAACAAGATAATAAACGGAATCCAGCAACATATAAAATCAATTATACACTTTGACCAAGTGAAATTTATCCCAGGAATGCAAGGTTAGTTTAATATCTGAAAATCAATTACCATAATGCACTTTATCAATAGAGTAAAACCTCAAAACTACATGAACATCTCAATAGGTGCAGAAAAAGCATTTGACAAAATCCAACCCCTTTTCATGATAAAATAGTCAACAAACTAGAAATTAATTTCTGAATTTATTCTACTGTGGTTGGAGAAGATATATTGTATGAGTTCAATCTTTGTAAATTTATTGACACTTGGTTTTATGCCTAACATGTGGTGTATCCTGGGGAATAGTCCATGTGCACTTGAGAATAAAGTGCATTTGGCCTTTTTTGGGTGGAAGAGCATATCCTCCACATGATAAGGGGCATCTATGAAAAACTCACATCTAACTTCATATTTAATGATGAAAGATTAGATGTTTTCCCACCAAGATCAGGAACAAGACAAAGTTGTCTGCTTTTGTCATTTATACTCAACATTGTACTAGCGGTTCTATCCAGGGCACTTGGACAAGAAAAAGAAACAAAAGTCATCAAGATTGAAAAGAAAGAAGTAAAACTATCTCTATTTGTGAGTGGTATGACATAATGCTGTATATAGATAATCCTGAGGAATCCACTTAAAAACTATTAGAAATAATCAACAAGATACATAAGGTTGCAGAATTTAAGATTACATACAAAAATCAATTGTATTTTTTTTCTTTCTGAGATGGAGTCTCACTCTGTCACCCAGGCTGCAGTGCAGTGGCACAATCTCGGCCCATTTCACCCTCCTCCTTCTGGGTTCAAGTGATTCTCCCACCTCAGAACCTGAGTTGCTAGGATTACAGGTGTGGGCCGCTATGCCCAGCTAATTTTTGTATTTTTGATAGAGACGAGGTTTCACCATGTTGGCTGGTGTGGTCTTAAACTTCTGACCTCAAGTGATCTGCCCACCTCAGCCTCCCAAAGTGCTGGGATTACAGGCATGGGCCACTGCACCCAACCAAAAATCAATTGTATTTCATAAAATATACACTAGCAATGAATTCTGAAAATAAAATTAAGAAAACAATTCTATTCATAATAGCATCAACATGAATAAAATACTTAGGTATAAATTTAACAAAAGATGTACAAGACTTCTAATATGGCCTGCTTCTGTGTCCCCACCCAAACCTCATCTTGAATTGTAGTTCGCATAATCCGCATGTGTCATGGGAAGGACCTGGCAGGAGGTAGTTGAATCATGGGGGTGGTTACCCCCATGCTGTTCTCATGATAGTGAGTGAGTTCTCATGAGATCTGATGGTTTTATAAGGGACTTTTTCACCTTTGCTTGGCACTTCTCTCTCCTGCCACCTTGTGAAGAAGAACGTGTTTGCTTCCCCTTCTGCCATGATTGTAAGTTTCCTGAGGCCTCCCCAGCCATGTGGAACTGTGAGTCAATTAAACCTATTTCCCTTATAAGTTACCCAGTCTCTGGTATTTCTTTATAGTATCGTGAGAATAGCCTAATACAACTTCTATACTGAAGACTACAAAACATTGTTGAAAGAAATTAAGGGAGATTTAAATAAATAGAAAAACTTCTGTTTTCTTAAGTTGGAAGACTTAATATTGTTGAGATGGCAATATTCTCCAAATTGATATACAGATTTAATGCAATTTATATCAAAATTTCAAATACCTCTTTTGCAGAAATTGACAAGATGATCCTAAAAGTCATATGAAAATGCAAAGGATCCAGAAGGGCCAATATAATCCTGAAAAGGAACAAAGTTGGAGGACTCCCACTTTCTGATTTTCAAAACTTACTGTAAAACTACAGTAATTAAGACAGTGTAGTACTGGCAAAAGGACAGCCATATAGGTCAATGGAATAAAAGTAAGACTCTATGGTTAATTGATTTTCAACAAGGATGCCAAGACCATGCAATGAAGAAAAGAACAAAATAACAATCTTTTCAACAAATAATAGTAGGACACTGGATATCCACATGCAAGGGAATGAATTTGGACCCCTAACTCACACCGTGTACAAAAAACTAACTCAGAATGGATCAAAGATTTTTTTTTTTTTTTGGGATAAGTTCTCACTATGTTGCCCAGACTGTTCTTGAACTCCTGGGCTCATGCGATCCTCCCACCTTGGCCTCCCAAATTGCTGGGATTATAGGCATGAGCCACAGTGCCCCCACAGCCAGATCAAAGATCTTAAGAGCTAAAACTATAAAGCCCTTGGAAGAAAATATAGGGCTAAATCTTCATGACTTTGGATTAGGTAATAGTTTCTTAGGTACGACACCTAAAGCACAAGCAATTAAAGAAAAAAATAGATAAATTAGACTTCAAATTTAAAAACCTTTGTGCATCAAAGGACACTCACAGGAAAATGAAAAGACAACCCACAGAATGAGAGAAAATATTTGTAATTTATATATCTGACAAGTAACTTGTATCTAGAATAGAAAGAACTCCTACAATTCAATAATTAAAAAAAGACAAATAACCCAATTTTAAAATGGGGGCTGGGTGTGGCATCTCATGTCTGTAATCCTGGCTCTTTGGAAAGCCAACACTGGGGCATTGCTTGAGGCCAGAAATTAAAGACCAGCCTGGACCACATAGTGGGATCCCATCTCTACAAAAAAAAAAAAAAAAAAAACAGGTAGCTGGGTGTGGTGGCCTGTGCCTGTGGTTCCAGCTACTTGGGAGACTGAGGTGTGAAGATTGGTTGAGCCTGGGAGGTTGAGGCTACAGTGAGCCATGATCAAGTCATTGCACTCCAGCCTGGGCAACAGAGCAAAAACCCATTGGAAAAAAAAAAAAAAAGGCAAAGGATCTGAATAAGTATTTCTCCAAAGTAGGTTTGCAAATGGCCAATAAGCACACGAAAATATGCTTGATGTCATTAGTCATCAGGGAAATTCAAATCAAGGCCTCAAAGAGATATCACTTCACACCTGCTTGAATGGCTATAATAATAATTTTAAAAGGGCAATAACAAGCATTGGCACAGCTGTGGAGAAATTTCTGCTTCATATAATGCTGGTAGAAATGTAAAATGGTGTAGCTGCTGTGGAAAACAATTTGGCCATTCATTTAAAAGTTAAATATAGAGGCTGAATGCTGAATACAGGTGGCTCATGTCTATAATTTCAGCATTTTGGGAGGCCAAGGAAGGAGGATCATTTGAGCCCAGGAGTTCCAGACCAGCCTGGGAAACATAGTGAGACTCCATCTCTATAAATAAATAAATAAATAAATAAGCCAGGCATGGTGGCACATGCCTATAGTCCCAGCTACTTGTGAGGCTGAGGTGGGAGGACCACTTGATCCTAGGAGTTCAGGCTGCTGTAAGCTATGATCACACTACTGCATTCCAGCCTGGGTGACAGAGTGAGACCTTGTCTCAAAAAAAAAGGAAAGAAAAAAGATAAACACAGAGCTATGATCTAGTAATTCTATTCTAGGTATATTTCCAAGAGAAATAAAAACATATGTCCACATAAAACTTATACATTAGTGTCAACAGCAGCATTATTCATAGTAGCTTAAAGGTGGAAACAACGCAAATGTCCATCAACTAAATAATGGATAAGCAAATTGTGATACATCCATACAATAGAATATTATTTATGCATAAATGGAATGAAGTGCTGATTCATACTACAATATGATGAACTTTGAAGAATTATGATATGTGAAAGAAGCCAGACATGAAATGTCAAATATTTTATGATTTCATTTAAATGAAATGCCCAAAATAGGCAAATCCATAGAGACCGAGAGTAGATTAGTTGCCCAGGGATGGTGGAAAGGGGGAATAAAAAGTGACTGCTAATGGTGATAGAGTTTCCTTTTAAGGTGATGAAATGTTCCGAAATTAAATAGTGATGGTAGTTGCACAACTTTGTGAATATACTAAAAACCACTAATTGTACACTTAAAAAGTTGAATATTATGGTATGTGAATTACATCTCAATTAAAAATAGGCAGATTAGACACAATCAAGTAAAAGATTAGGGAACTTGAAGATAGATCAATATAAATAATCCAGACCAAAGCATAGAGATAGAAAAAGGAAAAGAGAGATGAGAGAAGGGCTCATCAATGAGCGATGAGAGATTTGATGCAATGTGAGATTGCATCAAAAGGTAACACCCATGTAACTGAAGTCCCATAAGGAGAAGAGAAACAGAGTGGAGCAGAAAACATGTTTGGATTCCATTTAAAGAAGTGTTGGAGGTCAGGTGTGGCAGCTCATGCCTGTAATCCCAGCACTTTGGGAGGCCCAGGCAGACAGATCACGTGAGGTCAGGAGTTTGAGACTAGCCTGGGCAACATGGTGAAATCCCATCTCTACTGAAAATACAAATATTAGCTGGGTTTGATGGTGGGTGCCTGTAATCCCAGCTACTCAGGAGGTTGAGGCAGGAGAATTGCTTGAACCCAGGAGGCAGAGTTGCAGTGAGCTGAGATTGTGGTACTGCACTCCAGCCTGGGTGACAGAGCAAGACGCTCTCAAGAAAAGAAAAAAAGAAAAAGAAGTTTTGGGCTGGACATGGTGGCTGACGCCTGTAATCCAAACACTTTGGGAGGCTGGAAAGGGAGGATTGCTTGAGCCCAGGAGTTCCAGACCACCCTGGGCAACACAGTGAGTCCCTATCTATACAAATAAAAAAAAATTTTTTTTTGAGATGGAGTCTCATTCACTGCAACCTCTGCCTCCTGGGTTCAACCAGTTCTCTGCCTCAGCCTCCCAAGTAGCTGGGATTACAGGTGCCCACCCCCACGCCTGGCTAACTTTTTGTATTTTTAGTAGAGACAGGGTTTCACCACCTTGGCCAGGCTGGTCTTGAACTCCTGACCTCGTGATCCACCTGCCTCGGCCTCGCAAAGTGCTGGGATTACAGGCATGAACCACCGTGCCTGGCCACAATTTTTTAATTAAAAAAAATTTGCCTGAAAATGTTCTAAATTTGATAAAAGTATATAACAACTCAAGATCCAAAAAGCTCAGAAATTCCTAAGCTGGATAAATACAAAAATAATAACACCGATGCACATCAGGGTCAAACTGTTGAAAACCAGAAATAAAGGAAAAAAGTCTTAAAAGCAACCAGAGAAAATGGACACATTATACATAGAGACACGATGATAAGAATGTCAGCCAAGTTCTCATGAGAAACAATATAGTTCAAAAGACAATTGAATGGCATCTTTAAAGCACTGAAAGAAAAAGATCAACCTAGAATTCTATATTGAGTGAAAATATATTTTATTTATTTATATTTATATTCTATTTTATTTTATTTTTTTGAGACGGAGTCTCACTCTGTCACCCAGGCTGGAGTGCAGTGGCGAGATCTCGGCTCACTGCAAGCTCCGCCTCCCGGGTTCACACCATTCTCCTGCCTCAGCCACCCGAGTAGCTGGGACTACAGGCACCCGCCACCACGCCTGGCTAATTTTTTTTATTTTTAGTAGAGATGGGGTTTCACCATGTTAGCCAGGATGGTCTCGATCTCCTGACCTCGTGATCCGCCTGCCTTGGCCTCCCAAAGTGCTGGGATTACAGGCGTGAGCCACCATGCTCGGCTGGCTGATTTTTAAATCTTTATTTAGACATAGGGTCTCACTCTGTGGCCAAGGCTGGAGTGCAGTGACATGATCATGGCTCACTTACAGCCTCAACTTCCCAGGCTCAAGTGATCCTCCCACTTCAGCCTCCCAAGTGGCTGGGACTACAAGTGCCTGCCATCACACCCAGGTTATCTTGTTTATTTTTTGTAGAGATGAGGTCTCACTATGTTGTCTAGGCTGGTCCCAAACTCCTGGGTTCAATCAATCCTCCCTCCTTGGACTCCCAAAGTGCTGGGATTACAGGCATGAGCCACTATGCCTGGCTGAAGATGTATTTTAAAAATGAAAGTGAAATAAAAACATTTTCAGATAAGCAAAAGCTGAGAGAACTCTTTGCCCACAGATTGCACTACATGAAGTGCTAAAGGAAGTTCTTCAGCTGGAAAGAAAGAATTACCAGATAGAAAACTGGATCTACAGGGAAATAAAGAGTGCTGAAAAGGGTTTGTGTATATTTAAATATAAAACAACTTTTTTCTTTTTGGCTGGGTGCGGTGGCTCACACCTGTAATCTCAGCACTTTGGAAGGCCAAGGTGGGTGGATCATTTGAGGTCAGGAGTTTGAGACCAGCCTGACCAACATGGTGAGACCCTGTCGCTACTAAAAATACAAAAATTAGTTGGGCGTGGTGGCAAACACCTGTAATCCCAGCTACTCAGGAGGCTGAGGCAGGAGAATTGCTTGAATCTGGGAGGTGGAGGTTGAAGTAAGTAGAGATCACGCCATTGCTCCAGCCTGGGTGACAGAGTAAAACTCTTGTCTCAAAAAAAAAAAAAAAAAAAAAAGTTGCATCCATTGATTAAAATAAAAAAGGATCTTTAAAGAATATGCTTAGCTTTTCTCCCATATCTTTCCTTCTAAGTGGAATTGAAATTTCAAAAAATTAGCTTGGTTCGAGAAGTCTTCTTTGTTATTTTTAGCTTGATGGAGAGCTAATCAAATAAAACCCAGCATGTATAGGCCTTCAGAAATTATTGTTTCCTTGGGATTGTGCTTTCCAAGTAACAATTTAACATGACTGAAGCTATAAATCTATGTTGTGAAAACTGCAACAGATGTTTTCCTTTAAACGTCTGTCTGTCTATGTGTGAATGGGGCTGAGCAGTGTATAATTCACTCCATTTATATTAACATTTATGAAAAACACATGGTAAATTATTTTGCAACATGTACAATTTTCTTTCCTTTGGTATGAATTTGGCTGATATGAAGTTGACTTGGTCTTCAAACTGATATTAAACTCTGTTCCAGTATAATTTTTGAGAAAACAAAGTTATGAATTCTTTCTTCTTTCAGTTATGAATTTTTAATGCAAAATGCTGTTGACCTGTGTTTGCTTCATCTCTAGGTCAGGAGAGGATCTAGAACCCTTTTCCCTCTGATCAAATGATAAAATTGGATTGTTAGGGCAAAAAATTTTTGTTATATAGATTTTGAGATATTTATTTATTTATTTATTTATTCTTTTAGGTTTTCACTCTGTTGCCCAGGCCGGAGTGCAGTGGCGCCATCACAGCCCACTGTAGTCTCGACCTCCTGGGTTCAGGGATCCTTCCACCTCAGTTTCCTGAGTAGCTGGGACTACAGGTGCATGCCACCATGTGTGGCTAATTTTTTGTAGAGACGAGTTTTCGTCATGTTGCCAGGCTGGTCTCAAAGCAATCCTCCTACCTCGGCCTCCCAAAGTGCTGGGATTACAGGCATGAGCCACCGTGCTGGGCCAATTCTTAAAGCAATGCACAGGAGTAAAAAATTCAGAGCCACTACGCCAGTCAATAGTATGATAATTTTGTTTTCGGGATATTTCACTTAAAAGCGGGTTTCTATGACTTTTTTAGATATCCAGCTGGCAATGAGCAACAGAAAATAGTGGGGAAATATTGTTTTAAAAGTTGATTCAAAGATATCACTTCTGAGCAAAAAGAAGGAACAGTGAAAATGGTAGCAGGACTCTTAGACCTCTGCTTTGTACAACACAAAAATAAGTTCCAGATGGGTAAAAAAACATAAATAGTTTATTTCAAGCAACTGCTGTCTGGAGAAACCCTCCCAGTATAGAGCACTTAACATGCTGGATGAAATACAAGAAGCATCTTTCTTTTTAAAGGCATGGCAATGTTGTCAGAAAAGGAAGAAGAATGATCAGAAATAAGGAGAAAACACCACTCCAGAAAAATTCTAGCCAGAGCTGGTGTTTGCCAGGTGACATCTGCCAATCCCTGGAGAATTAGCAAAGTGCAGAGGACAGGAGTTGAAGTGTGAGGCTTAAGGGGCAGGGAGGTTGGATTGGAACTCCCCACATAAAGTTGGGGTTCCCTGAGGATAAACTAGAGAATTGAGCAAACTAGAAAAGTCCCACCAACAGAAAAGGACAATGAAGATTACCTATTTCCTAACCATGGGACTGTCCTCACTTGGGAGCAATGCCTCATAACTGTGTGCTTCAAAATGAAAATCTTTAAGCCTAAGATTTAAAGTGATTCTAGGATTGTAGTGCCCCAAACTGCCCCATAGAAACAAACATAAATTGGCTGGGCATAGTGGCTCACACCTGTAATCCCAGCACTTTGGGAGGCCGGGATGGGAGGATCACTTGAGGTTAGAAGCAAAAATGGCCTGGCCAACATGGTAAAACACCATCACTACTAAAAATACATAAATTAGCTGAGTGTGGGGGCAGGCACCTGTAACCCCAGCTACTCAGGAGGCTGAGGTGGAAGAATCGCTTGAACCTGGGAGGCAGAGGTTGCAGTGAGCCGAGATCACCCCACTGCACTCCAGCCTGGGTGACAGAGGAAGACTCCACCTCAACAACAACAACAACAAAAAAAAAAAAAAAAAAAAAAAAAAAAAAAGAAAGAAAGAAAGAAAGAAAAAGAAAAAGAAACAGACATAAATCTTCCATGGAGGAACACACTTTCATCCAGGGCTCAATTCTCACAGATAAATTTCCAAAGAATGTGAGTTCAAACACATTAAAAAAAAAAAAAGTCCTCAAACATAAGAGATAATAAGCCACTATGTGTGAATCAACAGAAACAATACACAACAGAAGCAGACGTATACCTACGATAGCTACCAGAATTATTAGATGATTTGGCAATGGAACAACAGACCATTGAGAGGGATTAACGAGATTTGAAAAGAAACCAGACAGAACTTCTGGAAACTGAAGATAAAATGGGAAAAAAATAGAGGTCAAAAGGGTAGTTTATACACAGGTGGAAAGAAGATAAATCTGGGAAATTGCCCAGAATGCATTAAGAGGAGATGAAGATAGTGAAAATATGAAAGGTTAAGAGACATGGAGGAGTGAATGAGAAGATCTCACATAAACCTAACAGGAATTCTAGAAGGAACAGGAGCTGCAATATTCAGAGACTGTGGCTGAGAATTTCAATACTAGATAAAAGATGCTAATTATCAATATCAGATTCATAAGGACACACTATTCCCAGACAGTGTAAATAAGAAGAAATATACATCAGCACACATCTTAGTGAAACTGTAGAACATCAAAGATGAAGAGAAGAGAGAAAAGACAGATTATTATATGAGGAAAATAATTAGACTAAAAGCCGACTTTTCAATAGTCTCAGTAGAAGTTAAAAGATGGGAGAATTGGCTGGGCGTGCTGACTCATGCCTGTAATCCCAACACTTTGGGAGCCCAAGAAGGGCAGATCACCTGAGGTCAGGAGTTCGAGACTAGCCTGGCCAACATGGCGAAACCCCATCTCTACTAAAAATACAAAAATTAGCCAGGCATCATGTCAGGCACCTGTAATCTCAGCTACTCGGGAGGCTGCAACAGGAGAATCACTTGAACCCGGGAGGCAGAGGTTGCAGTGGGCCAAGATCATGCCATTGCACTCCAGACTGGGTGACAGAGCAAGACTTCATCTCAGAAAAAAAAAAAAAAAAAAAATCAGAAAAAAAGAAAACAAAGCTGTCCAGCCAGTGCCAAACTGTGAACTTTCCACCATATCTCAGAATCTGCTATTCCCCAAACTACTTTTTCTTTTCAGTAATCTTTCTGAAGGGCCTGTTGTTTAGTGAATTTCTTTGTTATTTTAAGCCTTTAAACTGTAAATTCCATCTCTTGCAATAAATTTATTTCTTTTTTTGCTTTACTTTGTTCAGAATTTCAGGTATTTAGCTCCCTTTTTATTATATGTATATATATGCATATATATATAATTTTAAGACAGGGTCTCACCGCATTGCTCAGGCTGGAGTGCAGTGGTGCAATCTCAGCTCACTGCAGCCTCAACCTCCTGGGCTTGAGTGATCCTCCTGCCTCAGCCTCCCAACTACAGGTGCACACCACCACACCCAGCTAATTTGTGTGTGTGTGTGTGTGTGTTTTGTAGAGTTGCCTAGGCTGGTCTTGAATTGTGGAACTCAAGGATTCACCTGGCTTGACCTCCCAAAGTGCTGGGATTATAAGATGAACCACTGTGTCCAGCCCCTTTTATGTTATTTTTAAATTTTTCAAATTATCTGTTATAGGGCATTCCTCCAGAAACAAAGGGCAAAATTTAACTGTTGTGATGAACCATGAGGACTCTAATTTTTGATTCTATGCATTTAATCATTGTCTCTTTATTTTAAGACTTTTTAAATACAGATATCATTTTTAAAGAAACAAAAAAGATGGGAGAATATTATCTGCAAAATACTGGAAAAAAGTAATTGTTCAATTGTATGTTCAGCAAAATCTTGTTCAAAAGTGAGAGCAGGCTGGGTGTGGTGGCTCATACCTGTAATCCCAACACTTTGGGAGGCGAAGGTGGGAGGATCCCTTGAGGCCAGGAATTCCAGATCAGCCTGGGCTGGTTATGGTGAAACCCTGTCTCTACAAAACACACAAAAATGTTCCAGGTGTGGTAGCATGCTCCTGTAATCCAGCTACTCAGGAGGCTGAGGTGAGAGGATCACTTGAGCCCAGGAAGTCAAGGCTGCAGTGAGCCATAATTGTGTCACTGCACTCCAGCCTGAGTGACATAAGGAGACCCTGTCTCTAAAAACCAGAAATAAAAACAAAAGGGAGGACAAAATATAGGCATTTTTCAGGGGAACAAAACCAGAATATACACTGTATTTACTTTCAGTTGACTAAAGAAACTGCTAAAGGGTAATCACATGACATACTCATCATTAGGGAAATACAAATTAGTGCCACAGTGATACCACTACATACCCACTGGAATGGCTAAAATTTAAAAAGACTGACCTTATCAAGTGCTGGTGAGAAAGTGGAGCAACTGAAACTCTCACACACCACTGATGGAAAATATAAAGTGGTACAATCACTTTGGAGAACAGTTTGGCATTTTCTTAAAAAGTTAAAACTACATCTACCACATAGCCCAGCCATTACATTCCTTGGTACTTACCTAAGACAGAAGCAAATATATGTCTACACAGAGACATGCTAGTGTTTATAGAAGCTTTATTTGTAATTGCAAAAAACTAGAAACAACCCAAAGTCTATAAACAGGTGACTGGATAAATAAATTGTGAATATACATATGATGTAAATATTATCTGGCAATAAAAAGAAATGAATACTGATACATACAAAAGGATGCACTTCAAAATAATTATGCTAAAAGAAGCCAGACCAAAAAGAGGACATTCTGTATCATTCTATTCATATGAAATGCTAGAATATGCAAATTAATCTTTAGTGATGGAAAAACATCAGTGATTATCTGGGGACGGGTGGGGTCAGACAGGGGTGGGAGGAAAATGAGGAAACTTTTGTAGGTGATGGGTATGTTCATTATCTTGATTTTGGTGATGATGATGTGAGAACTTATCTAATTTAAATACATATAGTTAATTGCACATCAGTTATACTTCAATAAAGCTGTGAAAAAAAAAAACAGAAAGAGAGAAAAGAAAAGAAAAAGAAACAATTCAGTGGTGTGCTGGAGCCCACAAAATTTGAACATCTCTTCGCACCTGCTCATTCAGTGATGTTACACTGATGGCTTGGAATAAGCCATGGTGGGAGTACATTTCCACACCAGAAATTGACTACAATTCAGGGCCCTTCCCTGCCCCTGAGCCAGTTTACTCGTCACCACTGGTGTATACCAGGCATAAGGTAGCATCGCAAATTTCAAAAGCAGCACCTTAAATGCAAGAAAAAATTGTGAACAGACATGAAAAGCATGTGAATAAATCTAAAAATAAAACTACAAAATTTTGTTGATGTCAAATTTGTGAGGTTAAAGGCAACAACGTAGATCTAACACACAGGATGACAGTAGCACGTATGTCTGAAGCAGGGCAACTGGAGTTCATCTATCCCCAAATCCTTGGCTTGATTGGGACAATGATACAGATATTGACTTTAGACATTTTTAGATAAAATACGAATGCTAAACTGGTTTACAGTAACCACGAAAAGCACACAATTTGAATGCATGCTTTCAAAACTTGTAGAGGAAAAATGCAATGAGAGAAAAACCGTAATTAAGTCCAAAAGAAGGGCTTGCCCTTCACCTGCAATTCCTCGCATGCTCCCATCACTGATAATGTGGGTAATGATGATGTCACCACATGCCATGGATTACTCACTTCCTCATTCTTCCCCAGCAAGGTTATCGCTGTGTTCCTCAAATACATGAGCAACGGAATTCCAGAATCCCATTTTGAGGAACTATTTTCTGATTTCACAATGGCTATGTCAGTCTGAGTTCAAATAGGAAACAGATGGCACACTGAAATTAGTATAATTCAAGGGGGCTTTTATGAAGGGGCCATTTATGAAGGTTTGGACAGGGTATCAGGGACTCACAAAGGATAATGTAATCATCCAGAACTAATAACAGCAGAATTACTGACATCCCCAGATGAAGACAGGGAATGGTTTCTGGAATCCAGAAGGAAATTCCTGTAGAGTGGGCCACGTGGAGAGCAGTGGTGGCTTGTGGTCAAAGGACACAGCCAGCCCAGGACCTGTAAGGGAGCTCTGTGGCTGGGGATCTGCATTGGCTGAACCCAACACGAAGCCAGGAGACAAGGACTCCACTGGCATAGACCATGCGGGGGCTCTCCTAGGAAAGCGAAAGGGGAGGAAGGGTGGAGAGTAATTTTTTTTATTTTTTATTTTTTAGACAGGGTCTTTCTCTGTTGCCCAGGCTAGAGTGCAGTGGCGTGATCACAGCTCACTGCAGCCTCAACCTCCCGGGCCCAAGCAATTCTCCCACCTCAGCCTGCAGAGTAGCTGGGACTACAGGCATGTACCACCATGCCCGACTAATTTTAGTGTTTTTTGTAGAGAGAGTCTCACCATGCTGCCTAGGCTGGTCTTGAACTCCTGGGCTGAAGCAATCCATCCACCTTGGTCTCCCAAAGTGCTGGGATTACAGGCGTGAGCCACGGTGCGTGGCCAAGAGTATTTTATATCTTTCATATACATATACATATGTGATATATATCCATTTGTCTATATCCCCTCATATATTTGTCATATATCATACATATAGTGTATGTTTAAATGAATATTGATTGTTTAAAATAACAACAATAATGTCTTGTGGAGTTTAAAACACATGTAGAAATAACAGGCTGGACGCAGTGGCTCACGCCTGTAATCCCAGCACTTTGGGAGGCCGAAGTGGGTGGATCACTTGAGGTCAGGAGTTCGAGACCAGCCTGGCCAAGATGGTGAAACCCTGTCTCTACTAAAAATACAAAAATTAGCCGGGAGTGGTGGCATGAACCTGTAATCCCAGCCCCTCAGGAGGCTGAGGCACAAGAATCCCTTGAACCTGGGAGGTGGAGGTTGCAGTGAGCCGAGATCACGCCACTGCACTCCAGCCTAGGCAATGGAGCAAGATTCCATCTAAAAAAAAAACAACAAAAAAAAGAAATAACATAGATGACAAAAATTACACAAAAGGGAGGAAGAGAAGGATAAATGGAATTAAACTGTTGTGAGTTTCTTTCATTGTTTGAGAAGTAATAAAAGTACTAATTTAAGGCAAACTCTAGTGAGCCAAGGAGTTCTATTTTTAAAATATACTTCTTATTTTAGATAGTTTTAGATTTACAGAAACATTGAGAAGATAGTACAGAGGGCTTTCCTGTGCCCCACATTCCCTTTCCCGTTATTAACATCTTACATTATGACATATTTGTCACAAGTAATGAATCAATATTGATACATTAGCTAAAATTCACACTGTATTTACATTTCTGTAATTTTTACCTACTGTCCTTTTTTGTCCAGGATTTGATCTAGGATCCCACATTACATTTACTTGTTATGCCTGCTTAGGCTCCTTGTGGCTGTGACAGTTTCTCAAATGGATATGTATATGACATACACATATACATTCATGTGTCCTTGTTTTTCACAGTTCTGAGCAGAACTGGTTGGGTATTTCATAGAATGTCCCTCAGCTGAGATTTGTCTGATGTTTTTCTCATAATTAGATTGGGGTGACCTGTTTTTAGGGGGAGGAAGGAAGAACAAGTGGTAAAGTGTCATTTGCATCACATCCTATCAAGAAGAACACACTATCCACATGACCTATCGCCATTGATGTTGACCTTGATCCCCTGGCAGAGGTAGTGTTTGTCAGGTTTCTCCACTGTAAAATTATTTTATTTCACCTTTCAATAGTGTACTCTTTGGAAGGAAGTCACTATGTACACCCCATAATTAAGGAGTGGGGTATTATTCTTTCCCTCCTTTTCAAGGGCAGAGTATCTACATAAATTATTTGGAATCGTGGTGCAAGGGAGATTTCTCCTCTCCCATTTATTTACATATTTAGTCATTCATTTATATCAGTCTGGAGTCTTGGATATTTATTTTATACTTTGAGTTATAATCCAGTACTATTTTACTTATTTTTTTTTTTTTTTGCTTAAAAATTTTCAGCGTTGACCATTGGGAGCTCTTTGATTTGACTCCTGTGTCCTTTTGGCATACTCTCAACATTTTTTAACACTCCTTTACTTTCCGGTACTACAATATGATTCAGGGTCCTCCTGTATATTTTCTGTTTCAATTTGAGCCATCCATTTCTCTGAGGAGCCCCGGTTTCTGTTATGAGAATGGCATTAGAACTGGATGCTAGGGGTGTTCTTTGCTCCTAGGCCTTCTCAGCTGACAGAGTAAGGGAAGATATGTGTGTACACTAGCCTGTGTACACACACATGTATATATATACGTGCATGTCATATACAAGTATGTATGATGTATGTGCCTATGTATATATGTATGTGTGATATATAAACATATTTCTGGATGTAATTATCTGTGTCTATATTAAACTAAACATGAGTTCATAGTGATGTAAGGAGATATTTTAATCTCTATAGTAACCACTAGAAGAATAAAAAAAGAATGTATTAATAAAACTAACAAGGTAATAGAGGAAAAAAATAGAATAATAAAAGTAATTAGTCCTGAAGAAGGCAAGGACAGAGAAATAAAGGAACAAAAACCAGATGAGACAAATAGAAAACAAAGAGCAAGACGATAGATTTAAATGTGAAGAAAAATAAACAGTAACAGTATCGGAAAAAGTTTAGGGGAACATTCACCAGGCCAAATCCACTCTCCACGCTTCCTCCCCCTTCGCTTTCCTAGGAGAGCCCCCTCATGGTCTATGCCAGTGGAGTCCTTGCCTTCTGGCTTTGTGTTGGGTTCAGCCAATGCAGATACCCAGCCACAGAGCTCCCTTACACGTCCTGAGCTGGCTGTGTCCTTTGACCACAAGTCACTACTGCTCTCCACATGGCTCACTCTGCAGGAATTTCCTTCTGGATTCCAGAAACCATTCCCTGTCTTCATCCCTTCAGGCCTAGGGATGTCAGTAATTCTGCTGTTATTAGTTCTGGATGATTACATTATCCTTTGTGAGTCCCTGATACCCTGTCCAAACCTTCATAAATGGCCCCTTCATAAAAGCCTCCTTGAATTATACTAATTTCAGTGTGCCATCTGTTTCCTATTTGAACTCAGACTGACATAGCCATTGTGAAATCAGAAAATAGTTCCTCAAAATGGGATTCTGGAATTCCGTTGCTCATGTATTTGAGGAACACAGCGATAACCTTGCTGGGGAAGAATGAGGAAGTGAGTAATCCATGGCATGTGGTGACATCATCATTACCCACATTATCAATGGTGGGAGCATGGGAGGGAATGCAGGTGATGGGCAAGGCATTAAGAGATCAAGTAGCGCCGGCACTTAATTGCTATGGCAACAACAGTGATTAAAAAATAGTAGAAACAACTGGATTCTTTTTACTATCCTAAGAAATTTATATAGGGAAAAAGAGAAAATCAAGGCTATGGAAATACAATTAAAAAGACGCATGGAAAACCAGAATGCCTCCATGGTGGCCCTGAGGGGTTCCTTATTTCCGGTAATTGAAGGGTAAATATGGCTAAGAACTAAGTCTATGGTCTGACTGTTAAAGTTGTAGATTTGCAGCAGCAATTAAATGCATAACGCGGCCAAGTCTTTTATGCCAAGGCAAGGTTCTCGGGGAGGACTCTCAGATACAGGAAGGGGATACAGGATGCCTGAAAGGCAGGCCTGATTGGGCTGAGACTTTTGAACCTCTGTTCTCCTCTAAACCTTTTATTCTGGCTGAAGGAGCTATCTCTCCTCTGCATAAAAGCCTTACAATCATTGTTCCCAGGGCAGTTGCCCCATATGCTAATGCTAACTCTCCTCAGGTCCCCTCCCTTACCTCTTATTACCTTCAGGCCCATAACAAAGTAGAAGGCCTGCTCCAGAAAAAGCTAGCTGTACTCTTAAAGACGTGCAAAACCCCGCCTAGGTGGACAGTCAGGGTAGTCAAGGGAAAGGTCAGGGAGTGGATTGGGAGGATGGTAGACAGCCACTTCTCTAGGTGTGGTCCCTGGACCAACAGCATCAGCATCATCTGAGAACTTGTTAGAAACGCAAATTCTTGGGCCTAACCTCAGATCTATAGAATCAGAAACTGTAGGGGTGAGACCCAGAAATCTGTGTTTTAATAAGGCTTCCAGGTGATTCTGATTTGCACTAAAATTTGAGACCCCCCCACTCCCTGACTTAATAGATCCATTAGATCCTCATGTTCCTGAGTCTTCAGACACCTTCCTCTACAGCATTACTACTCAGAGCTGTTGTCCCAGATCAGAGGCACTGGCATCACCTGCATCAGAAAATGCAGAACCTTCGACCCCACCCTAGACTTATCAAACCAGACTCTGCATTTAAAAAGATCCTCAGGTGCCGTGCGTGCTCATTAAAGTCGGAGAGGCCGTGTTCCACAGCGGTGGCTCTCGAACTTTGGCATGGATGAGAATCACCGCACTGTGAGCACCAATGTGCTGTGCAAACCTGCTCACTTCTCCCTCACCACGGCCCCTGAGAAGGTCTGAAGGACACTTCCCTCACTAAGGTATTTGGAAGTCCTTGAAGAGCTCTGTGGTGACTGTCATCTATAGGCTGGAGATGACAGTTGGGGACAATGCAAAGGAATTGGGTTTCTTGATCTTAAAGAGAATAATGGGACCCCACAGTAGATGAGGCAAGGTGGCCATGCTTGCTGGTCAGACAGGAGGTAGCGCCCCGCAAGCCACAGAGACAGAGTGGCCATCAGAGTGCTGTAATCTGTAGTGAATTGTGGCGCAGTTCTCTAGAAATGAAATACTTGGGCAGCCTGTGAAGGTGCTGCCTGACAAATACAGGTGAAAAATTCTAGGTTTCTGGGTAGAAACTGGAGGAAGATTCGTGGCCTTTTACCCAATTCCTAGACCTAAGTCAGTTCATAAACTCGGATACCCACAACTGAGGAGGGACCCTGCAATGTGGTCACGGATGTATATTGTGTGTCTTCTCCAAAGCCTTCCTCAGAATGGCCTGCAGCCATTTACCAGGGCAGCTATACACTAGGGAGAAGGAAATATACTAGATACTCCCAAGGTTAATAAATATTGACCCTGAACTCACTCTGATCCCCAGAACCCTGAAGTGCCACCATCATCCACCAGTGAAATTTGGAACTTATGAAAATCAGGTGATGTATGGAATCCTAGCCCATACATCCTAGTCTGTCTAACACAGTGTCCACAGGATCAGGTATTCATCCTGTGTTTTTCCCTGACTCCTAGAATGTGTAGAGAAAAGAGAGATATGTAATAACTGGCAGAATGATTATATTGGTCCTTTGACCCATGAAATTAAGACTTTTGTAGTGAAAAGGAGGGCAAAGTGGAAGCTCTTGTTGATGGAGATCCCTCCAGCACTCACTTCCACGCCCACCATACCAAGAAAGTAAAAAATACTTCAACCTGGGGGAAACTACAGTGATTAATGCTACCACCAGCAACTTGAGATATGCATAGGTGGCAATTCCCAGTACATCCCCATTTAACTTACTTATCTGGCTAGTGCAAAAGCCAGATGGGGCATGGAGAAAGAGATCTTTGTACATTTATTCACATAGTGATGTCAGTCACAGCTACAGCACTAAATGTGAAATACTTACTGTGGCAATTCAACACAGCCCATGATATCTGGCATTCAGCTTCTGACCTAGAAAACATTTTTTCCCCCAGGAAAATCCGAAGCAGTTTGCATTTACATAGCAGGGCAAATAGTATACCTCTACTATCTTACACCAGGACAATATCAAGTTTCCTTTTCTCTGTCATAATATAGTGTGATGGGAACTTGATCATCTTGATACCCTACAGGATGTCATTCTGGTCCATGACATTGATGGAATTATGTTAACTGGACCTGGTGAGTAGGAAGCATCAACACTCTAGATGCCTTTGTAAGACATATGTGTGCCTAAGGCCAAGAGGCATATTATGTAAGTGAAGTTTCTAGAGGGTCATTGGCGTGGGTAATCCTTCTCTAAAGTGAGAGACAAGTTGCTTGCCCTTGAATTTCACAACACAATGATGGAGACACACTTTGTTTGGGGGAAGCCTACCTTGGACTCCTCCATCTTGAAAGGAATAGAATTTTGCTTTCATGCCGTAAACATGTCTTCTGGGTACACATTTGTCTTCTCTGCCTGAAGTGCTTCTTCCAGCATCACTTGTAGACTTACGGAATGCCTTATTCTTCACCACAGTATCAAATACAACATCATCTCTGATAAGGGGGCCCATTTTATAGCATAGGAAGTATGGCAGTGGGCTCCTGCCCATAAAATTCTCTGGTGTTATGATGTGGCTTATCAATTTGATGGCAGTGGCAGCTCGTCTGGAGTGGCTGCTGCCACATGCCAGCTGTAGCAGGGAGGTGCGGCCACGGCTGCACACTCCACAGAGCCAGCAGGAGCTGGGGACAAGTGGGAGCCCTGCCCCTTCTGCATTGGTGGGGAAGGAGCTCCCTGGGTGGTGCAGCTGCAGCTGCCCAAGTCGTGGCTGCGGACTTGGGCCTTTCACTCCACAGAGCAGGCAGAAGCCCCACCCTTTCAGGTACAGCTACAACCACCCAAGTCATGGCTGTGGACCCAGGCATCTCTGTGCTCTTGGGGGGTCCAGGAGCAGGCAGGAATCCCACCTATCTGGGTGTAGCTGCAACCGCCCAAGCTATAGCTGTGGACCCAGACAACTGGGCACTCTCAGGGGCCTGGGAGAGTCCCCCTTCCTCCTGCAGGCTCAGAGGTGTCTGCTCCCACTGCCTGGCCTCTTCCCACTCCCTTGTCTGCTCCAATCTCAGAGCAAGGTTGGGGCCAAGCCTGGGTGCTGTCACAGCCTGGCTGGGTGTGAGAACACTTGGGGCAGTGCCAACACGCCAGCCCCCTGCCACCTTGGCCCCCTCCAGACTTTGGGCACTAATAAGCATAGGAGGGAAGCCAAGGGGAAGTTGAGGGAATCTTGGCACAGGCCTGCAGGTGTTCCTTGGCACAAACAGCCTGGGCACCATCAACAGCAGCAGGAGGCAGACAAGCTCCCGCACAGAAGGGATCCTGCACAGTAGGGAACGGGTCTGTGGTGAGGCCCGACCTTCAGGCCAGGGAGGGCCTGAAAGCTAGGGGTGGGACTGCCAGTCTGAACTTGTGGTGCCTTTTCTGGGCCCACCCATGGCCACCCATGGACCAATCAGTACACACTTTGTCCTTCTGAGGCCCATTAAAGCCCCAGGCTCAGCCAGAGCTGAGCAGATGTCCCAATGACCAGCTGCAGAGAGGAGCTTCCCACTCCAGGGCCTCCTCTGAGCTATTGTGTCACTCCACACAGCTCCTCTTTGCCTTGCTCATCCTGCACTTGTCCATGTACCTCATTCTTCCTGGACGCAGGACAAGAACTTGGGACCTGCTGAATGGTGGGGCTGAAAGAGCTGTAACACAAACAGGGCTGAAACACACCCCTTGCTCACCACATTGCAGGAGAAGAAGAAAGAAGAGCTGTGGCCCTTTGGGGAGCCCAGACCTGGGAGCTCCCCGAGCCAGGGCTGTGACTCCCTCTTTGAGGCCCTGAAGTTCCTGAAGTCTCCAAGCTTCCGGGTGCCACCATGTTCCCTGGTGCCAGCCATAGAAGCTGCTTGCAGTACACCTGGTCTAGCTGCAGCCTTGCAGAGAGCCAGCACCTGTGCTGACACCTGGAGCTGCCCACCCCACTGCAGTAGCCAGCACGCTTGCCTGTAAGCAGTGGCCAGACCCCATGCTTGCTCACTCACATACCCCTTACTGCTCCACACCTGGCTTGCCCTTGGCAGGCATGGCATCCAGGTCAGTGGCATGAGCCGAGTACAGCCTGCCAGGTTGAGTGGGAGGAATGAGCCCAGTGGGCCCAAGCAAAACTTGGGCAAAGACACTACTCGCCACAGAGGTTTCCAGCCAGAAAGGCAACACCCCAAGGATCCTGCAACAACTTGGAAGCAAGTAGCTTGAGAGAATGGTGAAACAGATTACTAAAGGCTCATTACAGTGCCCTCTGGAAGGCAACACCCTCCAATGTGGGGGTGCTCTCTCATAGGGTACAGTGTATGCTTTCAATCAGAAGTCAACATATGGTGCCCATAGCCAGGCTGCATAGGTGTAAGAACAAAGGGATAGTGGTGGGAGTGGTCCCTCTCACTATCATACCTAATAATCCACTTAAAGGCTTAAAGAGTATCCTTGCAATCTTAGGCTCCATGGATCTGAAGGTCCTAGTGTTCAAAGTGGTAATTCTTCTACCAGGAAAAATGACCATTGTTCCAGTGAACAGACAAATAAGAAGACTTCTTTCTTCACTGGGGCAATTGGTCCTGATTCTCAGGGGATAATTGTGTTGCTGGTATATGTTTAGGGCACCTCTTAGTCCTCTCTCGCTCTAAAGTCCTGGTCAGTGGAAAACTGTGACAACCCAATAACGTCAAGACCATCAAAGATTCAAATCCTACAAGAAAGAATGTTAGGGTCATTTCACTAGGTAAAGACACCCATCCATCTGAGGTGCTGGATGAGGAAAAAGGGAACCTGGATCAAGTGATGGAAGAAGGCAGAGGTGATTAGCAGTTTAGGCCCCATTCCCAGCTATGGAAATGGGGACTATAAAAACTGGTTTTATGTTACCTTACTGTTTGCTGCCTGTATTAGCTTCTTCTTCTTTTTTTCTTTTTAGAAAGGGTCTCACTATCACCCAGGCTGGAATGCAGTGGTGCAGCCTTGGCTCACTGCAGCCTCAACCTCTCAGGCTCAAGTGATCTTCCCACCTCAGCCTCCCAAGTAGCTGGGACTACAGGTGTGCCCCATCACACCCAGCTAATGTTTTTTCTTTTTGTAGAGATGGGGTCTCACTATGTTGCTCAGGGTGGTCTTGAACTCCTGGGTTCAAGCTCTCCTTCTGTGTCGGCCTCCCAAAGTGCTGCGGGATTACAGGCATGCTCCTGGCCTCCTGTATTAGTTTCTAGGGTTATATAACAAATTATCACAAGTTAAGCTGTTTAAAGCCATACCCATTTATTAGTTCACGGTTTTGTACATCAGAAATCTAGGCCTGGTGTACATGGCTGGATTCTCTGCTCAGGGTCTCACAGGACTAAAATCCTTGTGCGGCATGGGCTACCTTCTCATCTGGAGCTCAGGGTCCTTTTCCAAGCTCACACGATTGGGGCAGAATTCAGTTCCTGTGGCTAGAGAACTGAGGCTCCATTTCCTTGCTGGCTGTCAGCCAGGGGCTGCTCTTAGCTCACTGAAACCACCTACACTCCTTGCCACAAAGCCCTCTCCATCTTCAAGGCCACCAATGGAGAATTTTTCATGTATCACACTTCAAATCTCTTCCACCAGGAAGAGCCCAGTTCCTTTTAAAGGCTAACCCAATTAGGTCAGATTTACCCAGGATAACCTCTCTTTTCTAACTGATTTGAGAACTCAATTGCCTCTGCAAAATCCCATCACAGCAGCCCCTTGATTTGTGTTTGATTGAATAACTGGGAGAAGGTGTGTGGCACTGGAAGGTGCAGGAATTTGGGGATGCTATCTCTGAATTCTGCCTGCCACACCGCGCCTCACTTTTACCCAATTCCTTATTTGAAGAACACCAGTGGCAGTCATGCTCTAGGTTTCAGGGGGAATTATGCCAGATTGAGATTGCCTCTTGATAAAACAGTAGCCAATGGGACTTTGTGCATTCCCTTTGATGAGGACATGAATTTTTCACCCGTATCAAAGATGAAAGTGTATACTGAGGGAAGAAAGAGAACTGTGCCAGATATATTCTATTTATGCCCCCAGATCTCTTTCCTCCTCTCTCTCTGCCCAAGTAGATGGACCTGTGTTGGTTACATCAATGGCTTCCCTTGCCCTTTGGCTCTGTTTGCTTTATCAAGCAGGGAGGCCTAGCAGAAGATTAGAGGGAGGAAAGAGAGTAAGGTCAGGTCACTTATTTATCGGGCTTCCTCCTTGTAGGCTTGCCTTGGCCACCTGTGTTCCACAGCCAGGGGCTTCTGCTCCTCTGAGGGCAGCTATGACTCTCTCCTCCTGGATTCCAGTAACTCCTGCGCCCCCCATCACCCTTGTAGGCCCTAGATTGCTGCAGTATCCCCTGTATCTCCTCTAGGTTCTGCCCACACCTTCATAAATAGTCCTGTTATTAAATCTCCTGAATTATCCTAATTTGAGCGTGCCATCTGTTTTTTGTTTGGACTCTGACTGATTCAAGAACCTATTAAGAGATAGACACAGGAATGTGGCAGATGGAAATACAAATATTACTTTTATTACCATCAAAACTGATACTGGACAATATGGCTTAGGTCTGCTAGGCAGGCAGGTTTGCTAATATTTCACTCCTGAGGTCAACCGCAAGGGCCGGCTCCTGTAAAACTTGCGGGCAGGCATGGAGGCAGAGCAGGGTGCATGCTTTTTCACAGAGGGGAGGGAGGATGCAGCTGAGCTGAGCGTTTCGGCTTCTTCTTCTGCCAAAGTTACCCACCAGTTGAGTCACTCCCCATCCCCAGGGTAAGACTGGGAAGGTGGGGCAAGAGGCCAGGAGCTTTATTCTCGAAGACTCCTTCCACAAAGGAACAGTCCCGAGAGTGCCAATATTTTGAATAGTGAATGACACTTTAAATAAAATCAAAAGATAAGCAAAAACAACCAAAGGCTTAATATCCAGAATTTTTATGAAGAACGCCTCTAAACTGATTAATTAAACACTGAGAATCCAACTGATAGCCAAGCACAGTGGCTCACGTCTGTAATCACAGCACTTCGAGAGGTTGAGGTGGGAGGATCACTTGAGGCCAGTGGTTTGAGACTAGCCTGGGCAATATAGCAAGACCCCATCTCTACAAAAAAATATAAAAATTAGCTGGTGTGCTCCTGTAATCTCAGCTACTTTGGAAGCTGAGTAGGGAGGATTGCTTGAGTCCGGGAGTTCAAGGTTACAATTGTGCCACTGCACTCCGGCCTGGGCGACAGAGTGAAATCTTATCTCTACAAAAAAAAAAAAAAAAAGAAGGGGGACAAAGACTTCAAATAAGCAACTCACAGAATTTTTATTATTATGACTCCTGAGGTTGAACATCTATCCAGATACTAATGGCCAATAAATATCTGGAGAGATGTTCAACCTCAGGAATAGTTGAGGACTTGATTCTTACAAATGTTTTTTTCCCCTTCAGGTTGGTAAACATTTTAAAGACTGATGTTATCCAGTGTTGATGAAGACGTAGGGAAACAGACACTCTTAGGGGTTGTTAGTAGGCATATAAGTTGATAAAGCTGAAGGACAATTTGGCAGTGAATTTGAACCTTAAATGTGCATATCCTTTGACCCAGAAAGCCCACTTATGGAGACCTAAGCTGGAGAAATACGCATATTTGTATGCCACAAGAAAGCATATACAGGGATGTGTATTGCTTGTTACAGTAAGGATTTGGAAACAATATTGTTATCTATCAGTAGGGAAACAATAAAAACATATTTTTAATATAAACACAGTTAAAAGACTGGCTAAAGCGAGAGAGCACAATAAGGTAAATTGATTTTTTATTTCTATTTTTTTATTTTTGAGATGGAGTCTTGCTCTGTCATCCAGGCTGGAGTACAGTGGCATGATCTTGGCTCACTGCAACCTCTGGCTCCTGGGTTCAAGTGATTCTCCTGCCTCAGCCTCCCAAGTAGCTGGGACTTCAGGAGCTCACCACCACACCCGGCTAATTTTTGTATTTTTGGTAGAGGCGTGGTTTCACCATGTTGGCCAGGCTGGTCTCGAACTCCTGATCTCAAATAATCCACCCGCCTTGGCCTCCCAAAGTGCTGGGATTACAGGCATGAGCCACTGTGCCTGGCCTGATTTTATTTTTTAAGGGAAGACTTCCTATATATATTGCTAAGGGGAAAAAAACAAGTTGTAAAAAATACATACATAACACCATGGGTAGAATTCATGAGTGTAAACATTAAATGAGGAAAGGATAGGATTGTGTAGTCAGGGTTACTGAGATTTTTTCCAAATTACAAATTTAATGTAAAAAACTGTTTACACCTGTACCCTTTGAGCTAGACAAATGCTGGTTGTATTTAACTAAGTTTGCATGTGGTTGAGTGTGCCGTTAGTTAACATTCCATAAATTGAGACTGCCGAGGGCCTTTGTGTGTTACCAACAGCATGCAGATGTAAGGGAGGGGCCCCAGAAAGGTTTCTGGATGAGATCCAACCACCCAGTAATAGAACATAAACTAAAGATACAGGGCCAGTGATAGGAACTTCCTTTTAAAGACAAAAATGTATAATATGGAACAGCAAATATTATAATATTCTTCCAAGAATATAGATGATAGCTCATGCAAGCACAAATTTTGTAAAGTGATTCAATGCTGTTTTGTATAATGCTATTGTTATTCAATGTACCGTGTGTGAGATGATTCTGTTTAAATCTACCGAAATTTTAGTTATAGAGTTCTAACGTAGATGTACCATGGATATTCCTGTATGAATGCTTGGATACAACAGAAAACTATGAAAGAAAAATTTTACCCAAGATTTAGTTTCCTTTTTGACACTGTTACAAGCTGTCATGAATCCATGTGATATGGACTATTACTTGTAAAATTGAGTAAAGTAGGAAAGAAAAATTCTGAAGCTTTAGAAATGCAGGCTCAATGGCTCAAAAAATAATAATAATAGAGTGACACTTGAATGTTGATATTCCTAAATCTAGACAGCTATAACTGAACACATGGTTGGGTGTGAAAATATATAACATGATATATGGAATCTGATTTGAGCAGACTGTAGGAAAGTAGTGGAAAGATTAGTAGCTCAAACAAGAAAGTTAAATAGAAATGAGGATGCTCTTGTTTAGAGCAAGATAGGAAAGAGTTTAAAGAAGACTGGATGAAATAAAAAACATTAATATAA
This sequence comes from Homo sapiens, assembly GCF_000001405.40. Lineage (NCBI taxonomy): Eukaryota > Metazoa > Chordata > Mammalia > Primates > Hominidae > Homo > Homo sapiens. Next base: position 43,462,912 of record NC_000001.11, on the reverse strand, counting down.
TGTTTGAAAGACAAAGATTCCTCTTAGACACTGAAGTCCCTAATGCGCTGTGGGGTCACCCAGCCTCCACTATAAGTTATATTAAATTATATAAATTCATGAAATGATATAAATACATAGCCCCAAAGCCCCAGGGTTTGGGTCTTTAAATTTCTTTTTACTGAGAGATCCAAGTATTTCCTGCAATGTGCACAATGCTAGCTCTTTGGATGGGAAAAGCAAGTTAGTTCTGGGTTATCTTGATTTTGGAACGGGTTAAGACGAAGTAAGAAGGCCAACCTGGCCGGGCGTGGTGGCTCACGCCTGTGATCCTAGCACTTTGGGAGGCCGAGGCAGGCGGATTACGAGGTCAGGAGATTGAGACCATCCTGGCTAACACGGTGAAATCCCGTCTCTACTAAAAATACGAAAAATTAGCCGGGCGTGGTGGCGGGCGCCTGTAGTCCCAGCTACTCTGGAGGCTGAGGCAGGAGAATGGCGTGAACCCGGGAGGTGGAGCTTGCAGTGAGCTGAGATTGCACCACTGCACTCCAGCCTGGGCGACAGAGTGAGACTCCATCTCAAAAAAAAAAAAAAAAAAAAAAAAAGAAGCCCAACCTGGTTGATTCCCTTATAGAAGCTCCAGGTGCTAAACAATGTAAACACAATGCATCTCTTGGTTTTTGTTTGCCACTTCTCTTTGTACATTAGCTTCATTCTCTCTGGCTGACTGTCCCCATGTGTATGGTTCTATTAGGATGGAGAAAAGAGGAAACATATATTGAATGGGCAACCTGCAACAACTGAAACAGGTATTATGCCTGGGCCAGCTTGGGTCAGGTGCCTGCTCATTGACCAATCACTATGGCTCAGAAGAAAGAATCATATAAGAAGATGATAGCTCCATTCACACCTTAAGGTGAAGAAGTGGTGAAAGTGGTATAGTTCCCCCAAACAAGGGAATTGGTCCCAGAAAGAGATCCTCTATTAATAAGCAATTGTGACTAATAAATTACCCCAAAACTCAGTGGCTTAAAACAGCAAACATTTCCTACCAAAGAGTTTCTGTGGGTCAGGAGACCAGGTGTAGTTTAGCTGGGTATCTCTTACAAGGCTGTAATCAAAGCATGGGCCAGGAGATAGGCATTTTAAGGCTCAATCAAGGGAGTATCTGCTTCAGAGCTCACTCATGTACCTGTTGGCAGGCCTCAGGTTCTTACCAGCTGTTGGCCAGTGTATTAGCTTGGGCTGTGAAAACAAAATACCATAGACTGGGTGGCTTCAACAATAGTCATGGATTTCACACAGCTCTGGAGGCTGGGAAGTCCAACATCAAGGTGCCAGCAGATTTGGTTCCTGGTGATGGCTTTCTTACTGGCTTGCAGATGCTGCCTTCTCCATGTGTCCAGAGAGAGAGAGAGAGAGAGAGAGAGAGAAAGAGAAAGAGAGAGAGAGCAGGGGGTGGGGAGCAAGCTCTGGTCTCTCTTCCTTTTCTTACGAAGACACTTATCCCATCATGGGATCCCACCCCATGACCTTATCTAGACCTAATCACCTCCCAAAGGCCTCATTCCTAAATGCCATCACAGTAGTGGTTAGGGCTTCAACATACAAATTTTGGGGGAACACAAACACTCAGTCCATAACAGCCAGAACATAAGTTCCTTGACACACAGGTGTTTCCACAGGGCAGCTCACAACATGGCAGCGGGTTTTCCTCAGAGCGAGTGAAAGAGTGAAAGGAGCCAAGATAGAAGCCACAGGCTTTTTGTAATGTAATCTCTGAGATGACATCACACCACTTCTGCAATATTCTGTTTGTTTGAAGTGAGTTGCTAGGTCCAGCTCACAAACAAGGGAACGGAGGTACACGGGGGCATGAATACCAGGAGACAGAGATATAGGGAACCACTTTTTGTTTGTTTTATTGTTTTTTTGAGATGGAGTCTCACTCTGTCCCAGGCTGGAGTACAGTGGTGCGATCTCTGCTCACTGCAACCTCCACCTCCCAGGTTCAAGCAATTGTCCTGCCTCAGTCTCCTGAGTAGCTGATATTACAGGCACATGCCATCACGCCCAGCTAATTTTTGTATGTTTAGTAGAGACGGGGTTTCACCACGTTGGCCAGGCAGATCTCAAACTCCCGGCCTCAAGAGATCCGCCCGCCTTGGCTTCCCAGAGTGTTGGGATTACAGGCGTGAGCCACTGCACCCGGCTAATTTAAATTTTTTATTTTATTTTCCATAAGTTATTGGGGTACAGGTGGTATTTGGTTACATAAGTTATTTAGTGGTGATTTACGAGTAGTATATGCTGCACCCTATTTGTAGTCCTTTATGCCTCACCCCCTCCCACTCTTCCCCACAAGTCCCCAAAGTCCATTGTATCATTCTTATGCCTTTGCATCCTCATAGCTTAGCTCCCACACATCAGTGAGAACATACAATGTTTGGTTTTCCATTCCTGAGTTATTCCACTTAGAATAATAGTCTCCAGTCTCATCCAGGTCACTGCAAATATTGTTACTTGATTCCTTTTTATGGATCAGTAATATTCCACTATATATATATAATATATATAAAAAATTCACCATTATATATATATACAATTATATATATAAATTTATATATATACATTTATATATAAAAATTGTATACATATAAATTTATATATATAAAAAATTCACCATTATGCTGAATTTTGTAATAATTATTCACTTATTCTTCATTGTTTTATCAGAGATGTCCGTATTCCTACACAAGATACTGTTGGTTTTCCCTGCCTTTGACTTTATATCAATAGAATCACACTGTAGGTATTTCTCTGTGATTTGCTTCTTCCTCTAGAGATATATATATCTCACAGTTTCTTTATCCACTTGTTGATTGATGGGCATTTGGGTTGGTTCCACGATTTTGCAGTGGTGAATTGTGCTGTTATAAACATGCATGTGCAAGTATCTTTTTCAAATAATGATTTCCTCTGGGTAGATACCCAGTAGTGGGACTCCTAGATCAAATGGTAGTTCTACTTTTAGTTCTTTAAGGAATCTCCACGCTGTTTTCCATTGTGGTTGTACTAGTTTACATTCCCACCAGCAGTGTAGAAGTGTTCCTTGTTCACCGCATCCACGCCAACATCTACTGTTTTTTGATTTTTTGATTATGGCCATTCTTTCAGGAGTAAGGTAGTACCACATTGCGGTTTTGATTTGCATTTCCCTGATCATTGGTGATGTTGAGCATTTTTTCATATGTTTGTTGGCCATTTGTCTATCTTCTTTTGAGAATTGTCTATTAATGTCCTTAGCCTACTTTTTGATGGGATTTTTTTTTCTTACTGATTTGTTTGAGTTCGTTGTAGATTCTGGATATTAGTCCTTTGTCAGATGTATATATTGTAAAGATTTTCTCCTACTCTGTGGGTTGTCAGTTTACTCTGCTGACTGTTCCTTTTGCCATGCAAAAGCTCTTTAGTTTAATTAGATCCCAGCTATTTATCTTTGTTTTTATTGCATTGGCTTTTGGGTTCTTGGTCATGAAATCCTTGCCTAAGCCAACGTCTAGAAGGGTTTTTCCAATGTTATCTTCTAGAGTTTTTATAGTTTCAGGTCTTAGGTTTAAGTCCTTAATCTATCTTGAGTTAATTTTTGTAATAAGGTGAGAGATGAGGATCCAGTTTCATTCTCCTACATGTGGCTAGCCAATTATCCCAGCACCATTTGTGAAAAGGGTGTCCTTTCTCCACTTTATGTTTTTATTTGCTTTGTTGAAGATCAGTTGGATGTGAGTATTTGTCTTGCTCTGCTGTCCAGGCTGGAGTGCAGTGGCATGATCTCGGCTCACTGCAACCTCCACCTCCCAGGTTCAAGCTATGCTCCTGCCTCAGCCTCCCTAGTAGCTGGGGCTACAGGCATGCACCACCACGCTCAGCTAATTTTTGTATTTTGAGTAGATACAGGGTTTCACCATGTTGGCCAGGCTGGTCTGGAACTCCTGACCTCAAGTGATCTGCCCTCCTCGGCCTCCCAAAGTGTTGGGATTACAGGCGTGAGCCACTGCACCCAGCCAGCAGTATGATCATTTTCACAATATTGATTCTACCCATCCATGAGCATGAAATGTGTTTCCATTTGTTTGTGTTGTCTATAATTTCTTTCAGCAGTGTTTTGTAGTTTTCCTTGTAGAGGTCAACTCCTTTGTTAGGTATATTCCTAAGTATTTTATTTTTTTTTTGTAGCTATTGTAAAAAGGGGTTGAATTCTTGATTTGATTCTCTGTTTGGTCACTGTTGGTGTATAGAAGAGCTACTGATTTGTGTACATGAATCTTGTATCCAGAAACTTTGCTGAATAATCAGTTCTAGGAGCTTTCTGGAGGAGTCCTTAGGGTTTTCAAGATAAACAATCATATTGTTAGCAAACAGGGACAGTCTGACTTCCTCTTTACCGATGTGGATGCCCTTTATTTCTTTCTCTTGTCTGACTGCTCTGGCTCGGACTTCCAGTACCATGTTGAAGAGGAGTGGTGAGAGTGGGCAGCCTTGTCTCGTTTCCGTTCTCAGAGGGAATGCTTTCAACTTTTCCCCATTCAGTATTATGTTGGCTGTGGGTTTGTCATTGATGGCCTTTATTACATGAAAGTATGTCCCTTGTATGCCGATTTTGCTGAGGGTTTTAATCATAAAGGGATGCTGGATTTTGTTGAATGCTTTTTCTGCATCTATTGAGATGATCATGTGATTTTTGTTTTTAATTCTTGTTTAGGTGGTGTATCACATTTATTGACTTACATGTGTTAAACCATCCCTGCATCCCTGGAATGAAACCCACTTGATTGTGGTGGATTATTTTTTTGATATGTTGTTGGATTCGGTTAGCTAGTATTTTGTTAAGGATTTTGCATCTATGTTCATCAAGGATATTGGTCTGTATTCTTTTTTAGTTGTGTCCTTTCCTGGTTTTGGTATTAGGGTGATGCTGCCTTCATAGAATGAATTAGGGAGGGTTCCTTCTTTCTCTGTCTTGTGGAATAGTGTCAAAAGGATTGGCACCAATTCTTTGAATGTCCGGTAGAATTCTGCTGTGAATCCGTCTGGTCCTGGACTTTATTTTGTTGATAATTTTTAAATTACCATTTCAATCTTGCTGCTTGTTATTGGTCTCTTCAGGGTATCTAATTCTTCCTGATTTAAGCTAGGAGGGTTGTATTTTTCCAGGAATTTATCCACTTCTTCTAGGTTTTCTAGTTTATGTGCATAAAGATGTTCATAGTTGCCTTGAATGATCTTTTGTATTTCTGTGGTGTCAGTTGTAATATTTCCTGTTTCGTTTCTTAGTGAGGTTATTTGGATTTTCGCTCTTCTTGGTTAATCTTGCTAACGGTTATTTTATTATTTTATTTTATTTTATTTTATTTATTGTTTCTTGTGACAGGGTTTTGCTCTGTCACCCAGGCTGGAGTGCAGTGGTGCAATCACAGCTCACTGCAGCCTTGACCTCCCCCAGACTCAAGTGATCTTCCCACCTCAGCCTCTGGAGTAGCTGGGGCTACGCACATGCCACAACGCCTGGCCAATTTTTATATTTTTGTCGAGATGGGGTTTCACCAGGTTGCTAAGGCTGGTCTGAAACTCCTGGGCTCAAGTTATCCTCCTGCCTCAGCCTCCCAAAGTGCTGGGATTACAGGTGTGAGCCACCCCCTCTGACCCATTGGGGACCATTTTACACGCTACCTGCCACAGGTTCTGGACAGATAATACAATAAAAGACCACTGTGCTGAGCAGTGACAAGTTGAGTCTAAAAAGTGATCATTAGAATTCAAACCAGACAAACAACACAAACAAGCTGAACCTGTAGAAAAATCTTGAGATTATAGTGATACCACAATGAGGATGTTAATATCAAATGTGCTAACAGATGGCAGTAATGCATACAGGTTTTAAAAATGTGTTTTTATTAAATATAAGACAGATAAAAAATGATATTTATAAAATATATGTTAGCTCTAAAGAAGAGTAGTAAAATTAACATACATGAATGTGCTATCCAACGTAAGAGAAGGCTCCAATGCTACCCTCTTCTGTCCTCCTCTAGAGGTGGTCACCATTATGCTGAATTTTGTGATAATTATTCACTTGTTCTTCATTGTTTTATCAGAGATGTCCATATTCCTACACAAGATACTGTTGGTTTTCCCTGCCTTTGACTTTATATCAATGGAATCACACTGTAGGTATTTCTCTGTGATTTGCTTGTTCCTCTAGAGATTATGTTTCTGAGATTTATCCACTTGATGCTTTCATACTGATGTTTTTCAGTTCCAATCAAACTTCACTAAGCTCTTCATATATTGTCCTAACACAGGAACAAACTCAGTGTTATCATTTGAGCCACCAGCTTTCTCTTGTACAACATGGTATGACTATACTATTACACAACTCATCTATGTATGGATGGATGGACATTTGGGTTAGTCCCATCTTTTTGCTACATAAATAGTTCTGCTGTGAACATCACTTTACTTCTTTCCTGGTACACTTGTGCAAAACTTTCTTCAGGGGATACACCTGGGAAAGGAACTGTCAGATCATAGGCATATTAGCTTTAAGAGACAATGCCAAATTGTTTTCCAAGGAGGTTATAGTGATTTACACTCCTGTTGGCAGTTGTTCCAAATCCTATCCAATATTTGATAATGTGTTTTTTATTTTTGCCAATGTGGAAGGCATAAAATAGAATTTCATTGAGGTTTTGATTTGCATTTCACATGAGTTGTAATATGTTTTACTGCATTGCCAAATGTTATCCAATGATCAAATGAGACTCTGAACTCTGTACTAAAGTTTTTGCCATTATCCATGCAACTATTTACAAGTTGTTGTTACTTTAAAATCACACCTGTGCAAATTATTTGGTTAAAAGTCAAATACGTACCTGTGAAGTGTGCACAATAAAGCAAAAAAAAAAGGCAAATGCAAAGAATCAAAACTTGTGATAACTTAGTGTCATGCCTGTGTTGCAAGGTGGGATAAGACATAGTCAAAGGTGAATAAAGCAAATAATTTTCATGGACATTGCACTCCTTATATATTTATTTGAGCATATTATGTGAAGGTGGAAGGTGTTGTAAGGGAATTAAGGGGAAAGTGAGTCACCTATGTCTAGTTTATGTATAATCTTTACTGCCCTAAGGCATGTCCAAGGAAAAAAGGGGTGGACAATCGGGAGTTGGACACATTTTGTTTCTGACGCAGAGCTCAGCAGCTGTCAACATCATAAATAGAATTTGCATACTCGGAGATCAACAGTGAGGTGGTAATAAAGGAATTACTTCCTCTAGATGTTACTCTTTGTTGTCAATTTTGGATTGCAAACACACTAAAGTTGGGACTGATTACAATGTTAAGCTTAGTGAGGTCTTGATTGGACGAGAAACACGTTCCAAGACAAGGCAAAGGTCCTAGTGTAAAACCAGCTGCAAAAGAGCATGAAATCAGGTGATCAGTGTCAGCTGGCAGCAGTCTGTTCTTGGAGGCAGAGCTGAAGAAACAGAACCTGCCAAGAATTTGGGTTCACCACGGGATCAGGCTGGATCCCTGGTGTCTGAGCTGGCCTCATTTGAGATGGAGTTGAGTGTTGACAGAACAATCAGTGGGAGCTGGGTGTTCCTAATGTTGCACTTTAAGCTTCTCTGTCAAAGTTAGCACAGACGATAGATCAAGATGACGTTTACTCATGAATTGTTGGGATATAAATTTATATTTTTCAAAGGAAATTTAAGATATCAACAACTTAAATATGTTCCTATTTTTGACCATGTAATTCTACCCATAAGAACCTGCCCAATCAGTTGGGTTATTGTAGATGAAAGTAAAATCATTCAAATTATCTCAAGAAACATTAAGAGGCTATACAGAGACAGAAACCCAGGAAAGTCTAAGCATCCCAGCCTTAAGTGCACAGACCTGGGGGCAGCTATGGGTTTGGGCACCCTTGGGATGACATGGGTTTCTCAGGGTGCTACCTCTATTCACAGGACTTGGTTCCCCTCCTTTCCGCTCTAGCTTTTCTTTACCATAGGACTGTCTTATTTCGTTTCTACAGCCCAGTCACCTTCTGGCAACACCACCTGTTGACTCTCAGCATTTCCTTGTTTGAACTCTTGATTGGTTAAATTACCTTTCCAAACGACGCAAGTAAGAGGTTTTTGGCCAGTCTATGGATTGGCTGCCCTGGGATCAGATGACCTCCCTGGTCCAATCAGCTGAGGCTAAGGCTAAAAAGGGACAGCTCACCCATAGCTGCTCCAATGGGGCGGTTTCCCTTGCAAAAGACTAGCGGCGTGAACGGGCAAACACTGTGATGGACATCTCTAGAAAAAGACTCGGAAAAGAGTCAGAGATAGGGACTAAGAAGTGCCTGAAAGTGCGCTTGCAGCGCGCGTGCACACACACGATATCCAACCACAAAGTACAATAATGACTTGCTGCTTAGGTGTGCGACAATGAGCAGCGAAGGCACTGACTTTGAAGGCTATTGGAAAACACGAGGAAATGCTCACAAAATAATATTCCATGAAAAAGAGCTATAAAACAGCATATACCGAATGATCAGAATTTCCAAAGAAAAAAATTGCATATTTTAAAATTTGGACGGGAAAGCCAACAGGCTAGTGGTGTGATAACTGGCGGTATAAAAGTGCTTCTTTATTTGGTCATACAGCTTTCAAATGTTGCTTAACGAACAGATAGCATTTTTATAATCAGAGGAAAGACTCAGTATTAAAGTGCGCGTCCCATCATTGCAACCGGGCCCTCGGGCAGCCAGCTCTCTCTTGCTTCGCGTCCGGCTCTCAGGCCCTGGAGCTCGGCCTCCCTACCTTCTCCAGGCGCGGGTCCTGCTCCTTTTCCGGCCGCCCTCGCTCCGCCCCTTCGCCTCTCCCCGTGATCCCTCTCTCGCTAACCGTAGGCGCTTTTCGTGAAGGCCCGGGTTTTTACAGCACTTCGCTTTTCTAACCACGAACAGTGCTCGTTCGTTCGCAGGGCCAGCAAGGAGAGCCCCGCCCCCGCCCGCCGCCCGCCGCCCGCCGCCCGCCGCCTTTGGATCCCGCGGACTCCGCCCGGCCCGGCCTCCCCAGGCATGGCGCCGCTGCGCTTCTCCGCCAATCTGTCCTGGCTATTCCCCGAGCTCTCCGGCCTCCCCGCGCGGGTGCGGGCCGCGGGCAGCTCGGGCTTCGAGGCCGTCGAGGTGGCCTGGCCGTACGCGGAGACGCCTGAGGCGCTGGCGCGCGCCGCGCGAGAAGCGGGGCTGCGGCTTGTACTGATCAACACGCCCCCGGGTGCGTCGCGGGCCGGGAGGGCTGGGAGGGCTGGGGGGTGCCGGGGCGCGGGCAGGGGAGTGTCCGAGCCGGGGGCTGAGGCCCGTTCTCTCTGCAGGAGACCAAGAGAAGGGGGAAATGGGGCTGGGGGCCGTCCCCGGGAGACAGGCGGCCTTCCGAGAGGGACTGGAGCAGGCCGTGCGGTATGCCAAAGCCCTGGGCTGTCCCAGGTACCCCGCTCCACCCCACCCCCACCCCTGTGACCCATGACCCTGATGCAGGTTCAGGGAGTCGAGGACGCCAGATCTGAGACGCTCAGAAGTCTGAGCCCACTGGTTTATCTCTGCCTCTGCGGTCCTGGTCCTTTGTAAATTGCCTTTTGTATTTTATCTGTCTTATGCCACTCTGTTTGCCACTCTTTCATGCTCACCCCATGCTGGGATCCCATGCTGGGAGCTCAGTCTGCCTAGGCAGATAGGAGAGTAAATATATACAGTGATGCATTTGAGGACAGGCCTATTCCAGGAAGCTGTGGGAGCAGGGTAGGCACCTAACCCTGTCTGGATCAGAGAAAGCTGCTTACAGGTAGTGATGCTTGGACTGTCTTCAAGGAGTGGGCATTGCTTGATGGGCAGGAAGTTGAGTGTTCCTTGCAAGGGTGCTGTGGCAAGAGGAGGCCTGGTGTATTTGGCAGCGTTCCTGAGGCTGGACATGTATGTAGCCTGTTGGGATGGGGAGGCCTGGAATGTCTGCTTGGAGCTGGATGTGGCTAAGATCAGGGGATGATGGGAGGAGGTGGACGGCTCAAAGTGGGGCTGATTCAAATGTCAAATCCTGCAGAGGCCAAACAGGCTCAGAAGGAACTGGCAAGAGGGGATCACTACTGGTCAATGGTGGGGGCAGAAAACAGATGGGAAAAGGCTAAGTAGATGCGAGGAGAGGAAGTAGAGACAGCAGCATGGAATACCTGAGAAGGGCAAGCAAAGGTCAGGACAATTTTTAAAGGTGAGAATTTAGCAGGTTACAGGTTGCGGAGAAGGACCGAGGGAAGGAAAGGTTTTGGAAAGTACTGGAGGCAGGAGGCGGTGGGTGGACACTGAGATGTCTGGGAAAGGGCTTGCCCCTCAGCCATCACTGAAGTGTCTCTGAAAGTGCTGGGATACCTGGGCATCGTGACCCAGGTGCCATGGACTGGAGACCTGGGGAGACGGACGAGGGCTGGCACAGTCAGGGAATCCTGGAAGAGGTGCAGAGAGAGCCAAGGGAGGCAAGGCCTCCAGTCCATCTTCCCCACAGGATCCACCTGATGGCTGGCCGAGTACCCCAGGGAGCTGATCGAATAGCAGTCAAGGCTGAGATGGAGGCCGTTTTTCTGGAGAACCTGAGGCATGCAGCTGGGGTTTTGGCTCAGGTGAGAAAGGTGGAAACACACACGTACTTACATGTCTCTGTGGGTGTGCGGAGAAGGGGGTGCACAGTGGGGACAGCACGTGAGGCTGCCAGCCTAGGTCAGAGGAACAGGTGAGGGCCTTGACCAGTGACTGACTGATGGGGGACAAACTTGGGAAGGAGCTCTATTCACAGCACCCGACATGCTGCTAGGAGGACCTCGTGGGACTGCTGGAGCCCATCAACACCCGCATCACTGACCCCCAGTACTTCCTGGACACGCCCCAGCAGGGTACGACCCCAGCCCTGTCTCTCCTTCTGTCCCTTTTGATTCCTGTGCTCTTGAGGCTCACGGTCCCCTCCCTGGCTTCTCTTACAGCGGCAGCCATCTTACAGAAGGTAGGAAGACCCAACCTCCAATTACAAATGGTAAGTGGAAGGGGGTACTTCGCAGATCGGAAGGAGGGCGGGGCCTGCGGGGTCTCGGAATGTAGTATCCTCTTCCCTAGGACATATTCCACTGGCAGATCATGGATGGGAACCTGACAGGAAACATCCGGGAGTTCCTGCCCATTGTTGGTGAGAGGACCTTCCTTTGCCCTCCCACCCTTTCAATCCCCACATCTGTCCTTCAGGCCCTGGCAGGAGCCTGGACCCCACATTTGTCCACATCTGTCCCCAGGGCATGTGCAGGTGGCACAGGTCCCAGGCCGAGGGGAGCCCAGCAGCCCCGGAGAGCTGAATTTCCCCTATCTGTTTCAACTGCTGGAAGATGAAGGCTACAAAGGCTTCGTGGGCTGTGAGTATCAGCCTCGAGGTGAGGCGTGGCCCTGGGGAAGGGAGCTCTGGAGGGACCCGGACAGGGGCTGTTTTCTCCTTGTGGGCTGAGGTGCCGAGGCCTCCCTCTCCCTGCAGGAGACACAGTAGAGGGCTTGAGTTGGCTACGTTCATACTGGGATAGGCGGGGCCACCCAGAGGCTGGCCAGTGAGGGCCCGCACACCACCCACGTGCCTCCAGACAGCGAGTGACATCCCATCTCCTCCTCTGCATTAAAGATGACCTGCTGAACATTGTCATATGTCTCTGTAATGGGGTGGTGGGACACATAGTGTCTAACACTTCAGTTTCTCTGCTGCTTCCCTCCCATTGAGAAGCCAGTGCCAGGGTTGCTGTGAAGATGGGAGAGCTTCTGAACCCACCTCATTAAAGGATGAGAAACCCAGGGTCCGAGAGCAAAGGGACTTGACGGTGGCCACAAGTGCTTCAAAGGCAGAGCTGGGATTGGAACCCAGGTGTCATCTCGATGGGAATGTCCAGCAGTGATGTCCAAGTGGGAAGTGAAGACCCGAAGGCTCAAGGGACACAGGTGGCTGACAGTGGTCAAAGGCTAGGGGGCAGGATTCAGGCAGAGGAGCTCTAGGGGGTGTTTGCCACCCTGTGTGAACTCCCGAGACTCTACCAGGGGGGCCGAAAGGAGTACCCCAGAAGGGCCCAAGGGGTCCTCGGGGTTGACCTGACTCTCTGGAGTCCTGGATGGGTCAGTGGCTGTGGGTGTTTGGGGAGGGCGGTTCCTGCTGCCAGGCTGGGGCAGCAGACCCTCAAGACATAGTTACAAAGCCTTTGGTGTCACTCAGTGTCTGGCTTGCCCTGGGGCCCAGAAGGGCTGGTCAGTCCTGCCTCTGGCAGGCAATCTGGTAGGCCCATGATTCAAGGAACAGTGACATTCAGTGGTCCAGTCCACTCCCTCAGAGGAGGCGGGTCCAGAGGGTGAAACAGGCTGTGTTGATGACAGACTCCAGGTGGTGGTAGGTGGAGACCAGTTGGGCAGGGGGGCTCTCGCTGTCCTGGGGCTGTACTGGGAAGGGCTCTCGGAAAACCACTGTCAGAGACTGTGGGGAACACGGTGGGGATGCACTGGTGAGAGGAGGGCATGGGTGGGGATAGGAGGCAGGGCTCAGAAAGGGTGGGCACCCCAACCTCAGCAGGCTCCGAGGTGGAGCATTTGGGGTACGGCCTCCCATGAGGCTGACACAAAGCCCCCCACTCGTTCTTACCGTCTTTCCTAAGTGGGAGTCCAGAAACACTAGCACAAAGCAGTCAGTGAACTTCTGATTCAGCACAACCTGCAGTGAAAGATGAGGAGGGGACACAGACCCTACAGACCCTCCCACAGGGCATCCTGAGGTGAAGGGAGGATGAGGAGAGGCCTACTTCCATCTCCACACCTCACCCCGCCTGCACCCTGAGGTCACATAGGACCGTGTCTCCAAATTGAGCCTCAGTCCTCATCCTCGCTGGCTTGCTGGTCAGCCTGTCTGAGCTGCATCAGAATGAGGGGTAACAGTTGATCCTGGAGGCCCCACACAGAGCCTGGCACACTGAAGCCAATCAACAGAGAGTGCTGTACCCCTGGCACAACCTCCTTGCCTCCTGTCCTGGGACTCCTCTCTGACCACCCCTGGGATTGTCTTGTCGTCCCCTTATGTCCATCTGCTCCCTAACGCTCTGCTTGGTGATCCATCCCGGGATGATTTGCTCTCCCAAGGCTTCAGTTACCGCCTGTTCACAGAGCTGCTGCCTAGGACTCTCCTGAGCTCGAATCCCTGATGCCCACAGACCTTGCAGACAGTGAAGGGCCTATGGACCCCAGACTCAGCTTGCCCCAAGCTGGGCTTGTCACCCTTCCCCAAAACCCACTCCTGCTCCAGCCTTCCCACCACCCGCAGGAGCACCTGCCTCCATTCACAACCGCCGACACTACTGCAGCCTCATCCTAACTGACCTTGGCTTCTCTGGGAGACCCTTCCTGCACCCTGAAATGAATCCTCTGCACAAGCACTGTGCTGCAGGACCCCTCACCTGGCTCCACCTCCTACTTTCTCACTTGAAGTCTTCTCTTGTAATGCCTCCTCTCTTGAACCTCAGCTCTGGCTGGGCCCATCTCTGTGGGCTCCTTAATGCCCTGTGCTCGTGTCCACCACCACAGTTCTCTCTACCTGTCCTTTACAGCAGTGCTTTCACGCCTCAGTGTGCACACAAATCACCTGGGGAGACTGTCAACCTGCAGATCCCGAGTCAACAGTCTGAAATGTGGCCGGAGAGCCTGCATTTCAGCAAGCTCCCAGGTGCTGCGGCTGCTGGTCTGTGGACCACACTTTAAGTAACAAGGCTTCAAAGTCCAAGGGGTCCTTTCTGGGGCTCCAGCCTACTGACAAAGTTCTGACAGCTCCTTGGGTTGTCAGTTCCAGAGCCTGGCCCTCAGGATCTCAAGCCAAGGCTTGTATTCTTGGTGAGTCTTTGAGGGCAGAGCTGCTCAGAGAATCACATGCTGTAGCTCGATGCCCGGTACTGGAAGGGTTTTACATGTATCTGTGTAGTCCCGTTCTGTCTAGGCCTCCCTCCAGAGCAGAGCTTGTTTGGTCAGGCTGAGGGGCACATCTGTTTGGTGAGGATTTCTGCTGTGTTTCCCTTTTCAGAGGAAGCTCAAGGGGACTTACCAGGTACTGAGTTCCCAAGTCTGGGCTTTGGAAATGGCGACAGCTCTGGGGGAAGCGGCTTAGGAGAACTTTGATCAGGCTCTGGTACCAGGAGACCGTCATGGATAGGAAGCAGTCCTGAGGGAGGAGCCACAGGCCTGAGTCTTCTGTGCCAGTCACCTCAGATTCCTGTGCCCTCTGCCCTGGCTGCCAGTGGAATTCCTGGCACCTATCCCAGCTCTTTCGGGAGCCCACAGTTCCTTACCAGCTGGGGGTCGATGTCCCCAATGGATTTGGCATGGACTGCTTCTAGGAGTTCCTCCAGCTCTGCCAGGGCCAGGCGCCCCCCTAGCCGCAGTCGATCAGGCCCCGGTGGCTCCAGCAAGAAGAGGCGCTTCCAAAGGGTGTCCCGACGGCAGTGCCCTCCAGCCAGCCGCACCAGCTGAGCCAGCCGTGCTCGTGCCATGCCCACCTCTGCAGCCAGTGGTGGGAACAGAGGAGCCGGTCCAGGCGCTAGAATAAGCCCTGAGGCCTCCCCAGGGCTGCCAGCTGAACTCCCAGGAGCCTCTGGCTCAGGGGGCAGTCTGGGTGGCTTCCGGAAGCGGCGCATGTCAGCAGTGAGCCTGGGGAAGAGCTCTCGCTGGCTGGTGAGCACCACGAAGAACTGTAGCCTGGGGTGGGGAGCAGGGCAGGAGAGTGGTGGTTGTAGCAAGAGACACACAGGGCAGGGTGGGGCAGGCTGGGAAATGGGCATGTTCAAGGTAGGGGATCTGCTGACCGCAGAACGTGCCGCTCAGCCTCTCCTTGCTCCTCAAAGGGTGCAGCACAGTGACAGACAAGCAGAGACACATCAAAGTCATCCTGGTGTCGAAGTCCCTCAGAGTCCAGGTAGGAGCCAGAACTGTGCAGGACGGGTTGGGGAGATGTCAACTCTGGGGTTCTAATAAAACAAACCTCACCCCTGCCCAAGAAAACATTGGTCTCCCTACTGCAAGTATGTCCCAACCCCAGCTCCTGCAGCGTGCATGCTGGATGCCCCTCTCAGCCTTACCTGTGCCATGCCGACACCAGGGCATACTCGTTGTGTTCTGGGCCCCCTGGCCGGGCCATTCGCAATGGCTTCATGTGGTAAGAGCTGGCGTGATCAGCCACGTAGTTGTATAGCTGGTGGGCAGCAATGAGTGGTGTGGGGAGCTCCAATGTCCCTGAGGGATAAGTAACAGGAGACAGCAGACACTAAGCCTAGGACAGACACACTGGTCTGGTGGGGCACAGGGATGGGAGTCTTTAAGGCTCTGACTGGCAGGCAGAGTGGGTCTGCTTTCCTTAGGAGCTCCTGCATTCCTGTGGAACACTGAGATGGGACAGAAGTGACTCAGAGGGCAGGGGACATGTGACATGGGGTCCAAACTCTGGTAAGAAACAGACACAGGACAGAAACATGGGGACGTGGTATGTGTGACATGAGATGATTAACAACATGGGACCACTTGTCCAGGGAGGTGGTCCCACCAGCCCTGACCTGGAGGCACCTGTGGCCTGTTCTTTTTTGGGTTCACTGGCTTGCCCTTGGGCACTGACCTTGGTAAATGTGATTGCGGCCAAAGTGGGGTCCGTCAGGGTGGTGGGCCAGGAAGTGTCGCAGAAAGGTGGTGAGGTGGTAGCCGTGCCGCAGCACCAGATGGGCACCTAGCACGTGCTGATGCACGAGGCGCAGATGGAAGTCATAGCTGAACGAGTGCACGTGCATCAGGTCCCGCACCTTGTCACACTCCTCTGTGAACAGCATGGACAGCTGGGGAGGCAGCAGCAGGAGACAGGGTTAAGGTATGGCTGCACTGGCTGCCCAAAACACATTTCCCTCCTTCCGTGGGAAGAAGCACAAGATTTCCCCTGCTGCTGTGGCCTAGTGGAACGCCCTCTGCCAGAATGGTTTCTGTGGGAAGGCCTCCCCATTCTAGCCTCCCTTTTTCATACTGTATTGTAACTATCTCCATGAAACTAGGGCCATTTTCAGAAACTGGGCCATTTTGCTCTATCCCAGATTCCATCAGGGTCTGCCACAGACTCTAGATGACTACAGGCCAGACCAGGCACTGTGCTGCCTCAGGGCTACAGCTGAACACGCTTTGGATGACCGATGGGGTCAGCCTTGTAGTGAGTGCAGTCATGGCACCAGAATGAGCACTGACCTAGCCAGGCCATAGCAGTGAATCAATCACTGGGCCAGCCCGCCTACTGCATTACTCTACTGCCCAGCAAATGGGACATGGAGCCATGCTGCCCACAGCACACTGGGGTGCACTGACTGTGCCCGCAGCTCATTCACATACCTGTGAGTTGACAGCCTGCCCCATTGGGATTCGGGAACATTCCAGGGCAAACTGTTTGACACAGAAGTAACAGCCCTGGAGGGAAGGTGAAGATGAGATCAGGAAGGCGAGAGACAGGTGGGTCTGGCTGTCTCCACTCAGTGCTCCTCCTGCTTACCTGGAATGCCAGTTCCATGAGGATGATGCCCCCAGGCAGTGCCCGCTGCAGGTGGTAGGTGGTTACCGGAGAGCTAGTGCTCTGAAGAAACAAAAAAGGGGGCAAGGTTTGGGGGCTCACCAGCCTCGAATCAGT
The DNA here is from genome assembly GCF_000001405.40 of Homo sapiens. Taxonomy (NCBI): domain Eukaryota; kingdom Metazoa; phylum Chordata; class Mammalia; order Primates; family Hominidae; genus Homo; species Homo sapiens. The sequence goes on along the minus strand of NC_000001.11, from coordinate 43,446,124 downwards.
AGGGTGGAAGTCCCTTGGACCCTGACTTTAATGGTGTCAGTCTGGGATCAGTGACCTCGGTACATCACTCAGGGTCAATGACCTCAGGCCGTGGGAAAGTAATTTAGCATCAGTAACTTTACCATTATATGACAAGTTACCTTGGGGCTCCCATCAGTCTTGGTTTTAGGGCAGGAGAAGGAGCCTCGACCCTCTGTTCCAAGGATAGCCATGGCCCGTGGCCGGCTGGTGCTATAGAAAAGGAGGAGGGATAAGAGGATGAGGCAGGCTAGTGGCATGCAGTCATGGTGATCAGACCCAGAATCTGTTTTATATGGAATCATTTTGCAAGGGAGGAAACAGACCCACAAAGCTGCCACTGTGAGTGGCAAGGCTGGGCTTGGAGTCCAGGTCTAGACTGCAAGGCTGGGCTCTCTCCATAGCAGCTGCTGCTTCAAGGGAGGCAAAAACAGTGCTCAGTGGGGAGGTGGAGACTAAGCCTCTGCTACTGAGAGGGTGTGTGCTGGGCAGGAAAGAGAAGGGGGAAGGTGATGCCTGTCTACAATTTGATTAGGAAAATTCAAGGAGATGCTTGATGCCTGGTTAGGTACCTTCCTCTGAAAGGGCAAAGCTGCTGTCTTTTGATTGGGGGGGATGGCAGTTCCAGGCTTTCAGAGGCCTACTGCTCGTTACAGTTTAGTGCAGAGGATAGGGGAGAAGGGAAGCAGGGGAGGGACTGGGAAGAAGGGACAGAACAGAAGGGGTTGGGGGGACCCACTCACGCCAAGGGGCTATAAACTGCCAGAATTCTTGCTGGGGGTCAAAACCTCTGGTGGAAAAAATGTCCCATTTAAACCTCAAGGAAACTGGGACAAGACTTAGTGATTGGTGATTGTTAAAGATTGGTGGGAAGGGAAGACCTGGCTTTAAATTTTGCTGTAGAAACATTTTTTTTTTTAACCCAGTGTCTAAAGGAATTCAGATTTGGGGGAAAGAGCATAACTTATGGCAAGTGTGCAAACTAAAGTCCTTTAGAGAAGCTCCTAGAGCTGGGAACTGGCTGTCAAGATAGCAAGCTGGGCAGCTCCTCCCCAGGGTAGGAGGGGCCAGCCTGGCCTCTGAGATGGGATCACAGGAGGGGCAGGCACGCCTTCTCTTCCTAATGCCTGGAAGAGAGGGAAACCTGGGGAGTGGGGAGCTGGTCACAGAAACATGAGAGAGTTGGAACTGGCATTTCTGGACTACTGGCTTGAAAAGGTTCTAACTGAAAACAGAGAGGAGGGAGAACATGCCTTGATAAACTCACAAATCTGGAGACACGAAAGTAGCTATGTGTAAGGTGAACAGCTCATTTTTCGCATACAGCCACTGGGAAAGGGCAGAGAACACAGAATCTGGAGAGGAACATAGAGCAGGGGCCACAAACACGGGAATCTGAGATTTGACAGTGGATGAAAAGGTGGCTGCAGAGTTGTCCCTGAGCTCAGGGGAGATGGAGGTGGCAACAGACGGGCTGCCTACTTCCCAAGACTCAGACCTGTCAGTACTGGCCAGTGGGTGAACATGACCAAGAACAGGCCAAGGACAGTGATGCAAGTAGGCCTAGCACAGAGGTCCTTGGTGAGAAAAGGACTTCCCTGGGCCGAGAACTACATCAAATCTCAGGAGAGGTCAGTGGGATGATAAGGACAGGAATCATTAAGTCCTAGATCCAGAGGCTTAGGAGCATGTACAAGATTCACATGTGCAGGCCGGGCGTGATGGCTCACACCTATAATCCTAGCACTTTGGGAGGCTGAGGTGGGCGGACTACCTGAGTTGAGGAGTTCAAGACCAGTCTAGGCAACATGGTGATACCCCATCTCTACTAAAATACAAAAAATTAGCCAAGCAGGGTGGCGTGCACCTGTAATCCCAGCTACTTGGGAGACTGAGGCACAAGAATTGCTCGAACCCAGGAGGTGGAGGTTGCAGTGAGCCGAGATCGCGCCACTGCACTCCAGCCTAGGCGACACAGTGAGATTCCATCTCCAAAAAAATTCACATGTGGGGATGTATGCAAGTGTGTAAGTGTACAAGATGTGTGTGGGCATGAGCTTTGTGAAAATGGACACAGTTTTGTATGAGTGTCATCATGAGTTCCATAAAGCATACAAGGTCTGCAGGACACGCATGAGGGCTGTGTGAAAGTATCTGAGACCCTCACATGAGTGCAAGCCTGGTGGGATAAACATGCACAGGCCCAGCCCAAATTGTCAACATAGGACCTTGTAAAGAGAGGAAGGGCCTGTGGGGCCTCACTTGCAGTGCAGGAGGAGAAGACAGAAGGGAAAACAGGGACGGGCTCACCTGCGGGCGGGTGAGGGGGGCCGCAGTGGTACCAGCACAAAACCTATGCTCTGCAGATACTGCACATATTGCTGCAGGAAAGCCAAGCTCAGCTCCTTCAGCCAAGGCTCCTCACGGGCTCCCGGGGGCGACACATCCAAGGATTCACAGCTTGTGGGGGCCTCTCGGCTCCCAGACCCTGACTCAGGGCGATGGCGCCGCTATGAGAGTAAAGATCAAGGAAGACTCTCCCCACTGTCAACCATCCTGCTGGGGATGGAGGAGGGGGGTCACTGTGGGGTAAGCAAAGGTCTGCTAGAAGTCTGGGAGTCAGCCTTACCTGCCCGTCAGGGGGTCCAGAGGTCTCTGGGGGCCCATGCAGCCAGGCAGCTGGGTCGAAGAGCATGGCTGTTGCACAGTAATGCACCAGGCGGGATGACTGCTTCAGGGTCTCCAGCTCTCCAGCCTGGGGAAACAGGGCAGTGAGCATGGAGCAGTGACGGGGCAGGATCACAGATACTCAAGGAAGATGCAAGCTGGGGTCACTCACACTGATGGGCATGGTGGCTGGGGTAGAACGCTGCTGCCAGGTTACAAACAGGTTTTCCATCTTCATCTGGCGCTCCAGCTCTGAGGGTTGAGGGCATTAGTAGTAGCCCCAGGCATTGTCACTCCCTTCCTCCCAGACTCCACAGATTTCCTGTCCCTGCTGCCTGGCCCAGTACCCTCACCTCTGCGCTCTGCCATCTTGATCTCTAGGAACTGTTGTCCATGGTAGGTGACAGGATCAGGAGGTCTGGGCACAGGACCAAGTACGGAGCTGGGGCGGGCAGCCGTGATATCCCTTAGGGCCTCGTCAAAGGGGAATGTGTCCAGGGGAAGAGGACCCCCACCACGAGAGGACCCACTCAGTCGGCCCTGCTCACGGCTCAGCGGGGGACTTGCACTCCGGATGAGGGTCTCCACTTCCATGGTCGGCAGCAGGAATGGGTTTGGCTCCTGAGAGATGGAGCATTGCAATGGGTTCATAGCCTTTGCCCTCGGACCCTCTCTCTCATCCCAGGGCTTCCTCTCTCAGACTCTCCCTCCCCACTACCTCTGCCCTCAGTCTGTCCCATCTTTCTGGCTTCTGAGCTGGTTTTTCCTTTAACTGACCCCTCAGTAGCCAAAACTATAGGAAGAACCAGAGCAGCAGGCACCTTTTCATCTCGCACGGGGAAGTCCAACTGGCCATAATGATGGAAGAGGCCAAGCTTCTGGCTGAGTAGGCAGAAGATGAGATGGGCTCGTGCATTCTGCCACTGCACCAGGCGAACCAGCGCTCGGCCCAATGCTGCCCCCAGGTCTGGAGCCCAGTTGTAGGTCAGCAGCTGTAGCTGGAGGTCGGGGGTCAGGGTCAGTGAGATCACGGAACCCCTCTTCCCACCCAGTCCCTGGCCCCATATTTACCTTCTTGTCCACAACCTCTAGTAGCAAGAGCCTCTGCCGGGGAGCATTTCGCCCTGAGCTCCCATCACCTCCTGGCTCGAAGCGCTGCATGGCTTTGGCAGCTACAGGGTGGGGGAGGGGCACAATAGGGGCCTGGGAACAGATCCCCCTTGATCCCACCCTCCCCTCTGCAAGGTTGGAGACCCCACCAGTTACTCTTAGCCTACCCGCCCCCCGCCCCCCCGGGCCATGCCCTCACCCTGCTGTGTTGGTCTCCTCCACTGCAAGAAGTTCCTTCCCAGAAGCAGCAGATGCCGCTCAGCTGCAGGGCGGGGAGAGGGGCCCAGTTGCCCAGGGGAACAAGGGCCGAAGATCTCTGGCTCTGAACCCCTATTGAAAGGGAGGACAGACAGAAAGGCCATCCATGACACCACTCCCTGGCCTAGCCTTCACCTCCCTGGGCCTTGTTTCCACCTCTCCTAGCTCAGCTTCCTCAGGTTTGGCTTCCTGTAGGCCCAGCTTTTAGGAAGTCTAGGGGAGTTCCCTTCAATTCTATAGGATCTACACTCACAAATGCTGCTCAAAGATGCGGACACTGGTGTCTCCAGCCATTGAGGTGACCAGTGCGGTGAACTCAGACAGGATGGATGGAAGGAGGAACCGGGACACCATGTGGGCAGAGCTTCTGGACACTGAGGCACAACCTAGGAGGCAGAGGAGTCACTGTGGAGCTGCAGGATGGAGACCAGGCTGGGGTTGAGGGATGGGAGGGGAGGCTGGGGTCTCACCAATCTGAACCATAAACTCCATCCAGCGCTGAGCAACACGGGCAAACACAGGATGAAGGGTCCCCACCTCACCCTCTTCTAGCTGTGTTGTCCGGCGCCTGAAGACAGTGGGAGTAAGAGCCTCATGTCCATACATGACACTTGTATGTTTATACAGACCAAGGCCCATCTGTGACTTCACACCCATACCCTCCCAGGGCACACCACCACCACACACATACTTTTGTCTCTGGGCTCCAGAATCTGAGCCTGGCGCCCGCTCAGCTCCACCAGGAGTCCGAACACTCTCGGTTTTGTGACGCCTCCGGCCCCGAGTGTCTTCTGGCCGATCCAGGACAATGTCATCAGTTGTTTTGGGGGAACCCAAATCCCCACATTCTGTTTTACTCTGGGGGCAATGCAGTGAATGAGGAAGGGCTACTGGGAAGAGGAAAGGTGTGGGATGGGGGCACTATGGAACAGCAGTGAGCTAGGAGGATTCAGAGGTCTGGGTTCAGACCCTGGCTTCCCCAGGGGCTGGCTAAGGAGCCTTGGGCAGGTTACCTAACTTTCCTGAGCCTCACCTTCCTCACTGTAAAAGCTCTACTTATCTTGCAAGCTGTTGTGAGGATCCGACAAGAAAAATGGAAGTGAAGGCACATAGTAAGTTAAGGCTCCCTCTACATCAGTGAGAACTGCCACATTCTACAAACTCCAGTCCAAAAGACAGAGCAGTTTTTGTTTTGCTTTTTTGAGACAGAGTGTTTGTGTGTTGCCCAGGCTGGAGTGCATTAACAGGCATGATCACAACGTACTACAGCCTTGAACTCTTGGCCTGAAGCAAAATCCTCCCATTTCATCCTCCTGAGGAGCTGGGACTAAAGGTACACGCCATGGTGTCTGGCAGGACAGAGCAGTTTTATATGAAAGGACACTGTGGCAAGGCCTATGGGGGACTGGGAAGCAGGAGGGAGTGTGGGAGGAGCTAGGAGGCAGGCAGAAAGGTAGATGCCCACTTCACCACTTCTTCCATTACCAGCATATCCCAGAAGCTACGCCGGCCCGCTTTGCTGGGTGGAGTCACAGGCTCCCCAGGGACAGGGGCAGGGGGAAAGGTGCTAGCTCGGCCTGCAGAGCTCTTAGTTTCCAACGATCCGTTCCTGAGACTTCCTGTGGACATCAGACATTACAGACACCCATCACTGATCATCAATCCCCATTCTAGAAAACTGAACCTCAAGACTGGTATGACAGTGACTTGCCACCTATTCTACCTGTCAGTGAATGACAGTATATACAACTGATAGTGTGCTGCTGCATGTGTTTGTGTGAAGTGAGCCTCTGATGCAATAGCCCTCTCTAAGTGGGTGAGCAGCTGCATCCGTTCACTGCTGCCAGTGTAGCACCTGGATGATGCCCAGACAAGCTCACGGACAACTGTGAATAAGTGGTTCTGATGTAGTAGTTCTCTGACATGCTTCCCCTAAACCCCACCTTTGCACGCTCACCTGCCACACTGTCCTGCTTGGATCTGTGACATTCTCTGGACCCCAGGGACCTCTTGACTTGCATACCTGTGGGTGTGTCCTCTGTACATAGTGAAGCTGGCAGCAGCTGAAGCTCGATGATGGCATCGGCCAGGGCCTGGCGAGCTGCTCCTCGGAGTTTCTCCTCCAGCTGCACAATACTAATGTTCCCCTTTTCCCACACATCCAATCGAAGCCGTGGGGCCCCATTCTGAGCTGGAAGGAGAACAGGGACACTTGAGGGTGTCCCTAGATCCCACTCTACTCACCACCCTTACCTCCCACAGCAATAACTGAACACCTCATCCTCTGACCAAGCTGTCCCACCTGAAGAACTGTCCACAACAACCGGGCAGCGGATGACCTGGGTCAGTTGCTCAAATTCCTCCTCTCGCAGTGGGTCTGGGGGCCCCGGAGAGGAGGGGGGCCACAACGCCAGTGACAAGGGGGCCCCTCCTTCATCCACAAAGGCTAGAGTGATGCAGGCAACCCCTGGGTAGAAATCCATAGGAAGGCTCAGCTCTGGGACTTGCAGACCACCCCTCCCACGACCCTCCACTCAGCTGCAAGCCTGGGAAATGTCCTCTTAGCAATAGGATGACAAAAGGCTTTCCCTCACCTGGTGGTGCCACAGGCCCGTGCCCTGCACCGTACCTTTGCCCCCAGTGCCCTGTCCACCAGGCTTGTTATACAAGTAGATGTCCAAGTCAGGGAGGCCACCCTGTGGTGGGAGTGGATGCTGGGGAAAGAACAGCCACAGAGCACTAAGAGCAAGCAAATGGACAAAACCCTCGGGGATGGGTGCCCACAGTGGGGAATGTGGTGCAGGTAGATATGGGAGCATGAGAAGACACAGGCGGGTAATAATGGTCCCCGGGGGGGCATGGGTGTACCCAGGTCCATGGGCAAAGGTACATATAGGGGTATCGGTAGGAAAGAGTAAGTGCGTGGGGCAGGGGGCAGGGGTGCACATGAGTGTGGAGAGAGATGAGTGCCATCTCACTTGGAAGTGGTTCCGGCTGTTGCTATCTGTGTACTTGGGAGAGTGCAGGAAGATGAGCAAGTTCTGCCGTAGGTACCATGCCAGGGCTGGAAGCCAGGGCCTGCAGGAGGTGGGTAGGGCCAGATGCAGCACCTCTGAGGGGAGACTTCCAGGGGGCTGGATGAACTGCAGAGTGGGAAGAAGAGGGCAGAGCTGAATGCAGAAGTTCCAGCCTAGACTGTCCTGGAACCTGTGGCTGAGTCTGGGAAGGATGCTGGTGCCTAGAGGGGAGCTGACCTCCACATCAGCTGGTGTCAGCTTGCAGTTCCGAACAAGCATAACTGTGATGACGTCCAGCGTGGCCTCATCCAGGCGCCGACATAGAACTCGCACGAGCTCATCCGTGATCTCAGGACCTTGACACAGCCATGGTGGGAAGGTGGGGACACTGGTAGAGGATCCAGCTACCTCCATAGCAGCCCTATCATGCCAAACTCAAAGAATCCCCTGTATACTAGAGGCAGTGTTAGGAGTGCTGGCTCTGGAGGTAGCCAGCACTAGGTTCCAATTCTGCCAAACTACTCGTTATGTCACTATGGACACTTGAGTTTTACTCTCAAAACCTCTGTGCCTTCATCCATAAAATGAGAATTATAATAGCATCGCCCTCATAGGTTTGTTGCAAGAATTACACTAGAAGTTATTTAACAGTCTCAGCCCAAGACCAGCACATGTTAATTGAGCTATAAATATTAGCTGGAAAATCCAGTTGCCTACTGGACACCTGGGGCAAAATATATCCCAAATAACCATCCTCTTCACCCCGAACCCAGTCTGGTATCAGGTCGGTGGCACCACCAGTTCTCCAGCCACCCCAGCTCCCCTTCCCCAAGCTGTGCCTCAGTCAACTGCAGTCCTAACCCTGAACATGGCAGAAGCCAGTCCCTTCCCATGCAGCTCCTGCTTGAGGAAAGACCCGAGCACAGCAGGAACTAGAGGAGGGACCCAGGGCAGAGTAATAGGAGGTTCTAAGAGAAGTCCCAGAGGGTCTGGAGCCTCCAGCTAGTATTTATGGCTCACTTAACATGTGTCAGGTCTTGGGCTGAGACTGTTACATAACTTCTAGTGTAATGCTTGCAAGGTTCTAAGAGAAGTCCCAGAGGATTCTGGAACCTCATGTGGCGACTCCCCTACCCCCTCCTCAGACCTTACCTGCCTGCCCAACACCATGGACCAGCAGCTGGATATGTCTGTCCACTTGGCCCACAGGACGAGCAGCATCTGAACTGCGGCTAGAGACCATGTCTAAGGGAGAACGAGGACCCTACAGGGAAAACTGTGGTCAGGGCCCCGGTTCCAGAGAGCAAAGTGCAAGAGGAACACAGGGGCATCAGAGAGTGGGAGTGATACATGCCGAGGCTTCCTCAGAGTAGATGGGCTCTTGGCTTCGGGACAGAGCGAGGGAAGGGGGCAGCGCATCCCCTTTCCATGGCCGGTCACTGCAGGATGTCTCTAGGAGCCTGGGAAAGAGCAGCATGTCTTTGGACATGCCTCCTCCCAGGCCATCCTTAATTCATGCCCTACCCACCTTCCAAGGGCCACATACCGAAGATAGTACACAGCCTTTGTTGCTCGCTCCTGGTAAACAAACATGTTTTTCCGGTTCACCACAGAGAAGGCATTGAGCACAGAGCGCAGGGCCTGGATGGCTGGGGGAATAACATGGGCTCAGGAAACTGCCTTTTCCAGATCCTTCCAATGCTCACCTGCCCTCTCATGCCAATCACATACCCCGAGAGACCCCCATGCTGGGCCCCATTTTGAGGCGTGAATGGACTCGGATCACAGTTCCCCACACAACGTCACAGGAGAAATGGCCAGGGACAAACTGCATTGTGGCTGCCAGGTACCCACGGGGCGCACAGCTCTCATCAGCAGCATAATCTGGGTGAGGGGGAGCAGGGATTAGAAATGGGACACACCACCCTCTGCCCTCCACAGACTTCTCACCTGGGAACTGGCCTACTTGTCCTCACTCCTCCAGACTCATCCCTGACTATTGCAGAGAAATGATGATCATTCTGGGTAACACGACAGGGCCAGGCAGATGCATGCCCTTAGGAACACAGGTCATATAGCACAAAGGCTTCCAGAACTATCTCAAGGAGACTTAGAGAAGGAGCTAATGAGAGGTATCAAGGCAGGCAAAGCATGAGGAAATCCTCAAGATCATGCCAAGAGATTCTGACCCTGTCATAATATATGTCAGTAGCACTCTAACACTATGTCCTCCAGGGAGTTGCAACAGTAATCTCATTAAAACCAAAAGGGTATGGCTGCTTATGCACACCAGCTGCAGAGGAGGGATAAACTTTGTCCTGGGCTTTGGAAGACAGAAACGCCAATAAACCCAAAGGGTAGTGTGGCAGTACACAGGAGCCCATGGCCACAGTACAATGCCTCCTTCGACCCTTTTCAGGTTTCCAGGGAGCCTTCTGGTGAATCAAAGTGGCAGTTTTCTCAGAGAAGCTGCTGTCAAGTGTGAACAGCACACAGGCTACCCAGGAGGCTGAAGTTTCTGTGTAAAGGCAGAGGCTCTGGAATGGAATGCTGGTTGCTAAGGGTTTCAGGGAAAAATTCTGGAGAGACTAAAATGAGGAAGGGCTGTGTCTGGGTTCTGACTGGTCTTACATCTTAGGCTGCCGGAAGTCATTCTGAAGTAAAATTGTTCACCTGTCCTAGCTCATCTTCAATTTGCAGAAGATGCCTTTGAAACCATGGGAATCCACTAACTATGGGGACTCTGCTTCGATATGGAGGAGATCCCAGGATGTGCTGAGAGATGCATTCTCCTGGAGATATCAGAAACGTTTGTCTACAGACTTGCTGAGAATGTTAAAAATAAGGAGTGGTCTGATTTTACTTTTAAACCAGAGGAGAACTGCAAAGGAATGTTATGGTTCAGCTTTTCCTCTATCCGTCTGGGTGAGAGGTCATCAGGAGTAAGAGAAGGGAGAAGTGTCGAGACTTCAGTTACCATCTTGAGTGGATTATCATGTTCCCTTACCATGACTAGAAATCCCAAAGCAGTCCTGTGGCTGCCTGTCTGGAGGAACAGCCAATCAGAAGGCAATTCTACTGGCCTTCAGGCTCCTCCCCTCTGGATTTCTCTTACTTGGGAACTGGCCCGCTTGTTCTCACTCTCCCAAACTCCTCATTCCTGACTATTTCCCTGCCAGGGAAAGACGGTCATTCTGGTTAACAAGACAGGGCCAGGCAGAAGCAGACTCTTAGGAAGACAGATCATGGCCTGGTGCCCCTTCAGTGATCTCTCCTCTTCTGTATTCTTCAACCTCTCCCCCTCCCCTGGCTCTTTCCCTATAGAATATAAACAAGCTCAAGTCTCTACTTTATTTTAAAGCTCCTTCCTTGCCCCCATCTTCCTTTAGTTACTGCCGTATCTATTTTCTCTGTCTCTTCACTGCCAAGCTACTTGTAAGAGTAGTTATTCTCTGCCCCACCTATCACCCTCTTTCACTTTTCATTTCATCTGCTTTCTATTCCCATCTCTCTACTGAAATTACTTCCATGAAAATCACTGATGAACTCGCAGCAGCAGCCAAGGCCAGTGATCCTTTCCTGTCCTATCCTCCTTGCTCTCTCTCTAGTACTTGGCACTGATGACCAAGTAATGAGGACTCTGCCCTCAGCTTTCACCAGAGTATTCGGTAAAAGAAAGGGCGGCAGCACTGCCTTGTGAGGGAGGCTCCTGGGTGGGATCTCACCATCACTGGGCAGTGGTGCCCGCTGACGGGAGTGGAAGGGAGTCTCACTGCGCCACAGATCTTCTTCACTCTCGGCCACCAGAAGAGAGTTACACACGTGGCTGTCATGAAGGTCTTGAAGAAGCAGTCGCTGGGAGAAGGAGCATGAGGTCAGGGAACTGAAATACCTCCTCCTAAGTGGGTGGTGGTGGTCAGGGGTGATCAAATGCCAGAGAGAATGACCACTATCACTGGGGATTGGAGGTCAACAAGAATATCAGTCATCACAGAGAGGTCAAAGCTCAGGCCTCTGAGAGTGATTCTCAGTCAGGAACACTTGCCCCTTTGGTGCCAGAATCTGTTCACCATCCGTCGAGTCTCAGCTTAAAAATCACTTCCTCTAAGAAGCTTTCCCTGATACTTCAGATGGTCAGATCCCTGTTACATGCTTTCGTAGCAGCTTCTACTGTTCCTTTTAGGATTCTTCACAATTGTAATTGAAGTAAGTTGTGTAATTCAGTTGTTCAACTGTCCCCCATTCTACACAAGCTCCACAGAGTTACAGCGTCCCTCTGTCTGGGTCACTAGTATATCACTAATGCTAGCACAGTGCAATGAGAGGGAGTATCTCATGGTTACTGGGATGGTATGAGAGAGTAACCCACTGTTACTGGGGGTGGGTTGTGGAGCACTCCCAAGGCTGTAGGGAGCTGGGGGAGAAACAGCATCCTACTAACTGGGGAAGTCAAAAACTTTCCATAATTATTGATTCTGAAATGGACCAATAGCCTCTGAAAATCAAGTTCTTAGAAATTTGGTTCTCATCTGCTCTGTGTGTCCGGGTCTGGAGAGTCCTGCCCCTTACCTGGTTGACCTCCCTGCAGATCTCCCCAACTCGCCTCACCAGGAGCTGCTGCAGGTGGCGACACTCAGTGCCCGGCCCCCCATCCTCCCGAATCAGGCTCCTGGGAAGGAAGGATAATCTGACCAGAACTGCAGTGGGGAGGAGTTATATGTAATGGCATGATATGTATATGACATAACTGCAGTTATACGTATCACGAGGGGGAGAGAAAGTCATGGAGGTGGGGCCAAGAGAAACCATGAAAAGGGAGCAGGCTTGGACAGAGGTAAACCTGGTGGGAAATGGAAGAGACGGAATTCTCAAGAGCAGTTCTGGATGCCGAGGCTCCACGCTTGCTTCACCAGCTCCCATACGGGTACCACACTGAGGCTCCTTTATGCTGTGCACCTCTTCTTTCTTCTCAAGTCTTCTTCAGAATGGTGGTCTTCCTTTCTTCTCAGCCCCACCTTACCCTGCATATGCCACCCACCCGAGATGAGAGCAGTAGTGAACTGATGCCTATGCAGGAATCCTGGCTCTGTCACTTACTGTGGCCTTGGGCAAGTATTTAACTGGCCTGTGCTTCAGTTTCTTCACCCATATGATAAGGACATTAATACGCCGTAGGGTTATGTAGATAAATGAGTGGATTCATGTAAGCACCAGAACAGTGCCTACCACATAGTATGCACTTGATAAATATTAGCTATTATGCCTTATTATTTTTTGAGACAGTGTCTTGCTCTGTTGCCCCAGCTGGAGTGCAGTGGCACAATCTCATTCACTGCAATCTCCACCTCCCAGGTTCAAGATTCTTCTGCCTCAGCCTCCCAATTAGCTGGGACTACAGGCGCCTGCCACCACGCCCAACTAATTTTTGTATTTTTAATGGAGACGGGGTTTCACCATGTTGGCCAGGCTGGTATCGAACTCCTAACCTCAAGTGATCCGCCTGCCTCGGCCTCCCAAAGTGCTGGGATTACGGGCATGAGCTACCACGCCCAGCCTTATTATGCTTTATTTTTATACACGAACTTCTAAAGCTGCTCTGATCCTTAGATGTTGTTAATGCTCAGCGAGAAGCCAAAATCCCCATCAGCTTTTCGACTCTCATCTATAAGACAGTTGAATGTGATGTGCTTAGCTGTAAGATGTGGGAAGTGATCGGGAACCACCAACCTAAGAATACAAGTTGGATCTCTACCCAAGCTCTCAGTCCCAAGTCTTACTTCTAACAACACTGGAGAGAGGTACTGTGGGAGCAGAGAGAAGAGGTTAATGGGAGCATGAGGGTGCAGGCCCTGGCTTCTACTTACCGTGCATGTGCATACACTTCCACACGGTCCTGCAGGACCCGGACAATGAGCCAGAAGTCAGGCAGGCAGGGCCCAGGGAGGCCTGAGAGTGAAGGCTGTGGAGGTGCTGGCCCAGGTGGAGTCCGCAATGTGAAGGGGGCCTTCTCACCAAGGGTGTCATTGGGACCCTCACTGTCTGAGCCACTGCTGCCACCATCATAACCTGTGTCAGATGCATTGAAGGTCAATCCCATCCGAAGCTGGGCCTGACTCATCTGATCCTCCAGGTGCATCTGGCTTGATGCACTTCAGATTAGTCCCTTCTGATGTCTCCTGTCCAGACCTTTCCCAGTACAGCCCTAAGCCCACCTCCCATCAGCTTAGAGTCCTTCACCCCGTCCCCCCAGCTTACCTAGGTGGTCTGAGTCCACACTGCCCTGACTGGACATGAGACTTAATCCCCGGCTGGGCCCAGGCTGACTCCCTGGATAGAGAAGGAAAATGCCTGGAGCCTCTCTCAATCCTGTCTAGGGCCTCCCTCCAAAAATGGAAGCATGGTCAGGGATCTGGTCCTGGCCTCCAGACTGCTGCCCAAGTCCTCTCTTACCTCCCTGTGGCACGCGGGGCAGGCTGATGAGGGGGACACCCTCAGAATCCTCTGGGGACCCAGGTGCTTGGGGGCTGGCTGTCAGGGTCTGAGGAATAGGAAGTCAGGACTGAGGTATAGGCCCCACACACCCACCACCCCCCTCCATTCCCAGGTGAGACTCACCTCCCCTTCGATGCCTTCAGCCCTGTCCTCATGACTGTGCCAAGCCCAGGCCGCTGAAGAAGGCTCCCCATGGGACCCACCTGGCTGTTGGCCAGCTGCCACAAAGAAGAAGCCACTGTCAGGGTCTTCAAGAAGAACATGGCCAGGGAGATGGAGGCGGCGGAACTCCTAGAGAGCAGGAGCCAAGATCACAGTTTAGGCAGGGCAGTCCTCCCTACACATGGTGAGCTACACTTCCTCATGAGACGCTCCTAACTACCTGGTAAAGCAGATGCTGGCATCCCCACTGCTGAGGTAAGAAAAGATTCAGTGACTTGCCTAAGGTTCAACAGGAGCAGTGACCAGGTTGGGAGCTGGGTTTCTTTCCAGTGAGTTGGGCTGCCAAGCACAGGGGTTAGGGCAGATGATGTGGTGAGCAGGGAGACAGGAGGGATAACTCTATGAGTTCGAACTAACAGAGGGCCTTCCAGTCCTGTGCCTGGGGCCCAGGGAAGGACGGGCCCCAAGGTGACCCTGCAGTGTTTGGAGGGCAACTTACCTCCTTGAATTGTGTGAGGGAACGCTCTGGCCCAAATACAAAACTCAGTGGCAGAGTTTGGCGAAGGCAGGTGGAGCGTCCAGGAGAACTATGGATATGGGCAGCTGCGCGGTGCAGGGCAGGACTCTGTGGGATGCCCCCTCTTCGGAGTGCCCCCACCATCTCATCTTCCAACAACCAGCGGATCTACAGTTAGACAGCAAGTGACAAAGGGCATCTCCCTTGCTTCCTTGGGCATCCCCTTACTCCCGGACTAGAAGATAATTTGCCTCACAGACTGAGAGAGGCCTCACTTCTATCCCAGAACAAAGGGGGTACCTTATCTCACTCATACGATGGAAAGGGAATCAGTTACAGTGTTGGGGGTGGGGGGCTCACCTCATTCATGGTGGTCTCAATAGCCAGTCTGTGGGGCGTGGCCAAATTGGATAGTCCTGGGTGCCTAATTGGAAGAAAGGTTTAGATATTGGTTTCCAGAAAATGAAATTGAAAAGCAGTAATGAACTCTGACAGGGAGATAAAGAAGTACCTCTCCTCTTCTGGGGGTGGCAGTGGGGGCCCGAGGCCATCATCTGACCTTAAAGATGATGGCTGCCCTGGGGATCGTGGAAATGAAGCACTGCTTTCAGATGTTGACCTGAACAGGGTGGGAACAAGTCAAAGGTCAGGAGTTACTATCCTACCAGGGCCTCCTCCTTACTTCATTCTTGGACTCCTCAAGGTCTCCTTAGTCCCCAAGTGCTCTAGATTCGCTTAGTGGTCCCCCTACCCTAAAAAGGTCCCAAACCCCCCACCAAACTTGCTGCCACACCGGTGGTGCTGAGGGTCCGAGGCCGTGGGGAGCTCCACTTCCAGGGGCAAAGTCAGCATGAAGACATCCAGAGTCACACTGAGGTCCCTCAAGGGAACTCGGCCTCCAACTGGGGGGCCCTCCAGACTGGAAAGCACCTGGCCTGGGAGAGGGGGAAAGTTAGCAGTTGCTGAGGGCTCTAAGACAAGCACAGATTCCAAGATCTATGTGTTAAAAGACATAACCCTAGGCTCCCCTCCACTCCCACTTAGGCAGGCTGTTCCAGGACCTTTGGCTTTCCCTCGGGCTGCCTCAAACTCACCCAGGCAGGTAGGCAGGCTGCACACAGGTACTGAGCTGTGCTGCCCACGTAGCCGCACGGAGCACGTGAGGTGCAGGAAGAGCGGTGGCAGGTCATGAAGGAAGCTCTCAGGCCCAGTGGGTGAGTCGCCCCCCAAGATACTGAAGGAGTCTTCATCAGGATTCACAGTGTCTACGTCTGACAGCGAGGCAGAGTCTAGCCCAGCAGGCCCCAGGTCTGATTCACGGCTCTCCCGGTATTCTACCTCTAGCTCTGGGTCACTCTCAGTGACCACACAGCAGGCAGATGTGTCTCCTAGTAGTGCATGTCACATGGTCAATGAGAGAGGCTGGCAGTGGAACCCTTGAATCTCGGCGTGAAGCAGCCAGCCTTCCCCACCTTGACTCACTTGCCCACATACCTTCTTCTCCCATAAGCTCAGCCTCTGAAAACTCCAGGTCACTGATTTTTCTGTCTACTGTGTCCCGAGGCCCCTCATCCTAGGCAAAAGAATGAAGCAAGATGATGAGGCAAGAATCCCACTTGCCTCATCCTAGGCAAGTGGGATTACACTTGTCTTGCCTTAGACAGCTTGATCTAAGGCAAGACAAGAGCCACATCCAGGCCTCAGGGAACCAAGACTCAAGAGGGTCTGGGTGGGCCTCTGGGTTGAGGGCACGAGAGAGGTAAGGAAGAGAGCCACTCACTTCTCGCCTGCTGGATGGAGGGCAATAGAAGAAGTAGTGGGGATTGGAAGGCACTGTGCGGAAGTGGAGACGACTGATCTCTAGGAACTTCTCCTGTTGTGGGGTTTAGAAGGAGGTTAGAATGTCAGTCACCCCTCAACAGGATACTACTCCCTACCCTAGAGCAGGACACATGCATACCCCCCGCCCAGGAGAGAATCCTGTCCCTCTGCACAGGCAGGACTCTAACACCTCTTCTACCCTCACCCAAGCTTCCCACCTGGATGACGCTATGAAGGGCACCATGGGCCTCTCCTCTGAGCTGGCAGACATCTGTCAGAGAGATCTCTGGCCCAGGGTCTGGAATGCCAGGGACACGGGTGCTCTGAAACTCAGGCTCGCTTAGGTCCTCGGTCTCTATGCTGAATGGTTGGGGTAAGGATGTTGAAGTGTTAAGAACCATCAAGCTCTGAAGTAGCCTGCCTCTCAACTGGGGAGCAGCACAGGAAGCCTTTTTGTCCACAGGAAGAGTACTTAGCGTAATGGCATGGGTGGTAAAAGAGGCAAAGAGAACCAACCTACACATTTTGGCTTTAACCTCCATATTTCTTTTTCTTTTTTCTTTCCTTTTTTTTGGGACAGAGTCTTACTCTGTTGCTGAGGTAGGAGTGCAGTGGCGCCATCACCACTTGCCTTCTGAGTAGCTGGGACCACAGGCATATGCCACCACGCCCAGCTAATTTTTAAATTCTTTTGTAGAAACAAGGTCTCCCCTGGTTGCTCAGGCTGGTCTTGAACTCCTGGGCTCAAGTGATCCTCCCGCCTCAGCCTCCCAAAGTGTTGGGATTACAGGAGTGAGTGACTGTAATATTTCATATTACAGCCTTAACTTTCATATTTCTTGATGGATGGGGATTTCTATGAAACAGAGTAGCGATAACTCCCAGTTTTCTGACTTGGATCACTAGATTGAGGGTGATATTTTTCACCATGAATGAAGAAAAATCAAGGGTTAGTGGGAAGAAAATGCATTCATTTGGGGGGCACAAAAAGTGAGTATCTAGAGCTCCAGAGAAAGAACCGGACCGGAGTTCCAATCTAGGAGTCATCAGCATATCCATCCTTCTAGTTCTTCTGTTTCCCCAACGCTAACACACTGCAGATGCTAGACCCATAGCTGTCTGCCTGCTTGCCTTTCTCCTTCTCTCCTCCCCTTCCTCCCTTCAACAGGGACCTGCTGAGCCCCTAAGGTGAGCTGGGGACTTAGCAGTGAGCAAAATACAGTTTTGGCCCCCATGAAATTCACAGATTGGTTGGGGAGATTCCTACTATTGTGTGGATGTCCTCAGAACAAGTCTCTACGTTCACGGTTAGCACCAGGGGACTCCCTATCCCTGACTCAGCTCATCACTCAACACCAAAGCAGGGGAGATGGGGAGAGCCTGGGAGGGAGACTGCTGCCTGTGCCAAATTGGTGAGGAAGGCTGCATGGGAGTCCGTGAGCCGGCGACAAAGCACTACTGCTTCTCAGGTGCTTAGATACTACCTTGCACAGTCATTCCCCTGGACTGGAAGGTCCTTGTTTATAGGGACTTGGTCTGTGTACCCCCTTATCCATCATTCAAGTATAATCCTAACCTGGATTCAGAAGCTAGGATAGCTCGTTCCCGAGGTTCAGCACCCTCCTCCATGCTGCTGCTGAAGGGCCCAGGGCTGAGAGGACCAGGACTTGGGGGTGCATGAGGCAAACCCCAAGTGTGGCCACACAATGCAAGGAGAAATGGGGTGATGTCTATTTCTTGTAGTAGCTCCTCACAGGCATCTACCGCTGTCAGCAAATCCTGGGAGGTCACACTCTGTGCTTGCTGCAAGCTGCGGAATAGCCCTGATGGAAGTGGAAGGGGCCATGAGGCTTGAGCTCTGGAATGGCCTCTCCAGTCCCCACCCTGTAATCCCTGTATCTCCCGCAGGGCCCCACTCCTCCCTCCCACGGCCCTCCTGCTCACCACGGACATAGCACCGCTGTGCATGCTCCTGCAGCAGGGCACAGTGGTTAGCTGCCTCCTTGTACCGGGGTTCCATCCAGGCTGAGGATGGGGAGGGGTGGTCGAGGAACTGAGTCCTAGGAAACGAAGGGAAAATGGAACTTGACCAACTCCCTTAAGTGATACCTCACACTCATTAGCCATCCACACTCCAATGGATCATCTATAGACACATATCAAGTGTATTCATGGCCTAGCAAGTTCAAGGGTTTGCTGAGGGAAATCAAGCAAGGAGCCAGCAGGATATGGCAGCAACTTACCTGCCCACGCCTATTAGTGTGTACTTATTTCTTGGCTGGGAGCCATGGCCCGGCGAGGACTTAGGTCAACACTGAAGGCACTCACCGGAAGATGAGGTCTCGGGGCGCCTGAGGGGGCTGCATGCCAACCATTTGTTCCCTCAGCGCTTCCAGTGAACAGCTGTAGATGTAGACAGGACACCGGGTCCGGGGCCCATCCGCACTCTCTGTCTGGGAAGCCTGACGCCCAGCGTAAGCCTGTAAGTCTCGACGGAATGGTGGACTTAGCTCTCCTTGATTCTGGGCATTGTCTGTGAAGAAAAGGTGTCACGTGGTCTTCCAGCTCTATCTGTTTCCCACTCCCACTCCTGCCCACCTTGAGTCGGCAGCCTTACCACTAGCCAGGGTCACACTGAGGACAGGGACGTGGGACTTTGTAGCTTTGATCCCAGTTCCTCCTAGATCTTTCAGACTGGGAGCCCCACTCCAATCCCCAAACTTAGGCTTTGTCTCCTCTTGAGGGGGTCCCTCCAGGCCACAGGCAGCCAGACGCTGGACATCTGAAGAGGATCAGACATAAATCAGAGCTGCCTGGTGGGCCAGTGAGGGAGCTCAGGGGTTTGTATCTGAGGGGGTTCGTGAGGAGGTCAGCAGCTGGCACCTGAGAAGGTAGCTGGGAGAAAAGTCAGAAACACATGCTGGGGGTTCACAAGCCTTGCATAGCAGCGCCACTGAGGGGGCTGGGCAGAGATGAGAGGCTTGAGAGTTTCAGGAAGACCTACACTCTGTAAGAGAAAAACAGAAATTAGAGCAATCTATAAGGGAATGTCCAACCCCTGTTCCCCTCCTCCACCCTAGAGCTGACTCATCTTAGGTATAGCTTGAAAGATCCAGGACAATGGAAAATGACGGCATTGTGTCATTGGCAGATGCCATTTAGTCTCAAGGGCGGTAGAAGGTTGGGGCCTGAAGATGTGGTGCTGGAAGGAGGTCAGTGTGACAAGGGCTCAGGGAGAAGAATCGGTGCTGACCAGGGAAGTAAAAGCGGAGTCTCCTGTGGCCTGGGTGCTGCCGACTGCTTGCTCCTTCGGGATCCCATGAACCCCCAGCAGTGGCCCCTCGGCACCTACAATGGGGGTAGAGATGGGTGAAAGAGGGCAGGGCCAGCAGAGAGGCGGGACTCTGGGTTGAAGAAAGGGGGAGGAAGGGGAAAGCCAAAACTCAAAGACAGAAATCACCCTGTGAGGGTGGGGGAAAAGGGCTGGGCCAGGGTCTGGTGTCAGGAGGATGTGGGGAACTCACCTGGAACGTGGCAGGTCCGCCGCAGCACCTCACTCAAGAAGGCAGCCTGGTCAACGGGGGTCAGTGGGATCTCCCGGTCACTCAGCTCCTGCCCCAGGCAGCTGTGCAGCAGGCACAGCACCATGTCGTTGGCAGGACAGGACCCCTCGGCGAAAGGGACACCCTCTGGCTCTGCCCGACACACACTCTGCTCAGCACCAAGAGCCTCCTGCTGCCCGGTGCCCCCGGCTCAGCCCTGACCAGCTGGCCCCTCCTTCAGCCTCATGGGCTCCTCCTGCCCCCACCACTCATCTGCTCACTTGCTGACCCATCTGTTTGTTATTTTCTAATACTTCCAGGCTTGCTGGCCCTTTAGGTGTGGGGTGAAAGGGTACCAGGTTCACCTACCTCTGGCAAGCAAGAGGAAGAACATCTGGAGCTGCTGGCACTGTGGCAGCAATCCCATTAGGTCAAAATGGAAAGGGATCTCATGGACGCAGGTGTCTCCTCCCTGATCCAATCCTACGAGGGAGGAAGGACAGGACACAGTGAGACGCAGATTACCCTACCCACTCCCCTGCTCCACCAGTGGGCCGCCTGCCCCACTCACCATCAGAGACCCTCGGCTCTGGGGGCAGAGGACCCCATTCCTTGCTCTGACACAGCTGTATCAGGTATTCAAAGCTCAGCATGGAGCCTATGCAGGCAGCATCCCGTGGGTGGAGCTACAGGAAGAACATCAGAGGTCAGGAGTCAACCCCTCTTAGCCCAGGATACCCTGGGTTCCAGCTCTTCAGGAAGCTTCAACAGTCCCAGCCATTCAGAGGGACCAGGAAGCCCACAGACTGCAGTACTCCAAAAGAGATGGCACCCCAATCCAGTGAGAGAGGTGCGGGTACTGTTCTGAGGACACTCACAGCTTGCGGGATCTCAGAATACGTCAGGTCCTGGAGGTGCTTCCAGATTCCAGGGCCAGGTCCCACTCGCCCATACTGTGGCTCCACCCACACCTCAGTGACCAGATTGAGCTCTGAGTCTCCCTCCAGGGCCTCCACTTCCACATCATTGTCATCATCTGTCGAGAAGCTAAAGGAGGAAGGGCTCTGAGTCCAATGCACAGCCTCATGGCAGGGAGTGAACCTCATGGAGGGAAGGAGGCAGGCACAGAGGACAGCCACGAGTCATACAAGGCCTTCCCAGACCAGCGTCTGCCTGATGAAGCATCTAAACACCGCACCCCCTCCCTGACTTTGGGATCAAGATCATCTCAGGATATGGGAGCCAGACCTCTAGGGGATGGTGGGGAGAAGGCTGACTCTGCAGAGGCGGCCCTCACAGATGGCCTGTCTCACCTGTCTTTGGTGGAGGTAGAGTGTGGGGGGAAGAGGATGTACTGGACAACACAGGTGTGCTTCTCTTCAGCTGCAGCCTGCCCTGGTGGTTCATTCTGTGGGCAAAATGGGAGATCTTGGGCAAATCCCAGCCAAGGCAGAGATCTGGCCTGGCCTAGCTCTGGCCCTCAGAATTTCAGTTCCCTCACCAAATTGTCCTATGACTGCAGCCTCAGACCTTGAGCATCCTCTGGCCACAGGGTCCCTGTGAGGCAGTTTCCAGCAGTCCCAACCCAGCTCAGAGGTGAGTGTCCCTGGGATTATGACAGACCTTGGCAGGGAGGTGTCATGGGGGATGGCACGTACCTGAATTGGAAGCTCCAGAACCATGTTGATGATTCCTTCCCCACTGCAGGCGAAGTGGAATCCTTCAGAAAGTCGGACTCTGAAGCCCCATAAAGGCCGGGGCAAGGCCAGGATAAGGGAAGAAGAGACACTGAGACTACAAGCTCTCCCCACATACACCCACCTCCCAGCAGTCCTCAAGGAGCCAAGTCTGCTGCTGGCCCTGCTTAGACTGGCGGTCCCTCAGGGTATAACAAATCCAGTGAGGATGAGAGAGGACAAAACAAATCGGGTGATGGGAGGAGACAGGGAGGGCAGTAGCAGATGCTGCTCTATACTTCAGACTGGGAATTAGAGAGGAGAAGTGTGTGCTATAGGCTTTTTGCTAGTGTCCCAGTCTACACTTGCTCTCTCCTTGCCCCGAGTGACCTGGCAGGCTTGGATGACATACTCAGTGAGGATGGAGAGGAGCTGGGCAATGGCACTGAGAGGCAGCGCAGGGGCCAGTCCTGACGGGACACTCCAAAGCCAGCGCTGATGGTAGAGGTAGCGGGACAGTGACGCCAGGCTAGAAGAGGCTGAGCGGCCTGACACCAAGGGCAGTGGACCTGGTGGCTCCAATGTCAGCAAGAAGGGTGCCCGGTAGTCCAAGGGCAGCTTCTCATACCTAGGAAATGGGACAACTCCCCAGCTATCTCTCTCATCCCCGGCTAAGCCACGCCCTTCCACACCTCTGTACCACTCACAGCTGGCTAAGCCACGCCCTTCCACACCTCTGTACCACTGATACCCGGCTAAGCCACGCCCTTCCACACCTCTGTACCACTCATACCCGGCTAAGCCACGCCCTTCCACACCTCTGTACCACTCATACCCGGCTAAGCCACGCCCTTCCATGCCTCTGTACCACTCATACCCTGCTAAACCATGCCCTTCCACATCTCTGTACCACTGATACCCTGCTAAGCCACACCCTTCCACACTCCTTACCACTCATACCCCGCTAAGCCACACCCTTCCACACCTCTGACCTACTCATACCTCGCTAAGCCACGCCCTTCCATACCTCTGTATCACTCATACCCCCCTAAGTCACACCCTTCCACACCTCTGACCTACTCATTCCTCGCTGAGCCATGCCCTTCCACACCTCTGTACCACTCATACCCCGCTAAGCCACGCCCTTCTGCAACTCTGTACCACTCATACCCCACTAGGCCAGACCCTTCCACACCTCTATACTACTCACACCGGGCTAAGCCATGCCCTCCACACCTCTGTACCACTCATACCCCGCTAAGCCATGCCCTTCCACACCTCTGTACCACTCATACCCCACTAAGCCACGCCCTTCCACACCTCCGTACCACTCATACCCTGCTAAGCCACGCCCTTCCACACCTCACCCCGCTAAGCCACACCCTTCCACACCTTTGTACCACTCATACCCCACTAAGCCACGCACTCCACACCTCTATACTACTCACACCGGGCTAAGCCATGCCCTCCACACCTCTGTACCACTCATACCCTGCTAAGCCACGCCCTTCCACACCTCTGTACCAACCTGATGAGCAGTTTGTCCAGTGGCTTATGCAGGACCACAAGGCAGGGCCGGTCAGACAGGGCCTGCTGTGGCCCCAGCACGGGGGGTGACTTGGAGGGAGAGCTGCCCCCACCAGCACCCCCTAGCCCTTTTCGTTTCACCTTGGGCGTTGGCTCCTTGCTTTGTACCCGGTGGGGGAAACGCAGCCGCAGGATCTCTTCCCTCAAGCCTGACACAATCTGAGGGGAAAATGTGGTCACATCCTCTTACTCCCATCTCCTACAGGTCTGGGAGAAGGGGCTCACAGACAAAGTGAGACACAGCCCTCTTCTCCAGGTCTTCCTTGGTCTGGGGGCTCCTCCCTCTATTAGACCTGGCCCTGTGGGGTTTGGGGAGAGGGAGCTATCCTACACCCTAGGGCTCCTTGGTCAGAGTCAGTCAGGGCCCAGCTTACCTTGTGCCGGGCCGGTGCTGGTGTGCCAATGGGAAAACCCAGGCGAAGAACCATGCATGGGGCCTTGGAAATGATACGGACCATGTAGAAGGAATTGGGGGGCTGGTCTGGGGCACTGGGGAGAAATGGGAGTCAGTGAGCAGCCCAAGGTTGGCAGGAAGTAGCAGTGAGGTCTGGGGTTAGAGGGAGACATGGGATGAGGTGGCGGGGGGGTGGGGGGGCGGGGGGTGAAGGGACATCACTTTGCCCACCTGGAGAGCAGCTTAACATAAGAATAGCCCTCGACTAGTACGAAGCTGCTCCAGTCCCGCAGCAGAGAGGTCAGGGAGGAGTGGGAGATCCTGCACTGGATAGTGCTGTAGCGCCCATTGCTGCCCGGGGTGTGCAAGTGCTTGGGGATTGGTCTAGGAAGAGGGGTGTGGACTGAGGTTAGACCTCCAGGCCCCAGGCTTGGAGAAAAGGAATAGACTACTATCACTCTCTTCTAGGCCTTGCCTGAGGTTATGGGGACTGAAGAGCAGGGAGGCAAGGAAAAGGCTATAGTTTTTCCTTGGCCACAGTTGGTAAGAGCTCATCTGCTGCTCCCCTTCCCATCATTCCCTATCCCCCTGACCCCGATACTCCACCCCAACTATGGCCCAGCCCTAAGGGCACCCACGTGTCATGCTCCAGGATTAGCACCAGGCGATGCATGTGCAGCCATCGCTGCCAGGAATTTGCATCCATGGACAGCACTGGCTTCCAGTAGGCAGCAAACTGGGCATGGGATGAGTCAGAACCACTGGGCTGGAGGGAGAGCACCTGAGGACAGGAAGGACAGCACTATAGGAGCATTTGCAGAGGACCAGGGTACAAACTCCAAAGAGCAAACAAAACCATGGGTGGACTCCGTTCAGAGAGTCAGAGACAGCAGTGGTTTGAGGCTACAGCCCAGCCTGAAGCACAGGCAAAAACTGTTTCCACTATGAAGGCTAGATTTGGATGACTGAGCCCAGGGACAGACTGTGTAGCCCTTTAAAGCTGAATCCAGAAGGATGGAACCATAAGCCCAGCTTATGTCACCGACTTGGGAGAAAAGCCCCTAAATGGTGGCAGGACCTCATGATGTGGCCACTGCACACTAGCATAAGCCACCTTCCCATCAGTGTTAGGCTGACAGCGTGGACTGAGTGTGAAGACAGCACAGGACCAAGGAAGCTGTAGTCTTCAGGGAGTACACAGTTCATGGTGGCTGGTGGTGGATGCACACAGGTGAAGGCGGCTGGGGAAGCCCAGAGTATGTCACGTGGAGATGGGGCAAGGGCTCACGGTCTGCTGGGACTGGGATACCACCACCTAGACACTGTGTGAGTCTTTGCCTCTGCCACCTGTGCTCTGTTCAGGACAGCCTGTCTGTATAGATCCTCCTCTTCCCCGGGGCCTTAGGGAGAAGAGAAGCTCTCAAGGTTAAAGCTTGGGCTTCTGGCTTAGGTGCCTTAGACGTGAGACAGAAAGGAATAGAAGGTGGTGGTCCTGGGCTCCAGATGCTGTGCAACCCAAGTTGACATGAAATGGGGCTACTATACTTCAGAGCTACTCACCGGGGTGGTGGAGCCTGGAGGGATGTAGAAGAGTGGCACTCCGCTCTTGGTGCTGTCAGGAAGCGTGAAATGCTCAGGCACTGAGGAGAAGGACTGAAGGTGGGCAAGCATCTGGTCTGTCTGGTTGATGCTGTAGAATAAGGGCCAGGCCTGAGCCATATCTGACTCTGCTGGGTGCAGATGAGGGGAGCCTTAGGGGGACATGGGACCCTGGATATAAGCCTGGTTCTCTGGGTGATGCTCCCCAGCTCCCGCCTTTGCAAATCTGTCCCTCCATACAACAAATGGGGCAGCACTCATTGAGTGATGACTTCACTGACCTCTGCAGCGTGTTCCAGAAACGCCGGATAACATGGGTACGATACAATGAACGAATGGGCTGCCTTAGTGCACAGGACACATCATGCAAAATGTCGTAGCCGCCTTCCATCGTCACTTCCACCCGTGTTACTCGAGGGCCCTCAGGCTCCAGGGGCCAGGGTGCCATAGCCACATACTCAATGCGCATGTTGTGTTTCCACAGCAGCACCAGCTTTACCTCCAATTGGGACCCTCCTTAGGGAGAAGCGGAAGGGCCAGTTAGGAGAAGGCATAGGACTCTAGGCCTGGGATCGAGTTCTATCTGAAACCCCCACCTACCTCATGGAACCCAGTCCTGCCAAAGGTTCCAAGCATGGTTCCACAGGTTTCAGGCCCAGAGTTGGCCCACTGACACAAACACAAGTTTGTAGAAACAATCTGAAAACTAAGCCAAGTTCAGGACCCTATACCACCCTCAGCTGGTTCACCTTGGGCAAAAGGAGATAGAATTGGGAAGCTCCATGCTAAGAGAATTAAGCCCTGATGACAATTCAAAACCCACTGTCTCAAGTGATAAGGACTTCAATGTGACACTCTTTCATGTGTGATACATGTGGGTCTTCCCACACACAAATTCTTGAGAGATCTATGGGATTACAGCAGGGCCTAATGACCCTTACCTTTGGCCAGTGTGACCTCTCGGACACTGTAGCCCTCTCGAAGCCGTACGGACACAGTGCTGACCAAGTCGGCTGGCACCTCCTTCTCAGTGTGCTTCTTCCGGCGCAAGGCCAGGGCAGGGTTGCTGCTTGCAGAGACCAGGTGCTCATTAAATAGGCGGTGCTGAGAGCCTGGAAGACCAGTGGAGATGGGGAAGGAGAAACTGGTTATCTGCCAACTGACAGATCTGTAGGGGGAAGGGGCTATGCTGAAATGACTGTGAGGTAACAGTGCCAGCAGAGCCAGCCCCAGTTACACTTTCAGTCCTCCAGGGCCCCATCATCTCTGGGCCCATTCTATATTCCCTCCTTCCCACACCCACCTCAGTGTGCCTCTCACCGCAGTAATATTCAGGGTTCAGTGCTTCCCCACTGCGCAGGAAGGAATAGAGGAGAAATGCCCGGTGGTAGACAGTCAGACCCAGGTTGCCTGGCTCCGGCTCAGGACAAGTGGACAGGTAGGACCCAAATGTTGCCATTGCGATGAACTTCATTAATTCCACATTGGGCACATGGCCAAAACTGCAGTCATAAGAGTAAACTCCTCCCACCTGGAAAAAGTGAGCAACTGAAGACCTAGCTCTGACAGAGGCATAGGAGAAGGAAGAACAGGAGAGAAAGAGACTGGGCTAGGTGGCTGCTCCCATTCCCTGGACCACAGAGTGGGAAGTAGGCCAGTGTTTTCCCAGGACAGACCACTGTCTGTGTCTTTCCTTCCTTAAGCCCTTCTGTCTGATGCCCATGCTAACCGGCCACAGCATCCTCTTTGCTTCCTCCTCGATACCTAAAGGCCCACCACCTCCTTCACTAAAGATTTTGGCAACTGGTTCACTGACTTCCTGTCATCATCCTGAGAGACTTCAGCTTACCAACACTTCTCAAACTTTAGGGTGTATGAAAAACACCTGGGGATTTTGTTAAAATGCAGTAGGTCTGGGGTGGGGCCTGAGATTCTGCATTTCAAACAAGCTTTCTGCTGGTCTGTGGACTACATTTTGAATACAATAGCTGTAGGTGGGAAATTAGCAAACTACATATACCCTGAGGGCCAAATCTAGTCCATCACCTATTTTTGTGAATCGAGTTTTATTGGAACACAGCCACACACATTCATTTTGTATTGTCTGTGGCTGCTTTCACGCTTCAACAGCAGAGCTGAGTAGCTGTGACGGACCAAGTGGCCCACAAGGCTTAAAGACTGACTGGCCTTTGCAGAAAGTGTTTGCAGACCTGCTCCAGATTACTCATTCAAGTCCCTGCCCTCTCAGTTCCTTAACTCTCATCTCCAGTAACTTACTCTATTCCATTCACCTGCCTATAGGCTACACGCTGGCTCTTGGCTTCATGTGGAACAAATTCATCTTTGCAATTTCAAATTGCCATAACCCACTGATTACATACAACACTATTCCCTTAGCTTCCTCCCACCCTCCTCCTGCTGCTGCTCTTTGACCTCACTGAGACTGCCAGGCCTTGAACCTCTGCTCTCTCCAAATCTATCCACATTGTCCTGACCCTCCTTTCTCGACCCAGCTTGGACCCTACATTCAGACAACTTCATAAGCATCGCTCTCAAATCCCTGGCCCTCTTCACTCTCATCTGCTTCTTCGAAACCCCAACTACGATCATAGCCTCTATTCTTGGCCAGTGGTGCCCAGAGAAAACTGACAGTTGTGTAGGTTGGCACCACATCAAAACATATGACACCCAACTCAGCTAGTCCTTCAGGGCAGTCCTTAATACTGTTCCTTCTTCCCAACTCTGGCCTCTTCCTTACAGTACTCAGCTTCACCTTTTACTTCAGAGAGAAATCGGAGGCCCTTCGCAGACATCTTCACTTCTTTCTATTTTCAAAGAAAGAAACGACACTTCCCTGCTCCAAAAGAATCCCTCAATCTGTTTCTTAAGACAATGCCCTCCTGTCAATTTAGGGACTTTACTCCACCAGCCTCCTTTTTCCTTCCTTTATTTTCAAACTCTTCTTCACTACAGATCCTTAGAAACATGCTTAAGTCTCTAGCTTTAAAAACAAAACACAACACTCCTTTACCCTGTACTTCCCTCTGGTTACCATTCTCTCTCTTGCTCTGCTGTTTATCTCAACAGCCAAATTTCTTTTGTCAACACTTGTCCCTATTTCCTTCCTTCTATCCACTCTTCAATCCCCTCACCACCTCTTCACTAAAATGGCTCTGAAAAAGATCCCCGTGACCTCCTAATCACCAAATCCAAAGGGCACTTTTCATTCCTCATTTTACTTGATCTTTTTGCTACTTCTCACAGTGTAGTTACCATTGTGAGAAGCAGCAGAAAGATCCAGTAAAATTTTCTTCCAAAAATTCTGACCTTCTCTGACATCACAATCTTCTGGTTCCTGGCTGATTCTTCATTCCTTGCTGGGCCCTCTTCCTATGAAAGACCTTGAACACTGGTGTTCCCCAAAGTTCTTCCAGGACCCTCTTCTGTTCTCAATTACCATCTGTACCCTGATAAATCTTAAATCTCTACCTCTCAAGCAGTGTTTGTCTCCTGAATATCAGGATCTGTGTATTCAACTGCTACCTGCTACAAATAGCAGCCATTTCTTAAGTGATTACGTACAATGCTACATACTTTAAATGCATCTCACCTCCCAGTGAGATAAGTACTTTTACAATCTCCATTTACAAATGAATCTGACCTAGAGGTGAAGTGATGTGCCCAATGTCACACAGTTAGTAAGTGCAGTCAGGATTTAGACCAGCATGCCTAACTCCAAAGGTGATGTTCTTAACTGTCTGTGTTGAACCACAGGCACCTCGAACACAACATACACAAACTTGCATTCATCATCTTATCCTCACTCTACCACAACTGCTTCTCTTCCTTTTGCTCTGCTGCTACCCAGTCATCACTGGAGTCAAAAACTTGGAGACAACTTTAAGCCCGCTTCTCTCTCATCTCCTTACCCCCATCTTGCTAATCATGAAGTCAGGTTGACTCTGCCTCTTCATTTTTCTCAATCCTCTTACCCCTAATTTAAGCCCTGATCCTCTCTCACTGCAATTAGTAGCCTCCCCGACTTCCCCCGTCCTTCACCCAGCAGCAAGAGTGACCTTTATAAAACATAAACCCAACTAATGACTTTCCTTCTATCTATCTGCATCACCCACAGAATCATGCTTAACCTCATTAATAAAGCAGAACCAGATTTTCATGTTCTGGCCTGTGCCTACCCCTTCAGCCTTGTTTCCCATAGCTTTTTACCTCCTTCCCTACAGTCCATCAATCCAAATTAGCTGCAGTCCCTGGCTATGCCTTTTCCCCCTTTGGTTAAGCTAGTTTGAGCGGGGTTTTCTGACCCTTGCACTCAAAACAATAATGACTAATCTACAAGGGGAGGTGGGACTGGAAATGACTGTCAGATTTCAAATTCTGCATTCTTTTTGCTTTAACAGCTATTTCCAAAATCCTAAGGAAAGAGGAAAAAAATAAGAGTCCTCTCCCACGATGCTACCTACCTTCTAGATATGACTCCTTCCCCCCATGTAACTAAGTAATTGACTTTATCTGGGAAATCACTGCCTGTAAGAAAGTAATCAGCCATCCCAACTTTGTGTGAGATATTCCATATCTCTCTCGTCCTTCCTAAAAAGTCCTCACCTGGACAAAGGAACAAGCCACAGTGCCACTGCGAAGCTGGTTCAGCAGTGTCTCACAGACAGCAACATCAGGTACACTGGTCACCCCATCCGTGATCACGATAATCCCTGGAGCAGGAAACACCAGATCAGACCTGGAGACACTGGCCAGACCAAACTCACAGGGAGGCACCCAACTGACAGGGTCCTGAACGGCTCAGTGTCTTCCCACCAATGTCGGCAGTTTCATAAACTGTGAAGTTTTATAAACTTCAAACACCTTTCCTTCTCCCTTACCCTCCTGCTTCTTCCTCTTGAATGCCAGATCATAACCTCCCCTAAGTGATATCCTTGGAGCTCTACTCCTTCTAGGGTCTCTGATGGTTGTCAGAGTCGAGGGTTCCTGATACACACTAATACAGACTTACATTTTGCAAACAAGGAAACAGATCCTCTTCCCTGGGGCCCACTGATTCCCTGGAACTGCTATCTTTGTTAGCAGTCAGCCCCACCCTTCCTGTATCCCTGCTTCCCCAGTCCCACCAATATTCCTTCTACTGACCTGCACTAGAGTTCGAGGGTAGTAACTGCAGTGCCAAGATGCCCTGACGAATCATACTGACCAGCCCAAGATCAGCTGTCACCATGGAGACGCCTACCTTCCGGCCCAGTAGGTCCCCTGAGTCTGGGGACTGGTCTTCTGCCTGCCCCAAGTTACAGAAAAGACAGAATGGGGCAGATGGCATTGCTGCCCCATCCATAGCAAAGCCAGAATTTATAGCCCAGCACTTCTCAGGCCAGACAGGCCGAATCCTGTGAGAACCTCAATTCCCCTACTATGCGGCTGAGTCTTGACTGTGCTTCCTCCCTGTGTGTGCTCAGATACTGAACCTCAGAGGTGAAGGGAGTTCGGCATCAGATGAAGCTTCAGACTGTACTGAAGTAGGGCTTCTCCATCTTTTGCCAAGAAGGGCCCCTTTCCACATTTTTCCATCACTGTTATGAAATATTTTATACCTCAATCAAATTACATGACCAGTCATCAGGCACACAGGACTGCCATTTGCCTGGCTACTTCTGGGGTACCCAAAGTGATGAGACAGGGAAGTCTAGTGGGCCTAGGCAGCTTTATCCCTGATTGTACAAAATGCTAACTAGAGGTCAAAGCCACGCATAATCACCTTCTCAGATCCACTGGAGGAGATCTGGGGCTAAAAAAAAATGCAAACAAATGGATTTCACATTTTTTCCCTGAAAGAATCTGTGTTTTGGGGAGTATATCTGAGTCCTGCTCCAACAGGGAGTGTGTCATGAGCATGCCTATCCTTGTCTCATTTTGCCCCAGCTCTTAGCCCTTTTTTGCCCTATTTGGACTATCCCTCCTCTCTGCCCTCTGTCCTTAGCTGCTCCTCTTTCTAAGTTGCCTCTGCCCACTTTCTCTCTTACATACCTGGCTCTGGGGATCGTACTGCTGCTGCAGCATGGTGGCCACCTTATCCTCAAAGAGGCAGAGCTGCTCATATATCTGCTGCAGGAACACCTCCCGCTGGGAAGGGTCCAAGAGGCAGCCCTGTACCAGCACCTAAGAAGCACATGGGAAAGACTGAGACAGGACGGTCAGGGTGGCACAGACCACTACACTTCTGCTCTGTTTATTCTCCATAGCTCCATCTAGGCGATCCTGACTTCCTACCCAACCAGGGTCTAAGGTATGACTCCACAGCCAATTTCCCCCTTATCCAATCTCCATCAGTCCTCAGCCCAGGTCCCTAGTCATTAGTCATCTTTATCTGGGGTCACAACTTCCCTCTGCTTAGGGTCCTCCACACTGGGCTTCCCCAACCCCCCACATGGGGGCACTATAAGATCTTCTATTAATAGCTTCTTCTACCTTGGCCTACAGGATGTCTTATGAGCTGCCCCTCCTCAGCCCGGCAAAGCCTTTTTTATTCTCATACTTTTTAATGCTTTTTTATTTCTAAGCATACTGACCAGCCCAAGATCAGCTGTCACCATGGAGACTCCTACCTTCTGTACACACAGAGGCTATTCTGGACCTTTTCAATTTTACAAAAATTAGCTGTGCATGGTGGTGGGCACCTGTAATCCCAGCTACTTGGGAGGCAAGAGAATTGCTTAACTGGGACCTGGAAGGCAGAGGTTGCAGTGAGCAGAGATCACGCCACTGCACTCCAGCCTGGGCTACAGAGTGAGACTGTATAAAAAAAAATTTTTTTTTAAAAATTTTTGTGGGTACATAGAAGGTGTATATATTTATGGAGCACATGAGATATTTTGATACAGGAATACAATGTATAACAATTAAATCATGGTAAATGGGGTATCCACCACTTCAAGTTTTTTTTGTTTGTTTGTTTGTTTTTTTGAGACAGAGCCTTGCTCTGTCGCCCAGGCTAGAGTGCAGGTGCGATCTTGGCTCACTGCAACCTCCGCCTCCCGGGTTCAAGCAATTCTTGTGCCTCAGCCTTCCTCAGCTGGGATTACAGGCATGGGCCACCACACCCAGGTAATTTTTGTATTTTTAGTAGAGACGGGGTTTCACCATGTTGGCCAGGCTGGTCTCAAACTCCTGGCCTCAAGTGATCCACCCACCTCAGCCTCCCAAAGTGCTGGGATTACAGGCATGAGTCACCATGCCTACCCACCTCAGGCATTTATCCTATTTTTTGTGTTACAAACAATCCAATTTTACTCTTTTAGTTATTTTTAAATGTACAATAAATTACTGTTGACTGTAGTCAGTCTACTGTGCTATCAAGTACTAGATCTTATTCATTCTTTCTAACTCTATTTTTGTACCCATTAACCATCTCCCCTTCCACCTCCCCCAGCTACCCTTCCCAGCCTTTGGTAACCATCGTTCCACTCTCCATCTTCATTAGTTCAATTGTTTTAATTTTTAGCTCTCACAAATAAATAACATGCCAAGTTTGTCTTTCTGTGCCTGGCTTATTTCACTTAACATAATGTCCTCCAGTTCCATCCATGTTGTTGCAAATGACAGGATCTCATTCTTTTTTATGGCTGAATAGTATTCCATTGTATATATGTACCACATTTTCTTTATCCATTCATCTGTCAATGAACACTCAGGCTGCTTCCAGATCTTGTCTATTGTGAATAGTGCTGTAATAAACATGGGAGTGCAGATATCTCTTCCATATACTGATTTCCTTTCTTTTGGGTATACACCTAGGAGGGAGGATTGCTAGATCATATGGTAGCTCTATTTTCAGTTTTGTTTTGTTTTGTTTTTTGTTTGAGATGGAGTCTTGCTCTGTCACCCAGGCTGGAGTGCAGTGACACTATCTCGGCTCACTGCAATCTCTGCCTCCCAGATTCAAGCAATTCTCTGCCTCAGGCTCCCGAGTAGCTGGGATTACAGGCATCTGCCATCACGCTCAGCTAATTTTTGTATTTTTAGTAGAGACAAGGTTTCACCATGTTGGCCAGGCTGGTCTCAAACTCCCACCTCGGCCTCCCAAAGTGCTGGGATTACAGGTATGAGGCACCGTGCCCAGCCTATTTTGTTTTTTGAGGAACCTCCAAACTGTTCTTCATAGTGGTTGTACTAATTTACATTTCTACCAAGAGTGCACAACGTTACCTTTTCTCCACATCCTCACCAGCATGTTATTGCCTGTCTTTTGGATAAAAACCATTTTAACTGGGGTGAAATGATACCTCATTGCAGTTTTCATTTGCATTTCTCTGATGATCAATGATATTGAACACTTTTTCATATACCTGTTTGCCATATGTATGCCTTCTTTTGAGAAATGTCTATTGAGATCTTTTTTAAGATAAAAAAAATCCCATTTTAAAATCAGATTATTGGATTTTTTTTTCTTATAGAGTTGTTTGAGCTCCTTATATATTCTGGTAATTAATCCCTTGTCAGATGGGTGGTTTGCAAATATTTTCTCCCATTCTGTGGTTGTTTCCTCACTTTGTTTATTGTTTCCTTTGCTGTGCAGCTTTTTAACTTGATGTGATCCTATTTGTCCATTTTTGCTTTGCACGCTTGTGCTTGCAGGGTATTATCAATAAATCTTTGAGCCAAGCATAGTGGTTCACATGTGTAATCCCAGCACTTTGGGAGGCCAAGATGGGAAGATCGCTTGAGCCCAGGAGTTAGAGACCAGCTTGGTAGAGACCTCATCTCTACAAAAAAACTAAAAATTAGCTGAGTGGTGAAATGCACCTGTGGTCTCAGCTACTCAGGAGTCTGAGGCAGGAGAATCACTTAAGCCCAAGAGATCAAGGCTGCAGTGAGCTGTGTTCACACCACTGCACTCCAGCCCAGGCAACACAGCGAGACCTTCTATGGAGAACACAGCCAGTACCAGAGTTTATGCAGAGCGTGGGTGAAGCTGTTGATCTCTTTACAATCTGCACAGCCTATTGTGAGTATTTCTGGGCAGGCAGTTCCTCTGCCTGTTTCAGGAGAGGTTTACTGATTTGAGGCTTATATGTTAGGTCTTTGGTTTGGGTCTCATTTTAAGGGTTGTTTGGGGGCTGGGTGGTCGGCCTTACACAGGAAGCGGACAGACAGTGGATGAAGTCGCCGGGTGTGGTGGCTCACGCCTGTAATCCCAGCACTTTGGGAGGCTGAGGCGGGCAAATCATGATGTCAAGAGTTCAAGACCAGCCTGGCCAACATGGTAAAACCCTGTCTCTACTTAAAATACAAAACATTAGCTGGGCGTAGTGGCAGGTGCCTGTAATCCCAGCTACTCGGGAGGCTGAGGCAGGAGAATTGCTTGAACCCGGGAGGCGGAGGTTGCAATGAACCAAGATCATGCCACTGCACTCCACCCGAGGTGACAGAGTGAGACTCTGTCTCAAAAAAAAAAAAAAAAAAAAAAAAAAAGATAGTGGATGAACTTTTCTGCTCTATCTTGTGGGCAGGTGATTTTGCTTTTGTTTTTGTTTTTCATTCTTCCCCCTCCACAAGCCAAAGTCATTTCACTTGGTTTCCACTGTGTGGACAGTGCTGGAGCTCAGCACTTGATGGGGCTGGGTGAGCCCTAGGTTGCAGACATGGCAAAGCAGAGAAACTGTTCTTCTGGTTCCTGCCCAATCTCAAAGGGGCTAAAGCCCTTCCCAGGGAGGAGGGTGTTCAGGAGCCAGACTTTTGGAGAGGAGGCAGTTTCCAGTCTGCTGGGTGACTGTCATTCTGCATGTGTTCCCTGAGCTGGAAAGGGCTGGAAGCTTCATGCATGAACCATGGAGAAGTAGCCATCACCCCTGCCATGGGTAGAGGGCATCCTAACTGGGCCCCCTGGGTCAGGCTAGAGCCAACACTGCCAGCTGCCCCCTCTGGCCTGCTGGCAATGCCACAGGTGCCCAAGAAGATGGGGGATACCTGTGCCAGAAGCCAACCTGGTCTTCCCAAGGGGCAGTGCCCTCCATGAAGACAGAAGTGAGAGAATAAAGTTCCCTGTAGATCCTCTACTTTTGGGTTGTGTTTTTCAAATGCTGACATTTCAGAGGGGATCCTACAGAAACCCAGCTGGCTTCCCCCAAGGACTCCCCCTTTGCTGGGAGTGGATTTCCACATGTGCCTTTGATTTCATATAGATCAGGCTTTACAGTCACCAATTCAGCTGCCAGAGTCCCTGTACTGGGGGTTGGCATTTTCTACAGAAGAGGAATGGCCTCCCTCACCCTGCTCCCCACCCAGGCAGGGCAGCACAGGATCCAGCAACTCAGTGCTATCAAGATCCCCCCCCAACCCCCAATATACCCCACCTCAGAGGCCTTGCCTGGGCAACCTCAAGCCCCCGTTCCTCGCCATACACTGATGCCTGGCAGCTATAGCAAATGACTCATGTTCTTTGTCAAAGGCCTGTAGTGAGATGATTTTGTTTCCTTTGTTTTGTGAGTTTAAAATTGAAATTAGTTATTTCCTTCTGCTTAACAGTATTAAATAGAGCAGGATATTGAGTTAATCTGCTAGATTAGACACAGAAAAGAAATCTTTGCCCAGTCCAGTGTCATGGAGCGTTTCTCCAATGCTTTCTTTTAGTAGTTTCATAGTTTGAGGTCTTAGATTTAAGTCTTTTTTTTTTTTTTTTTTTTTTTTGAGACAGAGTCTTACTCTGTCGGCCAGGCTGGAGTGCAGTGGCGCGATCTTGGCTCACTGCAACCTCTGCTGCCCGGGTTCAAGCGATTCTCCTGCCTCAGCCTCCCGAGTAGCTGAGATTACAGGCACCTGCCACTGCACCCGGCTAGTTTTTTTGTAGTTTTTTAGTAAAGATGGGGTTTCACCATCTTGGCCAGGCTGGTCTTGAACTCCTGACCTCGTGATCCACCTGCCTTGGCCTCCCAAAGTGTTGGGATTACAGGTGTGAGCCACTGCGCCTGGCCAGATTTAAGTCTTTAATCCATTTTGATTTGATTTTTGTGAGATAGGAGTCTAGTTTCATTCTTCTGCATATGAATATCCAGTCTTCCCAGAACCATTTATTGAAGAGACTGTTCTTTCCCCAATGTATGTTCTTGGCATCTGTCAAAAATGAGTTCATTGTAGATATATGGCTTCTGGGTTCTCTATTCTGTTCCATTGGTCTATGTGTCTGTTTTTATGCCAGTACCATGCTGTTTTTGGTTACTATAGCTTTGTAGTATAATCTGAAGTCAGGTAATGTGATTCCTCCAGTTTTGTTTGTTTTGCTCAGAATAGCTTTGGCTATTCTGGGTCTTTTGTGGTTCCATATAAATTTTAGGATTGTTTTCTCTATTTCTATGAAGAATGTCATTGGTATTTTGATAGGAATTGTACTGAATCTGTAGACTGCTTTAGGCAGTGTGGGCATTTTAACAATACTGATTCTTCCAATCCATGAACATGGAATATCATTCCAATTTTTGGAGTCCACTTCAATTTCTCTCATCGATGTTTTATAGTTTTCATTGTAGAGATCTTTCACTTCTTTGGTTAATTCCTAGGTATTTTATTTTAAACTATCGTAAATGGGATTACTTTCTTGATTTCTTCTTCACATTGTCTGCTGCTGACATACAGAAATGCTACTGATTTTCTGTATGTTGATTTTGTATCTTGCAACTTTACTGAATTTGTTTATCAGTTCTAATAGTTTTTTGGTGGAGCCATTAGGTTTTTCCAAATAAAAGATCATATCATCTGCAAACAAGGATAATTTGACTTATTTTCCAGTTTGGATGACCTTTCTTTCTTTCTCTTGTCTGACTATTCTAGGTAGACCTTCACTTTTCTCTCTTTTACGCTCAAAATCCTCTCCTTATCCCCCTAATGAATGCTCCTTCCTTCCCTTTACCCTCAGCAGATAACTCCTGCCCTGTGCCCTCTTCAAAGAGAAAGCAAGTCAGTCAATAGGAACGCCCTGCTTACCCCAAACTGGAGGGTACACTACTCTCTAACTCTCTGAAAGCACCCCCAAAGTCTACTGAAGGTTTACATCTGTGTCTTTGTTCTTCCTTCAAGGTGCTGAAGCAAGGATTCCTCTTCCTTCTCTTTTTCCCTGTAGCTAATCTGTCCATCTAATCTTGAGCCTTTTGTCTCTCTAATATCTTCATTCTTTCTCCATGGGCTCCTTTTCTTCTACTTCAAACATAAATAAGTATCCCCATCCTAAAATTGTATATAGACCCAGCAGTCCCTGCGGTGGCCCTCAGGATCTCACCCCTCTTTCCCCATCACACTCGTACAACCTGCCCCACATGCCCACTTCTCTCGGACCCTGACCCCATGGAACAACTACTTTTTTACTCCCTGTTCCCAACTGGATAAGTGGGTCGGGCGAGCCAGAAAAGGGAAAGTGGGACATTGTCTCACTCTACAGGCCCATGGGAAGGAAAACGAGCAGAACTGGAGCCATAAAAAGGTGAGAAAGATGTTCCTATTCATATTATTTAGAATAATGAAAACTGAGACAACTCAAGTGGCCAAGTAGGGGCTGGCTAAACATATGGTAAGATATGATGAAACAGTAAGTTAACAGGACATTAAAAATCACATTTTCAAAGAATATTTAGTGACACACAAGAATGCCCATACTATATGTTAAAAAAATAAAAAAAAGGCAGGACAGGCTAAGCACAGCAGCTCATGCCTGTAATCCCAGTACTTTGGGAGGCTGAGGTGGGAGGATCACTTGAAGTCAAGAGTTTGAGACCAGCCTGGACAACATAACAAGATCCTGTCTCTACAAAAAAATTTAAAACAATTAGTCAGGTATGGTGGCATGCACCTGTAGTCCTAGCTACTTGGCAGGCTGAGGTGGGAGATCACTTAAGCCCAGAAGTTGAAGGTTACATTGAGCTATGATCATGCCTCTGCACTCCAGCCTGGGCAACAGAGTGAGACCCTGTCTCTTAAACAAAACAAAAAACAGGACATAAAATCACGTGTCTAGAATGAGCCTCTTGATTCTCCCTTTCTCTTTGGGTAAAGAGATGGAGGTGAGGGAGGATAAAGACACACTCACAAAATTAGAAGAAAGTTCCATAAAATGTTAGAATTTAAGCCAGGAGTGGTGGCTCACGCCTGTAATCCCAGCACTTTGGGAGGCCGAGGCGGGCAGATCACAAGGTCAGGAGATCAAGACCATCCTGGCCAACACTGTGAAACCCCGTCTCTACTAAAAATACAAAAAATTAGCCGGGCGTGGTGGCGGGCGCCTGTAGTCCCAGCTACTCGGGAGGCTGAGGCAGGAGAATCACCTGAACCCAGGAGGTGGAGGTTGCAGTGAACCCAGATCATGCCACTGCACTCCAGCCTGGGTAACAGAGCAAGATTCTGTCTCAAAAAAAAAAAAAAAAAAAAAAAGGTTAGAATTTAATACGATACCCAGAAACAACTACTGTTGTTTGCACAACTCCTGTTGTTTCTGGGTATTGTATTATAGATGAGTTTTGTTTTTTCTTTATATTTTAATGTATTTTTCAAATCTCTGTGGACATGTATTATATATGTGAATTAACTTTTTTCTTTTGAGACAGGTTCTCACTCTGTGGCCCAGGCTAGTCTCAAACTCCTGGCCTCAAATAATTCTTTCACCTCAGCCTCCCAAGTAGCTGGGATTACAGGCACGCACTGCTGTGCTGTGATTTAACAGGATATATCTTGTTTTTTTTTTTGGAGACAGAGTCTCACTCTGTTTCTCAGGTTGGAGTACAGTGGCGTGATCTTGGCTCATGGCAACCTCTGCCTCCCAGGTTCAAGCAATTTTCATGACTCGGCCTCCCAAGCAGCGGGGATTACAGATATGCACCATCACGCCCAGCTAATTTTTTTGTTGTTGTTGTTGTATTTTTAGTAGACAGGGTTTTGCCACATTGGCCAGGCTGGTCTCAAACGCTTGGCCTCATGTGATTCACCTGCCTTGGCTTCCCAAAGTGCTAGGATTACAGGCATGAGCCACTGCGCCCAGCCAGGATACATCTTGAGGGAGCCACAGAGAAAATGAAAAGGCTGGCTCAGGGCGGCCAAGTGGCCCTGGGGCTTAACTGATGAAATCCTCTCCTTCCCTATAGCTGCTGTCCTTATTCAGGCTTCCTCCTCTCTCCCATGCTACAATAATCTTCGCCTATTCTCCCATCCAGACTTTGTCCCCAAATCCATCCTCCATATTAGCCACAAAATACTGTGATCTTCCCAATGTAGACATGTGATCCTGTTACTGTCTGTTTAAAATTTTCAGTAGTTCTCCGCTACCTATGGCTAATTATTTTAATAGCTAACATTTGCACATTCTGTATGTGGCAAGCACAGTTCTAAGTGCTTGACATGTATTAATTCAATCACCATATGATATAAGCAATGTTAATATCCCCTTTGGAAAAAGGTCACAGATGCACAGAAAGGTTAAGTAACTTGCTCAAGGACACACAACCAGTAAGTGGTACTGCCAGGAAGCAAACACAGGCAATGTGATTCCAGATCCAGTGCTCTTATCCTCCACACTGAACTCCCCCATAGAATAAAGCACAAAGTCCTTAGTGTCACATTCATGGCCTTTCATAACCAGCTCCCACTTATGTCTACAGTCTCCTCTTTACCATCCCTTTCCACATTCAAATTTTACTCTGTTGACACTGAATAATATGTAGTTCCCTAAAACACCTGTGATTGAGAGTACAGGTTCATAGTACCATGTATTTGCTTTTGCTGGTCCCTCTGTCAGAAAAGTCCATTTCCCCTTCTTTGAATGGTTAACCTCAATTCTTTCTTCAAAACTCAGTTCAAATGCTGCTTTGGGCCAGGCACAGTAGCTCATGCCTGTAATCCCAGCACTTTGGGAGGCTGAGGCAGGTGGATCACTTGAGGTCAGAAGTTCGAGGGCAGCCTGGCCAACATGGTGAAACCCTGTCTCTACCAAAAAAAACAAAAAAAACAAAAATTAGCCGGGTGTGGTAGTGGGCACCTGTAATCCCAGCTACTTGAAAGGCTGAGGCAGGAGAATTGCTTGAACCCAGGAGGTGGAGGGTGCAGTGAGCCAAGGTTGCACCACTGCACTCTAGCCCGGGCAACAGAGCAAGACTCTGTCTCAAAAACATGAAAAACAAATGCTGCTTTGTCTGAAAGACTTCTCTATTGTGGCCCCATGCTTGGTTGGGTGCTCCCTCTTGGTGCTCCCATAGCACCTGAGTCATCTTATCGGTGCCCTTATCACATTCAACTACAATTACCTCCCTTTAATATTTATCTCCCCCACTAAAATCTCAACTCTTCACATCAGGAGAAAGACAAGGTCTGATTCATCTGTGTCTTCAGGACCTGCTCAGGCCTGGTATAGCTCAGGCTTCATTAAGTGTTTGCCAACCTGAACCAAGTTTTGAGTGATTACCTAACATCCATGCTCTCCCTGCCTTGGCTATCAGTGCCTGCAAAACCTGGCCCCCATCTGGGGATGCAGCCCACAACTGATAGTCCTAACGGCTATACTAGGAAAGCACTTTAAACTAGGGCAGAGGGCTGGCAATCCCTGCCCTGGGATCCAGGTATGCACCAATTTTGTTGCTGTATGTTTCAGACCCTTAGATCATGTTCCCAATATCTTATCTCTCAAATCCAGTTTGATAGCTAAGGTGACAATGCAGCCATCACGGACAGTTTCAGGGAAAGCCTTTACCAATGAGTTAAGGGTAGTTAAAAGCAGATGAGGGGAAACTGGGCCAATGCTTATCTAAGTCATAAACAGATATTCCAGTAACAGACTTGGCCATTCTCCAAAAGGAGTGTCTTGTGATAGCCTCCTTGAGTGCTGGATAAGCCCTGTAATTATCTGTGTGGTCAGCATTATAACCAACAGTTCACATGGCCCTCAAAAAAAAAATGACCCACACTGGGCACGGTGGCTCACGCCTGTAATCCTAGCACTTTGGGAGGCCGAGGCTGGCAGATCACCTGAGGTCGGGAGTTCAAGACCAGCCTGGCCAACATGGCAAAACCCCGTCTCTACTAAAAATAAATAAATAAATAAATAAGCTGGGCCTGGTGGTGAGTGCCTATCATCCCCGTTACTTGGGAGGCTGAGGCAGGAGAATCGCTTGAACCCAGGAGGCGGAGGTTGCAGTGAGCCAAGATTGTGCCATTGCACTCCAGCCTGGGCAAAAAGAGCGAAACTCCGTCTCAAAAAAAGACAACAACAAAAAATGACCCTCCTCTATCCTTGAAACCAATTACATTTCTGGGTTATGTGCTGTCTTTCAAAATCACAAAACTATTCCAAAAGACCATCTCCTGAGGGTACTAGCCAGAGCCAGCGCATCAGCAAACCATCCAACAGAACTAAAGGAGAAGAGGGGAATGGAGAAAACAGACATCCAGTGGTCAGAATCAAAGAGATTTACAGGAGCAGTGAAAAAGGCAGGTGTCCAATCAACACCAACTGACCCGAAGTCTATAGGAAAGCCCTTTAAGTCCAGAGGAACTGGTTCTTCTCAAGGAGAGAGAGACTCATGAGGATGACTAGAAAACAGGTTCAAGAAGCCAGCAGAGCTCGGGACTTTGGGGACAAACAGCAGAGACAGGATAAGGAC
This sequence comes from Homo sapiens, assembly GCF_000001405.40. NCBI lineage: Eukaryota > Metazoa > Chordata > Mammalia > Primates > Hominidae > Homo > Homo sapiens. Next base: position 43,404,612 of record NC_000001.11, on the reverse strand, counting down.
TTGGTCAGAGGACTAATAGAAATTTGGTCTGAGGGTACAAACTTGGAGAGATGATGCAATACCTGGTGGGACTGCAGTCCAATGATGGAGGAGTAGGCCTGGATAGTTACATAGATCTCAGGCTGGAAGTCGATGCAAGATCCAGGCACTCGGAAGGGCCGAAGCAGCCCGCCTAAGCAGCGGGACAGGGCATGGAAAACTTCATCAAACAAGATCTCCCCTGTGGAATCATCCTGAGGGCAGAGAAAGAGCACTCAAGGGGGTCCAAAGGCAGCCCTAACCAGAGGGCAGAAACATGCAGCTTCCATGGGTCAGTAGGACACTTAACTTATGGATGATCGCACACCCAAATACAGTGCCACACATGGAACAGTTTCTGGGGTGTTTTTTGGAAACAAAAACAACAAAACCAGGGTCTTGCTTTGTTGCCCACGCTAGAGCGCAGTGGCCTGATCCCGGCTCACTGTAGCCTCGACCTCCTGGGCTCAAGCAATCCTCCCACCTCAGCCTCCCGAGTAGCTAGGACAGGTGCATGCCAGCATGCCTGGCTAATTTTTGTATTTTTTATAGAGAGGGAGTTTTGCCATGTGGCCCAGGCTAGTCTCGAACTCCTGAGCTCGAGTAATCAGCCCGCCTTGGCTTCCCAAAGCACTGGGATTGTAGGCATGAGTCACCACAGCTGGCCCAGTGCTCTTTTTAAACACCCATCATTCCTTTATAAGCCTGTCTTCTCTCCAAAATGGTAGGCTGGGACCATTTTTCACTTCCCCACAGGCCTCTCCCTCTCCTCACACCCCACCCCATCCTTTCTTCCCACAGTCTCCCTTCAATCCTTTACCACAATGCCAGTAGATGGGCTAAGGTCCAACTCAATGACAAACCGATACTGCCAAGCCAGGAAGGTGACCCGGGTGGAAGGTACCAGGAGGAATGGCCTTGGGACCACTGGTTCATCTGGCTGCCACCCAGGGGGCAGGACACTGAGGACTTCCAATTCCTGTTCAGACTGAAGCTGAAAATTAGGATGGAAAGAAAAGGAAAGGATCAGCGAAGTATCCCTTTCTTCCCAGGACCTGCCTTCTATATCCCAAATGACACATCATTGGCTCTACCTCCCTCAATCTAACCGTATACTCTTCCTCTCACTCTCTGGAAAAATTATTTTTTAAAATTTCCATCATCTTGTAGGCAGTCCCTTGCCCTAACCAGACTTAAGAGTTAGTCTCCCACCCTGTCTGTTTCTAGCACTCTCCTAAAAAACAGATCCTTCTGGGCTGGCCCCTCACACCTTTCGTGTGTCTAAGCCTCACCAGCATCTCCTGGGGTGTGGCCTGCACAGTTTGGTGCAGATGACTGAGGAACCAAGCCAGGCGAACATTTCGGGAGATTCGATAATCCTTTTTCATTAACAGGAACACCTGCCCAGCTTCTTCCACCTGGGAACAAAGAGACATTAATACATCTTTAAAAAATGGCACCGAGTACCTGGAACACACAGATCACTGTCCAAATAATTTGCCCAAGGAACTCACCATCAATGAGAGGGAAAACAGCAGAAGTGAAAAGTTTACCCCAACCTCCATGCAAGGTGTTCCCAGGGAGTCAATTCTCAACTCTCTGTTCCTGTTTGCCCGATACAGACCTCCATATAGATGAAGTGACCTTTCCATATTGTTTCCACAAAGTTTATGTGAGTTTCACCTATAAACTATAAGCTTTTGAGGGCAGGGGCTGTGTCTGATTCTACTTTTGTGCCCCTGTGCTTGGCAAATTGCTACAAACAGAGCAAATACCAGGACAAGTCCCTAATACATTACACGAATGCCAGACAGTTACTCCTAACAAGTCTTGACAACAGCAGGCACCGAAGAAATTTTCACCGAAGGAATAGCAAGCCTTCCAAATACCTCAAAATCAAACCTCTGTGGGTCACAGTCCCCACCCCCGCACTTCTCAGTTGTCAGCCCTCTAGTTCTTGCCTCCATTGCCTCATAGGTGGCCACTTCAACAATGCTCTAACAAGCATCGGTTCCCTTGCCCATGTCCTTGTCCTTCCACTACACATGTCCTGTCAAATCTTATCTGGGGATGAATCTGACATTTTCCCTTATCCACACATATACTATGGCAGCTGCACTTGGACAGAAAGAAACTTGTCACCTTGCCAGCAGTGCCCACTCTAGCAGGCCTTTACCAGTCCTCTGAATTCTCCTGGCCAGCAGCCTTTCCTGTTCCCCACAGGAGGTTTTCCAATCTCTCAATCCCCTCCCAGCAGATAAACTTGCCCACAGTTCACTGAGGAAATAAAGGTCAATTGGTCTGAACTCCCCAATGTCTCTTCCTGATTAATGCTTATCTGTCACATTCATTACTCCCTTTCTCTTGTCTGTCCTACACAAATGGCAAATTTCTCCTCCTGTGTCCCTGATTAATGAGGGAAAGAACACCAGGTGGCAAGAACTGAAGAGCAGGTAGTAGAGGAGAAACGAACAGAAGTTAATAACTACCTGTTGAGAAACATGATGTTGAAAGAAAGTGAAGAATTATTTTTTCCAAAATGGGGAAACATGCATGGAGAGAAGACTGAAAAAGCCCTGGAAAACCAATAATGAAGAGTTTCTGATGTCAGAGAAAAGTGTGGAGAACAGATACAATGGCTGTGAAGTTGTAGTCTTTCTTCTGCTCCAAGACAGAAGGAAGGGGTAAAAAGATACAGAAAGAGGTACTGGAAAGTGATAAGGATGATAGCAGAAGGCAAGAAGGAGGAACTCACATTTATTGAGCATCTAAGATATATGCAAAAGTACTATGTAAAAGAAAAAAAAAGGGCTGGGCGCAGTGGCTCATGCCTGTAATCCCAGCACTTCAGGAGGCCGAGGCGGGTGGATCACCTGAGGTCAGGAGTTCGAGACCAGCCTGGCCAACATGGTGAAACCCCGTCTCTACTAAAAATACAAAAATTAGCTAGGCGTGGTGGCAGGCACCTGTAATCCCAGCTACTTGGGAGGCTGAGGCAGGAGATCGCTTGAACCCAGGAGGCGGAGGTTGCAGTGAGCCGAGATCACACCACTGCACTCCATCCTGGGCGACAGAGTGAGACTCCATCTCAAAAAAATACAATAAAATAAAAAGTAAGAAAAAAAAAGTACTCTGTAGAGGCCAAGTTCAAGAATTTCAGGTTCAGAAAGTCTGGGTTTGAATCCCAATTCATCCACTTATTAGCTGTGAGACAGTGGAAAGGTTGTATCACCTCTTTAAGCTTCAATGTCCTCCTTTGTAAAATAGAGAATTCTAATACCAATCTAAAGTGCTGTTCTGTGGATCAAGGAATATCATGCATATGAAGTGCTCAGCACAATGCCTGGTAAGAGTAAAAGTTAACAATAACAGCTGGGCATAACGGTTCAAGCCTATAACCCCAACACTTTGGGAGATTGAGGTGGGCAGGCCGTTTGCACCTAGGAGTTCAAGACCAGCCTGGGCAACATGATGAAACCTCAACTCTACTACTAAAAACACAAAAATTAGCCAGGCGTAGTGGCTCGTGCCTGTAGTCCCAGCTACTCTGGAAGCTGAGATGGGAAGATCACCTGAGCCCAGGAGGTCGAGACTGTAGTGAGCCATGATGGCACCATGGCACTCCAGCCTGAGCAACAGAGCGAGACCCTGTCCAAAAAAAAAGTTAACTATTTATTACAGTTAACTATTACAACACTATACTAGGTTCTTTTTTTTTTTTTGAGACGGAGTTTTGCTTTTGTTGCCCAGGCTGGAGTGCAGTGGCACGATCTTGGCTCACTGCAACCTCCGCCTCCTGGGTTCAAGTGATTCTCCTGCCTAAGCCTCCCAAGTAGCTGGGATTACAGGCACCCGCCACCAAGCCCGGCTAATTTTTGTATTTTTAGTAGAGACTGGGTTTCATCATGTTGGCCAGGCTGGTCTGGAACTCCTGACCTTGGGTGATTCACCCGCCTTGGCCTTCCGAGGTGCTGGGATTACAGGCGTGAGCCACCACGCCTGCCCTATACAAGTTTTTTACCTAAGTAAGCTCATTCAGTATTCACAACAAAACATTTAACAGGAGAAAACAGAGGTCCAAAAAGTTAAGTGATTCAACGTAAGTAGTAAGTGTAGGCTCAGAAGTCAAACCAAGGCCTGGTGAGCTGCAAAAGCCCATCTACTGAGAGTGACAAATGGATAAAACTGAGGGCTTATGAGCAGAAGAGATTTTAAGTCATGAAAAGGAGCACAATGGGGGTAATGAGCAGAAAGGATGTTTTGACATAATCAGAAAGATAAAAAGAGAATTTAAATATCAATATGTTGCACTTGCGTATTATATTCTCTCTGTAACATCTAAAATCACATCTTGGGGCTAGGCACTGTGGCTCAGACTTGTAATCTCAGCACTTTGGGAGGCCAAAGCGGGCAAATAACTTAAGCCTAGGAGTTTGAGAACAGCCTGGGCAAACGGTGAAAGTCCATCTCTAAAAAAAAAATACAAAAATTAGCTCGGCATGGTGGTGAGCACCTGTAGTCCTAGCTACTTGGGAGATTGAGGTGGGAGGATCGCTTAAGTCTGGGAGGTTGAGGCTGCAATGAGCTATGATCACACCACTGCACTCCAGCCTGGGCAAAACAGCAAGATTCTGTCTCAAAAAATAAATAAAAATAATAATAAAATGAAATTACACCTTGGGAGATACTACTCTCTGTTACACTGCTTTCCAACACTGTGTTGAGACAGGTCCTGGCTAGGATTTTGGATTCATCCTTTGAGTGAGTTTAAGCTACTAAAGGAATTCCACAAGACAGTAACATTATATCTGCATTAAAAAAAATTCCCTCTGGTGGCCGGGCACCATGGCTCACGTCTGTAATCCCAGCACTTTGGGAGGCCAAGGCAGGCGGTTCACGAGGTCAGGAGATCGAGACCACCCTGGCTAACACAGCGAAACCCCGTCTCTACTAAAAATACAAAAAATTAGCTGGGTGTGGTGGCGGGTGCCTGTAGTCCCAGCTACTCAGGAGGCTGACGCAGGAGAATGGCGTGAACCCGGGAGGCGGAGCTTGCAGTGAGTCGAGATCACGCCACTGCACTCCAGCCTAGCGAGACTCCGTCTCAAAAAAAAAAAAAAAAAAAAAATTCCCTCTGGCTACTGTGTGATTTAGAAAGCACCCTCCCACCGCAGACTAACAACTAGGGGAGATGACAGTGGCTTAGACTAGAGCTACTCAAAGTAGCCATTCTGTGAACTGTGTGAGACTGGGTCTTGATGAGATAATGCCAGGATGCAAAACCACCACTATCTTTCACGGTGAAAGTCTTATTATGGAAAACAAAAAGTCAGCTGAACTAAACAGTGAACTTAGTTGTATTTCAAGGGATCTTTAGGATAGGACAGAAAAGAACTGGTGATTAATTATAAGTCAGGACATAGGAGGAAAGTAACAAAAAGGAAGGTATCAAGGATGATTAAAGTAGCATTGGAAACCAATACGCTGCAAAATGATTTTTTTCTTTTTTTTTTTTGAGACGGAGTCTCGCTCTGTCGCCTAGGCTGGAGTGTAGTGGCGCAATCTCGGCTCACTGCAACTTCCGCCTTCTCAGTTCAAGCGATTCTCCCACCTCAGCCTCCTGAGTAGCTGGGACTACAGGGGCATGCCACCATGCCTGGCTATTTTTTGTATTTTTAATAGAGATGGTGGTTCACCATATTGGCCAGGCTGGTCTCGAACTCCTGACCTTGTGATCTGCCCGCCTCCACCTCCCAAAGTGCTGGGATTACAGGCGTGAGCCACCGCACCCAACCTACTGCAAAATGATTTCTAAGTTAGCTACAAAAAGTAGATAGTTATTCCTGACTACCACACCCCATCGAAAAGTCCCATCAAATTGTACACTCTTATCGCCATGCTCCTAAAAACAGAAAAGGGGTCTATTTATTGGCAAAGAAGGAAATCACAGCAATTACTCACCCTTTCTTTCTCTGATCCTTGGTTTTAGGGTGGGATACTAAACCAGGCAACCTCTCCTTCAGGTTTGACTTAGCTAGTGTGGGTGGGATATTATGTGTTGACTATGCTGGATACTGCCAAAGTTCTTATCTAAAAAAGCATGTACAAGAGACTTACTGGAGTTTTAAAAAAGAATTTTTTTGTTAAGGGATGGTTTGGGGCTCAGAGCATTATCAGAATAGGAAGGCTATCCTAATTCAGCAGTCATTTGTTTATCACTCTGTCTCCAGAGCCCAGTGCAGTGCCTGGCACATAGGATGTTCAATAACATTTCTCTAAATAAGTGAATTCGCTATGGTTTTTTCTCCCCACCACCACCTCTTCCCCTCTCGCTATATGTTCTAAGCACGGCAAACTGGACATTTAAAACTAATCATAATTAGTACAACTTTTCTCAAGATGAGATCACCTTAACACTAGTGTCAACACTACTTTCCTTTTGTTCTTTGGTACTAAATACTTTTTGTTTTCAAATGCCAGCCTGTTTCAGCTATGCAAGGAAAAACCAAGGAAAAGCGTTTTGGCCCACGTAAGGCCAGGGTTAAAAGGGGAAGAGCACATGGTTGTGGGTCAGCACTATAAGGACAGAGTTGGGCACGTGGTCACCTCATCTTCTAGGACTAAAATCACGGCAAATCTAGGTTTAATAAATGAACCTTTCCATGACTGTCTGCACTAAGTTAGGGTCCTATGTTGGGCATTCACACAGCACTCTGTATTTTTTCTTCATGACACCTGCCAGAGTTTATAATTAAGAATTTGTAGGGGCCGGGCGTAGTGGCTCACACCTGTAATCCCAGCACTTTGGGAGGCCGGGGTGGGTGGATGACCTGAGGCCAGGAGCTCGAGACCAGCCTGGCCAATGTGGCGAAACCCCACCTCTACCAAAACATACAAAAATTAGCCGGGCATAGTGGAGCACATCTGTAGTCCCAGCTACTTAGGGGACCGAGGCAGGAGAATCGCTTGAACCCAGGAGGTGGAGGCTGCAGTGAGCCAAGATTGCACCACTGCACTCCAGCCTGGGCAACAGAGCAAGACTCCATCCATCTCTCCATCTCAAAAAAAAAAGAATTTGTATACTTTAATGTTTGTTTCCTGTATAAGTCTGAAGATCCAGCGAGGTGGAGGCCATGTCTACATATTGTTTCTTTTCTTTTTTTTTTTTTGAAATGGAGTCTCGCTCTGTCACCCAGGCTGGAGTGCAGCAGTGCCATCTTGGCTCACTGCAACCTCCGCCTCTTGGTTCAAGTGATTCTCTTGCCTCAGGCTCCTCAGTAGCTGGGACTATAAGCACGTGCCACCACACCCAGTTAATTTTTGTATTTTCAGTAGAGACAGGGTTTTGCCATGTTAGCCTGGTCTCGAACTTCTACCTCAGGTGATCCACTGGCCTCAGCCTCCCAAAGTGCTGGGATTACAGGTGTTAGCCACCACACCTGGCCTATACATTGTTTCTTGCTGTAACCCTAGAGCCTAGCACAGTGCCAAGACATACTAAGTGTTCTAATAATAACTGTTGAATACATGTATGAACAAGGAAAACTAATCTCACAAGCTGTATTTATTCTGTTTCCAGCTATTCTTAATTTGTTACCAATAATTTCTAATTTTTCACTCTTCTATCAACATGGTTTTTGTTGACGAAGAGTTCCTGTCCTTTATTCACTTCATCTTTCAATCATTTATGGACAAGGTAAGCTATTCTATTTTTGGAGTTTTTCCTTTGCTTCCACAAACATCGTTTTTACCACATTTTCACTAGTATCTTCTTCTTTATTGTTCCTGGAACCCTGGGGGAGTGCAAATGGGGGTTCTAACAGATTTGCTTTATGTTCCATTAGCTTTGTTTTAGAAAGAACAGTGTTACAGAAAGAAAGTGTTGTGATTTGACAGCTAAGACTCTGGGTGAGCTTCCTCCTGTGTAAAAATACCAGCTAGCCCAATGATGTGTGAAAGCACCTTGTAAAAAGTAACGTGTATAAATGCACAGATTAGTAATAACAAAGTGTTGCTGTTTACCTCTCTTCTTTGAGTCAGAAGTCCTGCACAGCCATTCACTTCAGTGTTGTTTCTTTGTTTTTTTTGCCCATACCTGTTTAGTTGGTAGAGTTGGGAATGTCCTCACATAGAGCCAGAATCTGTCTTTTTGATAATATCTTGACCTACTCTTAAAATCTGTTGTCTTGAAAATATCTAACCCACTTTTTGTTTTACCTTCTAAGGCCACACAGGGAGAATCTGACCCTCTGCCAAACGAGAGTCTATTAAACATGTGATGACAGCCCTGAGTCTTTACTTTTCTAAAACAAACATCTTTGGGTTCTTTAAGTGTGTCTCAAATGGCATGGTTTCAAGTTTCCTCACTATTTTATATCTTAGATTATGTGCCCATGAATGAATTCTGGCTGGTCTACTTTACAACTTAAAATGTGGGGACCAGAATGGAACATAATACTCAAATGAGGTCACAGATTCAGATTCTCCTAGGTTATACTTGCTCAGGAAACCTCCATGACTTTCTCACTTGTGCTGCTGTCCAAACACATCTCCCATTTTATCCTCATGCACCTGGCTTTTTTGGACACATACGATCATTCAATTAGTCCTGTCACTTGGATAAATTCAGCCTATTATTTTATGGTGAAGCTTAAGAGTGTTGTTTCTTCTTCTACTAAATCTCTCCAGTTTGATTTCCATGCTAACTTGTTCAGGGTGCCATCATGTCCTCATCGAACTCCAAAAAGAACAAAGGCAAGGTAAGCATGCATGCATTCACTCAACAAATTTATGAAAAGCCTGGTACATGCTAGGCACTGGGCTGGGTCCTAATGATACAATGAAAAGCAAACACATGCATTCCCTGCTCTCATAAAACATATTCTATAGTGAAGGACAAAAACATTGATCAAATAATCACTGTGACTATTGTATAATTACACACTGAGTAAGTGCTCCGAAGGATAAGAATGTGGTTCTACAAAAACAAGTAACAGCCACGTGCAGTGGCCCATGCCTGCAATTCCAGCACTTTGGAAGACCAAAGTGGGCGGATTACTTGAGCCTCAGGAGTTTGAGACTAGCCTGGGCAACATGGCAAAACCCTGTCTCTACAAAAAATTATGAAAATTAGCTGGGTGTAGTGTCATGTGGCTGTAGTCCCAGCTACTCAGGAGACTAAGGTGGGAGGGTCGCCTGAGCCCAGGGAGGTTGAGGCTTCAGTGAGCCATGATCATACCACTGCACTCCAGCCTGGATGACAGAGCAAGACCCTGCCCCACTCCCTGACCTCCCCCTCCTCCCAAAAAAGCAAGCAAGTAACAAAGTAACCTGTTCAGGCTAATACCTTAAGAGAAAGTGATGCTGAAGGTTGAGCAAGGTTTGTTAAGTGAGGAGAGAATGGGGGTAAACGAGACAGAGGGCACAGACTATTAGAAAGCTTTCTTCCAATTACCAGTTAGTAGGCCACTAAATTTTACTACTGTACAGCTTCCATTTTTTCCCACCTTTCCTTGAAGGTTATTTTGAATGATGGACTGACTCTCCAAAGGCACAATGAAGTCTAGCTCATCAATCAGTTCTTACAGAATCCACCTTCCTGAAATCAAGAACATTTGCTGAACATTTGCCTAGTCTTCTTGCAACATCCCCCTTTACATATGATCCTTCAAAGTCAACAACTATATTTTCTTTTTCTTTTCTTTTTTTTTTTTTTGAGATGGAGTTTCGCTCTCGTTGCCCAGGCTACAGTGCAATGGCACCATCTCGGCTCACCGCAACCTCCACCTCCTGGATTTAAAGCAATTCTCCTGCCTCAGCCTTCCGAGTAGCTGGGATTACAGGCATGCGCCACCACGCCCGGCTAATTTTGTATTTTTGGTAGAGACGAGGTTTCTCCATGCTGGTGAGGCTGGTCTCAAACTCCCGACATCAGGTGATCCACCCGCCTCAGCCTCCCAAAGTGTTGGGATTACAGGCATGAGCCACCGCGCCCAGCCCAACAACTATATTTTCAAAACATCATTTCTAAGTTCTCTTCACTTTCAAGATGTAATTTATCATAACTAGAAGACTTAATAATTTAAGCAGCTAGAATGGTGTTTTTCAAAGTGGGATCCAAGGACCAGCTGCATGAAAAATCACCTGAAGTGCTTATGAAAATACAGCGTTGAGTCCCAGGCACCACCCCAGACCAACTGAATTAAGAGTTGATGGGCTCCAGACTGGGTGCTGTGGCTCACACCTGTAGTCCCAGCTACTCAGGAGGCTGAGGCACAAGAATTGCTTGAACCTGAGAGGTGGAGGTTGCAGTGAGCCAAGATCACGCCACTGCACTCCAGCCTGGGCGACAGAGCAAGACTCCATCTCAAAAAAAAAAAAAAAAAAAAGAGTTGATGGGCTCCAGAATCTACATTCTAACAAGGTCTCCAAGTGATTCTTCCACATTAACATTTGAGAATCCCTGAATTAGTTCTCAGAGCATCCACACTCACATGGAGCTTCAAGTCCTCATATGAATCCTCCTTGAGTCTGAAGTTCATTACTCTCAGAGTAGTCTGGCAAGGAAGACAAAGTAGAGTTTCGGGGTCAGGGACCTGGATTCAAATCTGATTCTATCATTTGCTATATAGGTGACCTTGGACAAGTTACTTAATTTTTCCAAGCCTCGGTTTCTTTATTGATAGTATGTGGATAAGAATATCTTCATAGGGATGTCGTTGCAATTAAACAGGAGAGGAAGGCTATCATTCTTTGGAATATTTATTGAGGTCTACATACCATTTATACCAAGATGAATAAAACATTACCAGGCACTGTGCTGCATACCATGTATACCAGGAAGAATGAAGCATGGTCCATCTCATTAATTTGTTGCTTTGTCTTTTTGTGCCTGTCCCTTTGTGATTAAGGTCTGATTTGTTCAGCCTTTTCTAACCCTTGTGCTGTCTTTTGTTAACACATTCCCACAAAATAATGTGGATTATTTCCCCTCTTGAACTGGCTAAAATCTTCTTACCACTATACATCAAAGTCCTGAGCCTCTAGCATGGCCTCAAGCTGCATCTTCTCCAGCCTTATCTCTCACCAATCCCCACGCAGTTAAAAGCATGTATTCCAGTGTTAGAGCACTTAGGATCAAATGCTTGCTCTGCTGATTATTAACTATATAGTTTTGGCAGAGACTTACACTCTCTATGCCTCAGTTAGCTCATCTGTGAAACACAGATAATAAAAGTGCTTATTTTCAGATAATTTTTGAGTATCAGATGATACTCAGTAAGCATTCAGTAAGTGCTAGCTATTCTCATTGTCAAACTGCATCCACACAAGGAGTTGCTTCCTCTTAGTTCTCTGAAGGCTCCACTGGGCTCCTTCTCACCTGAAGATCTTCACTATTCCCTTTGCCTGCAATGCTCTCTGCCTCTTCTTTTAGAAAACTTCTACCTATTCTTCAGGCTTCAGCTTAAATGTCATTCTTCTGAGTCTTCCTATTCACAACCCCTTGCCTCCCCATTTCTTAACAAGGTAGGTTGAGAACCACTGTTAAACACCCTAATTCACTCCTTTACAGCACTTATTATCCTAATTCAATCCTTGTTTACTCCATAAAGATAGAGAGCATGTCTGTCTTACACGGCTCTGTATCCACCCTGATACTTAGCACAATTCTGACTCCTACCAGCACTCGTAAAATATTTCAAGTGTGTGATGAATGAATGATTTCCTAAATCTGACTATACCCAATCTTTCTCTCTTGGGATCCTAACAGCCTCTAAAAGTCAATAACTTTATTACACCCAGGGGCAGAACTCTTCAATCTCTTTACCTTCTGATAAAATTTTCAGAAATGCAAATCAGGGAGTTAAAAAATGCTTAACTTAGGCTGGGCACGGTGGCTCACGCCTGTAATCCCAGCACTTTGGGAAGCCGAGGCAGGCGGATCACGAGGACAGGAGATTGAGACTATCTGGCTAACACGGTGAAACCCCGTCTTTACTAAAAACACAAAAAGTTAGCAGGGCATGGTAGCAGGCGCCTGTAGTCCCAGCTACTTGGGAGGCTGAGGCAGGAGAATGGCGTGAACCCGGGAGGCGGAGGTTGCAGTGAGCCAAGATCGCACCACTGCACTCCAGCCTGGGCGACAGAGCGAGACTTCGTCTCAAAAAAAAAAAAAAAAAAGCTTAACTTTTGGCTGAGACTCCCAGGATTGTGTGTCTTGACTTGAAATTACTTTAGATCTGTACTGCTCTATATGGTAAAGACTACTATATGGGGCTACTGAGCACTTACAATGTTGCTAGACCAAGATGGGATGTGCTATCAGTGTAAAATACAACACTAGATTTTAAAGACTTGGTACCAAAAAAAATGTTAAATATCTCACGATGTTTTGTATTTTATTACATTTTGAAAATTTTGGGAGTTTTGGGTTAAATATATAATTACATTTTATTTCATTTGTTTCATTTTTTTTTTTTTTTTTTTTTTTTTTTTTTTTTTTTTTTTTTTTGAGACGGAGTCTCGCTCTGTCGCCCAGGCTGGACTGCAGTGGCACAATCTCAGCTCACTGCAAGCTCCGCCTCCCGGGTTCACGCCATTCTCCTGCCTCAGCCTCCCGAGTAGCTGGGACTACAGGCGCCCGCCACCACGCCCAGCTAATTTTTTGTATTTTTTTTAGTAGAGACAGGGTTTCACCGTTTTAGCCAGGATGGTCTCGATCTCCTGACCTCGTGATCCGCCCGCCTCGGCCTCCCAAAGTGCTGGGATTACAGGCGTGAGCCACCGCGCCCGGCCTTGTTTCATTTTTTTATGTGGCTATCAGAAAATTTAATATTACACATGTGGCTTGCTTTAGATTTCTACAGGACGGTGTTGTCCTAGACTATCTGCCTAAAAGGTATGTTGCATTTCCCCACAACATCCCTCCACCTCCTTTCACTTTAATCTATAATGAAACATCCTCTAAACTGTTTCATAGTTTTTCTTGTGTTAATATTTCTGATTGATCTTGATTGATATTTCTGATGCATGAGCTATTCTACCACCTCTGTGAACATGACTATTTTAAATAAGGCATAGTTTCCTACCACCATATTCAATGTTGGGTCTTACCACACCAAATCCCAGTGAACTGGAGATTTACCATTCTGTGGCTACTTTATTACTTATACCATGAACAATATGGTTAAGAACACAAGGACTGGAGCCTGGCCATCTGTTTTGGAGTCCTGACTCTAATACTTAATAGCTGTGTAACTTTGTTACTTTTTTTTTTTTTTGAGACGGAGTTTCACTCTTGTTGCCCAGGCTGAAGTGCAATGGCATGATCTCAGCTCATCGCAACCTCCACCTCCCGGGTTCAAGCGATTCTCCTGCCTCAGCCTCCCGAGTAGCTGAGATTACAGGCCTGCGCCACCATGCTTGGCTAATTTTGCATTTTCAGTACAGACAGGCTTTCTCCATGTTGGTCAGGCTGGTCTCGAACTCCTCACCTCAGGTGATCTGCCCACCTCGGCCTCCCAGTGTTGGGATTACAGGTGTAAGCCACTGCGCCCGGCTTACTTTGTTACTCTTAATATCTCTGTGCCTCAGTTCCTAAACTAAAAAAAGGAGATGATACAGTGTCCACTTCATAGGGCTGAGGATTAACTGATATTGGTAAAGAGCTTAGAATGGTACTGAGCATGCAGTATGTATGCAGTAATGAATACTATTTCTATCATTATACACATCTCTCACCCTTCCCACCTACTGATATGTTGGCACCTTTCCTGGTGGTGGTGTTTTATCCGAATCTGAGATTTTAAGCTCAGATCTTCTAACTCCAAACTGCTAGTTCCTGGATGAGTGGCATTTGAGTAAGGTACTAAATCTTTCTCATTTTTCAGTTTTCTCCTCTGTGAGAATGCCACCTTCCTTGCACAAGTCTGAATGACACAACATATATAAGGTTCCTTGCATGTTCCTTAGCATTTAACGAATATATCATATCACCTTTCTGGTTTATTACATGTGATTCTCACAACACACTATAAGACAGATATTTTATAAAGAAGGAAACAGGATCCGGGAAGACTCGCCTGAGGTTGCACAGATTAGCTACATGACAGCGCCAATATTGGAACGAGGTCTCAGTCCGACTCAAATGTTTTTTTCATGAAATTAAAGCTGCTTTTCTAAAAGCATGAGCCCTAGAACTAAATAAATTCATGCTGTTTATGGTATTCCAATGCCTAAAGAAATGCAAAAACCAGCAAAGTAAATCTACTGCCGTGTTGCCCATTGAAACTGCAACAGAAAGTCAAAATACAAGTTTTGTTAACACCGCTATAAGTCTTAGAGACGACGACGCGGGTGACATGTCAGTAAACAAAACAAAGCGAACAGTTACTCCTTTAGCTCCCCGAGGAAACTGCGGACCGCGTCCCATACACAGTCCGCAGGGGTACCATAGTCGGGCCTTCCGGGCTGGGCTGGTCCCTGCCGAGGCTACGCAGCCCGGCCACCCCCAGACCTAGAGGAGGCCAACGCCACGCCTGCCCGCCGGACCCTCCCCCTCGGATCTCGGGGCCCAGTGCTGCGCCCGCCCGCCCCTCACCTCCGGCTCCGGGCGCTCCGAGGCCATCACACAGCCCTCCCGCGCCGGCCCGGGCCAGTGAGGGTGTTCCACTCTTGACCCCTGACCTCGCTACCTCGGCACCCAGCAGGAACCGGAAGTTGGTGGGAGGGCCGAGTTCCAGTTTTCTGATTGGTGGACGAAGCCTTCTCGTAGGCGTTTGCTGACTGGAAAACCGGAAGTGAAATCGTGGCAGCCGCCTCGGCCGCCGCAATGCAGGTGAGAGTTGCGTTGGGCGTACTAGCGGCTGGCAAGCTTCGGGTACAGGGACCGAGAGTGGGCTGGCTAAGGAGAATGAAGAGTTGGGACTGAGAAGAGAGGGCAGAACCCACGGCTGATAAGGGAATGTGGGCTGGGGGGCGAGGCTAATTGGAGCGGGAGCGGCGGCGATTAGAGGTGGGGGTGGAGCTTGCCTGACAGGAGACAGTCGGGCTAAATCCGGAGGGAGGAGGCAGCACCTGTTTGCTTGGCGTGGGAAAGGATTAGGTTGTAATACGGGGAGGCTGAGATGCAGTCCAAGGAAGACGGCTCAAGAAGGTGGTGGGTTGGCTCAGGCCCTGTCCTAAGCTGCTGGATGGAGGCTGTTGGTTGCCGATATAGCAGGGGATCTAATTGGAAAGAAGCCCAAGCAGTGAGGGAATTGTGGGCCGCGATGGCTGAAAGCTAAGCAGCTTATAATCAGAGGCCATGGTGGAACCCGGGATCAAGTTTCTGTCAGGCAGGTTTGCAAGACAGTTTTGCATCCCTCTTCCCAGCCTGTGCCCTATAGTTGTTAAGGGTGAAGAAATGGAGTAAAACAGGAGACCACCGATGGGAAGGAAATGCTTTGCAGACCCCCAGCATTTTAATTTGTTTGTCCAGTGC
Organism: Homo sapiens; assembly: GCF_000001405.40. Lineage (NCBI taxonomy): Eukaryota > Metazoa > Chordata > Mammalia > Primates > Hominidae > Homo > Homo sapiens. Next base: position 43,389,113 of record NC_000001.11, on the reverse strand, counting down.
TTAGAAGCATGTGTGGTTTTTGTTTTTCATTTGTCACTTAGTTTCTTGCAGCTGGTAGTCTCAATAAATGTTAATGGGTTGACTGAGCTTGTGAAAGAGGCACGGGAATATTGACACAGAGATAGATGATTGCATATTAATTCAGCAAGGAGAAGGTTGAAACAAAATGATGAGAGCAGATGGAAAGCTGGAGTCGTTGGTTGGGGGAGGGAAAGGGGAGAGCAGGACTGGTGTTCAGAGAAGTCTTCATGAGTAGGCAGATTTCCCAGAGACTGACAAGACAGCCAGGCTCACAGATGCTAGGATGGAGGAAGCTGGAGTGCATGTGCTACAGAGGTGCACATGAGAGAATGATCTCCTGGCATTAGGTCTGTCGAAAATGTCTCAGTGAGGGAGTGTAGGGTGTACCTAACACAGAGAAAAACCAGGCATAGATTAGGAGGTGATGGGGAAAAGGAATCAGTTGGTGGAAGGACTTGGGGTCAGGCAAACAGGTTGGAAGGTCTCAGGGTTGATGCTGTCTATAACCCAAATACCAAAGATAGAAAACAACCTGGCTATCCTATGCCAATGAGATCCTGTGTTACCTGACTGGTGTTGCACACCATCTCCTTGGCTTTCCAGCCCTCCTTTCTATGTGTCATACTCGTTTATCTGGGTGACCAACCTGTTCCTATTGGTGCAGAGAGAGGAGAAGCAGCTTGAGGCATCATTAGATGCACTGCTGAGTCAAGTGGCTGATCTGAAGAACTCTCTGGGGAGTTTCATTTGCAAGTTGGAGAACGAGTATGGCCGGCTGACCTGGTAAGAGTTACCAGGGCAAGCTAGGAAGGGCTTATGGGTGGGGGGGCCTAGCCTCCTGATGAATAGGACATTTCTAATGATGTAACCATTTATCAGTTTGCAAACATCTTTTGATTTGGAAAGAGCTGGGTTTCCTAACATTTAGCAAGTGGATTCCATGGCAAGGAAGTAGAGAAATGCTCAGTTTCCTAACCCAAGTTCTTTCTAGCTTTCAATTCTTACCCTTTGACTTCTCTGGTGAGGAGGTCCTCCCACTACAGCTCTATTCGTGCTGGATCTCTTGCCACAGATGTGGCTGAGTCTTTTAGAGCCAACCTACTCTGAAGTGTGGATCTTATTTCCAGGCTGGAAAGGAGGCTTTTACCCGGTTTCTGAAGTTTTAGTTATAACAGTGTAGCCCTGGTTCCTATTTTGCCACTGTTCCTCACCCCATTCAAACAATGAACTGGGTTTTTTCTACGTCTGTTTCATAAACTGAAACTATGTCCCTCTTTCATAGCCCTGTCATCCCTGTTAGTCTGTTCCCACTTAGGCTAGTCATAGGGCTATGAGACTTTTGGAGGTGAATCCAAGTGTTCCTAGCCTGAAGGAACTAGGACTATTTTACTAAGAACCACCCAGGGAAGGGGTACAACATTCTTACACCTTGTTACCACCACCAGGCCATCTGTCCTGGACAGCTTTGCCTTGCTTTCTGGACAGCTGAACACTCTGAACAAGGTCTTGAAGCATGAAAAAACACCGCTGTTCCGTAACCAGGTCATCATTCCTCTGGTGTTGTCTCCAGACCGAGATGAAGATCTCATGGTAAGAGGAGAAAAAGAATACAACTTGGGAAATTAAGGGGTTTTTTAGGCTTCTTTAGTATTTAGGGAAATTAAGTTATTAGCTGAGAGCCTAGAAATAATTTTGGAGGCCTTGCTTTTTGTTCTTCTGAAGGCGGGAGAGCCACTCCCAAATAGTGCTGTAATAACCTGAGGGGTATGTCACCAAGGCTGATACCTTTCTTCTCCAACATCTGTCTCAAGCCACAAAGTTTGCCCTTTTGTGACTTTGTCTATTCCAGTCTTTGAAGCGTGGCAGACAGTGATAGTTTAATTTGCCCCTAGGTCTGGTAGAGATAGGGATGTGAGAAGACACAAAAAATGAAGGATGGAGTAAAGGAGAGTGTGTCCTAGCAAACTAGATATTATGTCTCAGGTTGTATTTTCCTTGAAAATGCACTGTTTGCCTGTGGATGGGACTTTATGTCAGGCCAGATAGAATCTTCTTGGAGTACAGAGTAGGATCAATAAAATCTGTGTGTTACAGCGGCAGACTGAAGGACGGGTGCCTGTTTTCAGCCATGAGGTAGTCCCTGACCATCTGAGAACCAAGCCTGACCCTGAAGTGGAAGAACAGGAGAAGCAACTGACGACAGATGCTGCCCGCATTGGTGCAGATGCAGCCCAGGTTGGACTGAGTCACTGCCTTGCTGCCCCATCCCCATCCCATCATGAGAAGCTAGGCATTACCATTCCTGTCTAGTAGGGATACATAGTTGGTTGCGCCTAAGTTGCTTCTGGCAGAACCCAAGGAATAAATTTCTCCATATCGTTTCCTAGTTACCCTAATCTCTGCACAAATTTGTGTGTTACAGAAGCAGATCCAGAGCTTGAATAAAATGTGTTCAAACCTTCTGGAGAAAATCAGCAAAGAGGAGCGAGAATCAGAGAGTGGAGGTATGATGGGACTGGTGGCTAAACAGAGAAGGAGAGGTATATAAGATCACTGGAATGGGAATGGTTGTTTTGGAAGTAGTGAAGTTAGGACACAAGGGTGAACTGCTTTGGGGTTTGTATCCATTCTGTTAGCCTTTTGTATTTAAGGCCAGCACTGAAGCAGTGGAGGAAATGGGCAAAGTAAGAAGAGAGAATTCTGAGATAGGCTTGGGGGTCCTCTGGCTCTTTTTCTGGGCTGTGAGGGAGTCTAGATGTTGCTGAATTCAGAACTCCAAACCCTGGCACTCATACTGGTCTTCCAGCTGCCACGTTCAGTCCTGCATCAGAAGCATACTTCAGGATCCCCATTACTTTTTCTTCAGGTCTCCGGCCGAACAAGCAGACCTTTAACCCTACAGACACTAATGCCTTGGTGGCAGCTGTTGCCTTTGGGAAAGGACTATCTAATTGGAGACCTTCAGGCAGCAGTGGTCCTGGCCAGGCAGGCCAGCCAGGAGCTGGGACGATCCTTGCAGGAACCTCAGGATTACAGCAGGTGCAGATGGCAGGAGCTCCAAGCCAGCAGCAGCCAATGCTCAGTGGGGTACAAATGGCTCAGGCAGGTCAACCAGGTAAGGTGGCAGGGGTTGAAATGAAGCTGACTTTGAGCAGGAGTGGGAGGGAATAAGCTAGATTATCTGGGCCTCCAGCATCTCTAGACCTAGAGGTTTTCTCTATTTCTCCTTTTCACTGTGACCCAGGAAATAATTTTCAGAAGTAAAAAAATCTCATCTGAGACTCTGCAACAGGCACCAGAGAGTGAGGAAGAACTTTGAGTAACAGAAACTGCTCCAATTTCTCATCCGCATCTCACATCTCTGTGTCAACTATCCTTCTATCCCATTTATTCTGGTATTAGATATGTTGTCAGTGTCTCTTGTTAGGTAGAGAAATCAGCAGTCAGATCTTAAGACCATTTGGTAGGTGCATCAGGAATTGACACGCAGGCCAGTTTTCCAGTCCTACATGTATTCTTTTCTCTGTATCCTGCCTCTCTTGCTCTTGGCTTCCTGCCTTCTCTCCTACTCATTTTTAGAACAGTCTAGATGCAGGCAGCTAGAAGAGTTATTTCCTCCAAGCTGTCTAGGAAAAGGGACAATTAAAGAGAGATTCTGCACTTATTATGATATAAAAAAAGAAAAACAATGAGAGAACATAGTACTCTTTTACCTGTGACGTTAAATGGGAGTCACACAGGTTTAGCTATCTGTTCTAGGAGTGGATGAACAGACTATTCTCCCATGTCACTTCTTTCCTCCTGGACACCTTCAGGGAGACAGCTGGGTGAAGAATCATACTTCTGACCTCTGTCAAACAGGGTCAGATGCCGCAGAGGTTCTGAGATGATAAAGGAAGTGACAGAGGGAACCTGAGGTACCACATTTCTGATTTGTCATGAAAGTCTTACCTTGCTTAAGATGACTTTTTTAATGTTCCTTTCAGGGAAAATGCCAAGTGGAATAAAAACCAACATCAAGTCGGCTTCCATGCATCCCTACCAGCGGTGAGTGTGGCTGGCAACCTCGACTCCCTGGTGCTCTTTGCAGAGTTGGGCAGTGAAATTACCTTTTGCTCAAGGCTCACCTAGATGGGTACAATAAAAAGAACATGGGCTTTCAGCAGCAGACAAATCCCACTTCCACCACTGACTAGCTGTGTGACCTTGGACAAGTGACCTAATTTTTCTGAGCCTGTTTCTCATTTGTAAATGGTGATAATACCTACCTCATAGGGTTGTTGTGAGGATTAAAATGAGGAAATGAATGTAAAGCACTTAGTACAGTATATGAAATAATGGGTATTCAATAAATGATAGTTTCTACAGATCCTTCTCCCCACCACCCTCCACAGTCCTTGATCCAGAACTTACCCTAATCTGATACTGCCTCACGTCAATGGTGAGCTGATGGACACAAGATCAAATAAGGCTATGCTTATTTTGTGCTGCCAGAAACTGTAGCAACCTCTGTGTTCTTAGAGGCACACTGTTTTTGCAGGCCCTCCTGCCTGGGTTTCATTCTGGCTATCCCTCTAAGGCGCAAGGTGAAGAAGCTTCTGGGCCAGGAAGGAAAAAAAAATGCCCACCTGCAGCTCTGGTGAAGCTTGGGCCTGCTCTCCTTTCCATCCTCTAAGGAGCCAACTTGGCTTTTACCTGTCAAATAGTCATAAAGTCCCCTATCCTTTACCCCACCTTATACACACGAGGCTTTCTCAGGAAGTGGCTCTGCCAGGCAGGACTATGTGGGAAAGGGTTTTTCCTTAGCACACGAAAAAGCCCCTTCCCCTGGATTCATGTTTCTTATTTTGGAGGGAGAAGGGAATTGCACTTCACACTGCCATCAGGGTTTAGTTGACCTCATAATGGTGCCCACTTTCTCGACTTTGGCCAGGATTTCCTTCAAAGAAAACGACTTTCCTTCATTTCCCTAAGCCTGTGGCCCAAATGGTGGACCAGAATGATGGTGGGAGGGGGCAACCCCCAGTAGCTTTGCCTGCTTTTATAAAGTTGAACAAATTGAATTTAGACATTCAGGCTAACCTGCCTTTCTTAGTACTCCTTTGTTGGCATGGGCAGGGGTTGAGTCAGCAGAAGTGGACCAAAGGATTCCTCTGAATAAAGTTATTTAAATTGATGTTCACTGGCTCAGGGTTGTCTGACAGTAATTTATGAGAGCACTACATAGGGATCAGAGGGGCAGTTTCAAGAGTGCTGCAAGGCAGTTCTAATTTGTTCTCCATAAAAAAGTTTCCGTATCTTTAATTAGCTTTGATCTAAAAATCCTGAAACTTCCCTCCTGCTCATACCTTCCAGCTGCCTTTTTTCTGTTCTGTCACACACTGGTACTTTGGCATTTGTTCAGTGCCAAACAAAGTTCTGCCAGGCTGTGGCAGCAAAGGACTGGAAAAGTGGTCCCAGATGTCACATCTGTTACCATTCCATCAAGGTGAGGAATGGTATCCACAAAGCTCACTGACCACAATACATAGCAGTAGGGGAGTCTGGTCACCAGCTCTAAGGCAATGCCAGACCTTTCCCCCACTTAAACTGTTCCGGCTCATCAGCCCACTCAGGTGTTATCTTCTCACCTCTTCCCTTCCCACTGGAAATGTCAGTATTAACTGGCATATTGGGTAGAGTTTGAGCTGTGCTTCTCTGAAATTCCTGGAGCATCTTTTGGTGACTATTGTCCTTTACTCCACCAAAAGATTCCCTCCTATTGAATGGCACCAACCCCAAGTTTTTTTGTGTCCCAGGCAAATACTGACTTCATCCCCACCATACTATTAAAATGGATTCCTTGTCATCCAAGAATGGAAATATCCTCTTGCCCCAACAGGAACATATGCAGGATGTCACCTACATCTTGTTCCCCTAAGCAAACACTCCTTCCTCTAGAGGGACTCCTCTACATTCATCACCGTAGGAGCACATGCTGTCGTTTTTATCCCCCATCCTCAAATCATCTGGAGTACACAAATCTCAGTAGTGTCTCCCACTTTGGGGTCCATACAGCCTATTAAATGCCTCAATAGAGAGTATGTATCTCCCACCCCTAACATACTCATTCCCTCAGGAGGGAATACATATACAGTTTTCCTTTGAAGAAGGGGACATGACCTATTTACTGGCTCAGATTTAGGATTTGCAAAAGGTGACTATTGGCCTACTCTGGTAACATTCCTCTGTTTTTGACTGTCCTGTTTTGCTTGGAGATCGTGCTTTCTCCTATTCTTGGGTCCCCTGGAGAAAGAGATTAGGCCATTGTCTCCTAGGTTTGTGTCTAGGATGGAGAAAGAAGCAGCAGCTGTGAAACGTCAAGAGCTTACTACAGGACAGAGTTCATCCTGCTGAAGGCGGAAGCTTATCCAATCAATGTCAGCATAAGGCCCATTGCCTAGGATCTCTCCCTCTCCAGCTCTGCCCTGAGCCTGGGATTCAGTCATTGCTGAACCTCTCTTTTGCTCATTGTGCCAGTCACCCCATTCTGTTCCCCTTCTGGTGTTTATTGCTGCCCTACTTAGCTGGTGTACCTCATTCAACCCTGTCGTTTTTTGGGAAACAGCCAAGATAGATAGGTTGTAGCCAAGTGCTCCTTAGAACTCCATAATGGGTCCCAGCATTAGGATTGAGCTGGAGGGGGTGTAATTGCCCACCTCCTGTTGTGCTGCCACAGAGAAGAAGCTGAACTCTGCAGGAATGCCCCAGTGCAAGGCTGGTCCCTTTTCCCACCCCCCTCTCACCTCCCCCAGGCAGCTGGAAACAACCTCTCCCTTTGTCTGAGCTTCTTGTACAGAATAATCCTCCTTATGGACAATGTATTCTCTGTGCCCTGTGGACACAGGAGCTGTGTAAGCTGATCCCAGCACCAGGCAGGACGGAGGCTGAGTCCTTCCAAACGCCCACCCTGGGTCAGCTCCTGATTACTGTCCAGATGAACTACGAAGGAGTGTACATTCTCTTCCATCTGCCTTTCCTATCTGCTCCAGAATTAGGGGAATAGCCTACTGAAGTTTAGCATTGGGCCAGGAGTAGGAACAGGGGATGTGGTCCTTTTCTGTTCAGTCTTGAGGGTTCACAGTGCCTGCTTATGGAGGCTCGATGTGGCTCTTGCCTGGAAACCTCAAACACATGGGGACTAACCCTTGGAAAGGGCTTGCCACTGTGCAGATGGGGCTTTATGATTGGAACAGAAGGCAAACTCCAACGCATCTGATGGGACCATGGTGCCCCATCACTTCAGCATGTGTTTTGTCCCACAAGACAAAGTTCCTTTCTTCTTCCCTTTAACTTCTCTTTTTTTTTGAGCTCCATGTGTCACTGAGGCAGCTCTTGGGTTCCTGTTGTGGTCTCTCAATGAGTCACATGCCATTTGGACATGGCAGCTTCCCTAAGTACATCGTGGACAAGGCATCTCACTTCCCTAAGCCTCAGTTTTCTCACTTGGTGATCCCAGTGATCCTTTTTAGGTCTAAAGTCTGTGGCAATGATTTTCAAACCCATTTATCCCCAGGCATTTTGTTTTGTTTTGTTTTCCTTGGTGCATGACTGTTACATAAATAGGCCAAAATTTTCCTAGATAAGCCCCCAAGTCCCTCAGACTCCTATAAACTGTTCCTGAAGTTCCCTCGCTGTCACCTACACCTTAACATACCAACACCCTTGTAGACCACAACCTTGAAACTGTTTTCTAAAACATCTTTCTCTAAGTGAAGATTCATCAAAGAGATGGTAAGTTACCACAAAGTTATCACAAGTTACAAGTTCTGACATACCTTGTGTGTTAGAAGTCGCCCTCCCCCTCACACATCTCTCTCTCCTTGGGCAAGATACATGTACCAAAGAGACTCCTCCAGTATAGGCAATAAATTATACTTCTTCCACATGAAGATAACCTTTCCTACTGAATCAAATATAAGTGCCTTGGGATGCTCGTCTTCCTATGTTTTCTCTGCCATTCCACTGCTTTCCCTAATTCTCACCCTAATTTCCCTAGTTTGTGGTCATTTTGATTCTTCATCTTTTCTTGCCCACATTCCCTACGTAGATATCCTTTGTTCATTTTTTTTTTTTTTTTTGAGACAGGGTCTCACTCTGTCATCCAGGCTTGAGTGCAGTGGCACAATCACCTCTCACTGTGATCCTGCAACTCAGGTGGTCCTCTAGGCTCAAGTGATCCTCCCACCTCTCAGCCTCCCAAGTAGCTGGGACCACAGGCATGTGCCACCATGCCCAGCTAATTTTTAAATTATTATTATTTTTAATGGAGACAGGGTCTCTATGTTGCCCTGGCTGGTCTCAAACTCCTGAGCTCAAGCGATCCTCCCACCTCAGCCTCCCAAAGTGCTGGGATTACAGGTGTGAGCCACCACACCCAGTCTATCCTTCATTCTTTTTGCCAGTTTCTCTGGGCTACATTTCATGGCCTTAGATAGTGCCATTTTAGTGTCTCTTCCATGTTAAAAGATCCTTCTTAACCCTACATCCCCTCTCACTGACTCACTCGCGCCATGCTCTTGAAACAAAGTGCTTAGAATCACTGTTTCTTTTACCTCCCATTCACTTTTCAACCCCTGTGTTTGGGCTTCTACTTCCACCACTCCTCAGAAACTCAGAGATCACTGTTGACCTAATGGCTAAATCCAGAGTTTTTTCAATCCTCATAGTAATGTATCTGCAGCATTTAATGCTGACCATTTCCTTTAGTCTCTTTCTCCCCCATGGCTTCTATGGCACATGCTCTCCTTGTTCATCCTCCTCTCTGGCCATTCCTTCTCTGCAGCTTTTGGACTTTTATACTTCTTCCTGCTTCTTAAATGTTATTCTCTAGGACTTGTCCTTAACCCCCTTTTCTTCTTCTTCTACCTGCTTTCTGTGACCACCACTTTTATGTGCATAATTTAAGCGAGTTTTATTTTCAGCTCAGACCTCTTTGCTGAGCTGCAGATTCCTGATGGATATCTCTACCTGTATGATCCACAGCTGGTTGAATGTCCAAATCCAGTTATTCTAGCCTACACACCTGTTTCTCTTCTAAGCCAGGAATATGGAAACCATTCTAAATTATTCTCCCTCTGGGTCCCCAACCCCCTCATACCTAATCAGATACTAAATCCTACCAATTCTGTCTCCCCAGTGTCCATCCACCCTGTCCTACAGTTTAGGCTCTAGGCCTCTCTTACTAAAAGTATTGTTCAGACTCCATATCTCTAGCCATGCCCACTCTAACTCATCTTCCAAAAGGCTACAGATAGGTCTTTCTAAATTGCAGATCTGATCACATTACTCCCCTGATTAAAATCCTTTATCTCCAGTCCTGCCCACTTTAACTTGTCTTCCAAAAGGCTGCCAGATAGGTCTTTCTGAACTGCAGATCTGATCACATTATTCCGTTGATTAAAAGCCTTTTGATAGTTTACTCCCCATGTAGGGTGGGTGTGCCAGACATACTGAAAATCACAAGATAAAATCTTCCTGGAATGTTCATTTTAAGGGTAATTTAAAACAGAATACACATTTAACATGTATTGTTATTTTATTATTTTGAGACATGGTCTGTCTCACTGTTACCCAGACTAGAGTGCAGTGGCGCGATCTTGGCTCACTGCAACCTCCGCCTCTCAGGCTCAAGCGATCCTCCCACTTCAGCCTCCCAAGTAGCTGGGACTACAGACACTCGCTACCATACCTGGCTAATTTTTGTATTTTTGGTAGAGATGGGGGCATATGGACAACATACCTGGTGGGTGGGTTGGTAGGGGTGGGTGTGCCAGGCATACTGAAAATTACAAGGTAAAATCATCCTGGAATGTTCATTTTACTTAAGAGTAATTTAAAACAGAGAACACACATTTAGCATGCATTATTATTTTATTTTGAGACACGGTCTCACTGCGTCATACAGGTTAGAGTGCAGTGGTGCGATCTTGGCTCACTGCAACCTCCATCTCCCAGCTCAAGTGATCCTCCCACCTCAGCCCCCAAGTGGCTGTGACTACAGGCGTGCGCCACCATACCAGGCTAATTTTTTAATTTTTGGTAGAGATTGCTTTTGCCACATTGCCCAAGCTGGTCTCAAACTCCTGAGCTCAAGTGATCCTCCTGCCTCAGCCTCCCAACATGCTGGGATTATAGGCATGAGCCACCACACCCAGCCAGCATGCATGCATTATTAAGAAAAAATAGTCTTCAAAGAATTCCTACTAGTCTGAACAGCTTCAGACTAAGCCACCAGATTCCCTAGGGATATTTATTTACTCTTTTTGGCCATTACATTTACTTCATTGGAAAAACTTAAAAAATAGCTCAGATTTTCTGGAAAGGCAAGTAAGATTCTGTGTGATGCAGCCCCCTGCCTCCTTCTTATTGTCATGCCACCCACTCAATTCCCAAGCCATCAACATTGCTTGCAGTTTCCTGAATGTGACAGCTCTTTCAAACCTCCATTCCTTTATTCCCACTGTTCCCTCTGCATGGAACACTGCCCTATCATTCTGTCTGATGAATACCCAATCATCTTTCAAAAATCAGCTCACAAGTCACCCCACTCTTGCCGGTGCAGTGGTTCACGCCTGTCATCCCAGTACTTTGGGAGGCTGAGGCGTGAGGACTGCATGAGCCCAGGAGTTCGAGACCAGCCTGGACAGCACACGAAGACCCTGTCTCTACTAAAAAATTAGCCAAGTGTGGTGGCACACACCTGTGGTCCCAGCCATTCGGGAGGCTGAGGTGAGAGGATTGCTTGGGCCTGGGAGGTCAAGGCTGCAGTAAGCTGTGGTTGTGCCGCCGCACTCCAGCCTGGGCAACAGAGCCAGACCTTGTCTCAAAAAAAAAAAAGAAAAAAAAGAAAAAAAAAAGTCACCCCTGTGTGAAGTTGTGAAGTTTTCCAGTAACCCACAACTCAATACCACTCCCACCAGGTAAGATTAATTACCTCCTCTTTTATGCTCCACATTTGTACCTTGTACAAACTTATTCTAGCTCCTGGTGCACTTTATTGTCTCCCAGATTCAAGCATCCTGAACTTTGAATCCAGCTCTTCCACCTGAGAGCTGAGTGATCTTAGGCAAGATAATGTGTGTGCCTGGCATACTATAGCATCTAGCCCATATCATAAACACTATAAATGGTAGTGCTACTATTATTACTATTATGATTTGTCTTTGGAGAAGTAGTATAAAATAACATTTTGATTTAAAAAGCAGGTTTTCGTGCCAGACTGCCCCAGTTCAAATCCTAGCTGTGCTACTTACCAGCTGTGTGGCCTTGGGCAAGTTAGTTCACTTCTCTATGCCTTTGCCTCCTTATTCCTGGGGTCGATAATAATGGCTATTTCATAGGGTTGCTGTGAGGTTTAAATGGGTTAATATATATAAAGTGCTTAGGATAATGCTGACAACAGTAGAAGCACAATACATATTATCTATTCATAGGGTAACATCTGGAACTCTCTGCTCTCAGTGATTGTTGCTTGAAAAAAACGATTGACCAATTCCTCTAAGAGGTCATAACCTCTCCTTCCCTCTGCAGCTCCCCTGTGCTCATGTCTCAGGAGCTTAGCCTCAGGAGACGCTTTTTGTGCATATTTCGTCCCCCATGGTATCTCCCTAGTAATGTGTGGAGTAGGTACTGGAGCATTTTTACATTGGATTACCTGACATGATAAGTCAATTTCAAATCTAGTTTTGTGAATTGTATTTCTCCCACCTAGTTGTTGCCTACGTTCTTTCATTAAGAAATTGTGTTCTTTTGACTTGAGGCCAAATGATAAGACCTCTCACCTGAAATGTTCTTTTTCATGCCTTCTGAACTGTATCTCTTCCCTGTCTAGACTAGCTAACCACTCAGTTCCATAGTTTTTCTACAGTCAGTCCCTAAAGGAGGCCCTTCACCACACATAGCTTTCTCTGTGCAGTTGTGATGAATTCTTGCCTCGCTTGTCTGTGCTTGCTAGGTCGGGCTCAGTTCTTCGTGGGTGGCTGTGTGTAATTCACTGGAGATCAAAACCGGAGCTCTTTGGTGCCATGCTTGCCTCTCTTCCCGCCACACTGACCACCAGTCCTTCAGACTTTGTTTTGTCATGGCATACTCTACGACTCTTGCCACTTTGCCATAAGTGCTCTCAGCTGTAGCCATAAGGAAATAGCTGGGAGTCAGGTGTTGCCTCATACCTCCATGGCTTATACATGCTCTGCCCTACGCAGAATACCCTCTCTCTTTCCTGCTCCAAACCCCTTATTCACCTGATAAACAATTCATCCTTCCAGTTCACATGTCACCTACTCCTGTAAAGTCTTTACTACTTCCTCCCCTGTACACTTGACCATTCTTAAACTGTACCTCTCCTGTGCCCTGTATACTTCCATTCTAGCACCCATAGTTCTATTGCAGTTTATTTATTTTCAAGTTCATATCCTGGTTTGAACACTTATCCATTGTGTGGCCTTAGAAAGTTACTTCACTTACAAGAACCTCAGTTTCCAGCTCTATAGAATGGGATTATAGTACCAACTTCAAAGAGCACCTTCAACAAAACATATTTAAAGTTAAATTTAAATCTTTAGGTAGCTCTTAATTTTCTACCAGATAAAGTCCAAGCTTCTTAAAAAGGCCCTTCAGGCAAATAGTCAACACTCAAGTGGTAACTGTTAGTCTCTTTTACTTTCTCCTGAGCAATCTCATTTTTATGTGATGGTCTAGTAGACTGTTTTGATTGCAAGACATTACAATTAAACTAGCCTAATCAAAATTACAATTAAACTGGCTTAATAAAAAAAAAAAAAAAGAGAACCAGCTGTATTTGGGTTATGTGGATGCCTCTAGGTGGGCTCAGAGGCTCAAATGTTGTCTGGACTCTGTCTCTGCATTTCTCCACTCTACATTATTCGAACTCATCTCATGGGAGAGCTCTGGTTTTGCTTGGATTATGTGCCATTAGGAGCTTGGACTGGGAGGAAGTAGGGGAGACTACCAGCATTAATGAGCCAATGGGGTAGGGAATTTCTCAAAGGAAATGAAAGCAGGGGATGGGAAAGTTTCTGAATACAGCCAAAACTAGAGCTACCACACTCCAGTCCACTTTGTGTGGTTTCACCTCTGTATAGAGAATCCTCAGATTTTTTTCTCAAGCTCTGTCCTTTCTCCTGAATGCACAGTATTGTGTTTTAGATTGCTTGTTGAATGGGCCATCTCACCTCAAACTCAGGATGTCCCAAACTGCATTCATTTTCTTCATCCTGTCCCACCTGAGTTATCCATCTGGACATCTGCTGTCAGTTCTGGGTCCTCTTTCTGTTGTATCCCCTTTTCTTCCTTCTCACTGCCATTCTTCTAGGTCAGGCCTTTGTTATGTCACACCCAGACCTCTGAGCTGGCTCCCAGCTGATATCCCTGCCTTCTTCTGCTTTCCTCTTGATAATATACCTTGCTGTTGCCAAGTTTGTCTTTTTTTCTTTCTTTCTTCTGAGACAGTCTTGCTCTGTCGCCCAGGCTGGAGTGCAGTGGTATGATCTTGGTTCACTGCAACCTCCACCTCCCAGGTTCAAGCGATTCTCCTGCCTCAGCTTTCTAAGTAGCTGGGACTACAGGCACACGCCACCACACCCACCTAATTTTGTATTTTTAGTAGAGATTGGGTTTCACCATGTTGGTCCAGGCTGGTCTCTAACTCCTGACCTCAATTGATCCACCCACCTTGGCCTCCCAAATTGTTGGGATTACAAGTGTGAACCACTATGCCCGTCCCCAAGTTTGTCTTTTTAAAATACAGTGGGGATCATATCAGCCTGCCACTTAAAATCTTCAGAGACGGGCCGGGCGTGGTGGCTCACGCCTGTAATCCCAACACTTTGGGAGGTCGAGGCGGGCGGATCACAAGGTCAGGAGATCGAGACCATCCTGGCTAACACAGTGAAACCCTGTCTCTACTGAAAATACAAAAAATTAGCCGGGTGTGGTGGCGAGCACCTGTAGTCCCAGCTACTCGGGAGGCTGAGGCAGGAGAATGGTGTGAACCCAGGAGGCGGAGCTTGCAGTGAGCCAAGATCGCACCACTGCACTCCAGCCTGGGCGACAGAGTGAGACTCTGTCGCAAAAAAAAAAAAAAAAATCTTCAGAGACACCCCAATATAAAGTAAACTCATTTTTTAAAATTCAAAACATTTCATGATCTGGGGCCACTCATTAACCTTCTATCATATGAAGGCCTTTCGTTAGCCATATCCTTTAGCCCAAGGGTCCCCAACCCCTGGGCCATGGACCAGTACTGGTCTGTGACCTGTTAGGAACCAGGCCGCACAGCAGAAGGTGAGTGGTGGGCAAGTCAGCAAGCATTAATGCCTGAGCTCCGCCTTCTGACAGGTCAGCAGCAGCATTAGATTCTCATAGGAGTGGGAACCCTATTGTGAACTGTGCATGCAAGGGATCTAGGCTGTGCACTCCTTATGAGAATCTAATGAATGCCTGATGATCTGAGGTGGAACAGTTTCCTCCTGAAACCATCCCCCTGCCCCTTGCCCCCCACATCACCACAAGCCCCCATCCTTGGAAAAATTGTCTTCCACAAAACGAAACTGGTCCCTGGTGCCAAAAAGGTTGGGGACTGTTGCTTTAGCCAAACAGAATCCCTTGCAATTCTCTACCTGTCCTGTGTTTTCCTATATCCATTCCTTTGTCTGTGCTTTTTCCTCAGCCTGAAACACCTGTGTTGCTTTCACCTTACCCGGTCTGTGACCTTGAGCAAAGCCTTCAACCTCTGATTCCAGTTTTTTTTTTATCTATTAAGAGGTGATCATAGAACTTACCTGACAGGATGGAAACATTCGAACATAGGGAATGCAGCTGGCTTCATCCTTGCCAGAAAAAGTACTAATAGAATTATAAGCTTCTCATTCCCCTCTTGGTCCTTCTCACGTGTCTTCTGGATCTTGCTAACTCCCTTTCCTCCATCTTGATAGCATCCCCTGGTTTGCCCCCTAACAAAAAGCCTCTCCTTTCTCTCCGGAGCTTTTCCTGCAGGTTCTATCACATCCCTTTCCCCGTTCCTAAGTTTCTTTTGTTCAGTTCAATGAACAGTGAATGATACCCATAGTATGTAGGCACTGGTTACCCACTGATGGATCAGACATTGGCCCTGACTTTCAGGGTTCCAGGCCAACTCTCAAATTGCAGAAGATACAAAGAATGTTTGCATGCAGTCTCTCCCCTCTGCCAGCCCGATGTCTTTCCAGCCCTGGTTCCTTCAGCCAAGGTCCCAGCCTGCTTTGGAAGAGGATACCAGCTAGCTGGCTGGGGCCCAAGAAACATGCAGAATTATTAACTGGCAAACCCTTTGCCCTCATCTTCACTCTCTCGTCCTCACAGGCTAACCCTCCCATCAGCTCTTCTGTGTGGGTACTGTGTAGGAAGTGTCCTTTGTCCTTTACAGGATGGAGAATGGAGAAGCTTGACACAGCCCCCAGGAGGCTGCTTCCATCTCCACCTGCCAGTTCTGTTGCCCTTCAATCTGGACCTTCAGTTCCTATTCATAGCTGATACCCCGTGTCTTATTGTCTTTTCCCTCCACTCTTCTGCTGACTCACTCATGAACATGCAGGCATACCTTTTTCCATTTTTTTCCTCATTGCCATTTCTGCTTCTCTATCCTACCTCCATTTAATATTTGTGCTGAAACATATAAAGCCTCAAAAAATCATGGGAATTGAGTTCATACAGACAGTGGTTTTCAGGCTGAACTTTTAGAAACAACATCCATGGTTTCTCTTCTTGAGAAAGAGGATGGAGACGGGCCCTTTGAAGAGCAGTGAGTGAGGAGTGAGTCAGACAGGGTGGGACCTGGGGGAAGTTGCCACCTCATTTCCCATTAGTCAGGAAGGCTCCATGAAATGGATGGAATTTTAGTTGTTGGACTGGGTTTTCTTTCCCCACTACACCTGGCCTTCATCCTTATCAAACCTATGAGTTCCTTGACCTCTTCAGTTTATCCAGTTTATCAGTGTACCCTTGGTTTAGTTTCATCTACTCAGCCTTCACTGAACCCTCTCCCAAGCAAGGCCTTCCATCTCGCTTCCCTGCAGATCCCAAATGGTCCTATTTCTGCTCTCCTGACTCCCACTCACTTAGCTCTGCGGAAAACATCACAGCCTTCTAAACTGGTACACTCCTTATGGTCTCCCACCCAGTGGGGCCTTCCACTTAGCTGTTCACTAAGCTTTCCCAGCATTCCATCATCAGTTACTCCAGAGTGAACCACTTCCCTACAATTCTTTATCCCATCACCTACCCATCCCCCATGTTCAGCAACTACCTAACATCTGACTGAAGGAAAAAATAGACTCCTTTAGACAAAACTCCCTCAATTTCCTCCCATTCCACTGACGAACTTACTCTATTTCCGTTCTCCTTAGCCAGAGGCTACTCTCTTCATGTGTATGCTGGATCCCATTGTCACTCTCCATACAGCATATAAACATGCTTTGGCCTCTTCCCATTAAGAACAACCATCTAGCATCAATCTGGAGGTGAGAGCCAGGCACTGATATTTTAAAAGCTCCCCAGTTGATTCTAGTTGCAGCCAGGGCTGAAAAACATATACAGAATAAAATCCAGTCTTCTTGCTGTGGCATACAAGGCTCTTCATAAACTGACTCATGCCTACCTTTCTTGCCCTCCCATATGCCCTCTGAACTGGAGTCATACCAAACTACTTAGCGTTCCCAAACCCGCCACATCTCTTGCTTCTATGCCTTCACATACATGCTTCGCTCCACTTAGAATGCCTTTCCCTGCTTCCTAGAAAGTGTCCTTTTTTTTCTTTCTTTTTTTTTTTTTTGAGATGGAGTCTCGCTCTTGTCGCCCAGGCTGGAGTGCAGTGGTACAACCTCAGCTCACTGCAACCTCCGCCTCCTGCCTTCAAGTGGTTCTCCTGCCTCAGCCTCCTGAGTAGCTGGAATTTCAGGCGCCTGCCACCAGGCCTGGCTAATTTTTGTGTATTTTTTAGTAGAGACAGGGTTTCACCATGTTGGCCAGTCTGGTCTCGAACTCCTGACCTCAGGTGATCCACCGACCTCAGCCTCCTAAAGTGCTGGGATTACAGGCATGAGCCACCTTACGCGGCCTAGAAAGTGACCTTTAATGCTCAATTAAGTGTCATTTTTGCATCACCTTTAAGAATTAGCCTCCATACTGAGTTAAGGTGCCCCCGCACCCCAGTGCTTTCATAACCCTCTGGGTTTATCTCTATGGGAACACTCACCACATATATAATTGCTCATCTATATGTCTGTCTTTTCCATCAGACTGAGTGTTTTGCAGGAACCCCAGGGCCATGAAGATGCCATTTGGTAGGATTTGGGGCTAAGTGGTCTATATCAGATATTTGAGCATCCTCAAATATTTGGCAAACATCCATTCACTGTTTGCCAAACTGAACAAAAGAAACTCAGGAAGGGGGAGAGGGGTATGATAGAACCTGGGACAAGAGCTGAACAACTGTCTTTGAGCATGTTCATTCATGTAGTCAGTCAGCATTTATTGAGGGCCTGCCATGGTCATTTACAAATGTGGTCCAGGTAAATAAAAACACAGTTGAAGTTTCCTATCACTGCTGTGTTTGGCCTCTGGGACAGTTTCATCATCTATAATAGTCTGCTTTGTCTCTAGTGCACTCTTATGATGGACATTTAATCCAAAATCTCTCAATAGTGCTCTCACAACAGTGGTTTGCACACAGTAACTGTTTAGGAAAGATTATTAAAAGAATGCTCATGAATCTACATATAAGTATGTACCTTCCTGATACTTTGGGCACTTTCCCACCTTGTCCATTAAATGTTGAGACAGAAACAGTGCTGAACACCTTACATGTGTTATCTCTTTCAGTCTTTACAGCAATCCTATGAGATAGGAACTCTTATTGCTCCAATTTTATAGAGGTTCAGCAACTTACATAAGGTCACACAGGTACTAATTGGAACATTTAAACTCATGGCTTTGGAGTCAGGTGTGAACCTGAAGTCATTAGAGTATACCTGGAACACAGGCTTTCAATAAATATTTATGGACTCAGTGATACTGTTCCCAAGGGAAATGGAAAGGCTTTCTAATTCTTATTGTCCTCTCCACTTGACTCTGGTTCCCTTGGCCTCTCTTCCTTTCCCACGTCATCCCATTCACACTAACATTCATTCAACAAAGGTAGAGGGCCAACTGAGTACCAGATAACGGGCCAGATGCTGGAGATACAGAGATGACAAAACATGGCCCATGCTGAGAGGAGCTTATAGTTTTGCGATGCAGATAAGCATATAATTACAATTGTGGGAGCAAGAGGAGGGAGTGATTTACTGCCTAGGAGACCTGACTGTTCCTTGTGCTGAGCCAGGGGGCAAGGTTTGAGGGTTGAGGGGGGTATGAAAGATGCTGACATCCTCGGGGAATGGTTAAAGCACTGGGTGGGGCCCAGGAGAGTGTCACAGGTAGAATGAGAGGACAAGGCAGGGACCAGATCAGTTAGGACCTTAGTGTTGGAGCCTTTTAAACAGTGAATTCTGCCATTTCCTTTCAAGGATGGGTACTAATAGGCTGGGTCATATCTGTACTTTGGCTCAGACCTCTTACCTAAACTCTAGGACTAAACTTTCACATAGCTATATCCCACCATTTGTGGAGTTATTTATTTATTTATTTATTTATTTAGAGACAAGGTTTCTATCACTCAGACTGGAGTGCAGTGGCGCAGTCTTGGCTTACTGCAACCTCCACTTCCTGGGCTCAAGTCATCCTCCCACCTCAGCCTCCAGAGTAGCTGGGACTATAGGCATGCATCACCATGCCCAGCTGATTTTTTGTATTTTTTGTAGAGCCGGGGTCTCACGATGTTGCCCAGGCTCGAACTTGTGAGCTCAAGTGATCTGCCTGCCTCAGCCTTACAAAGTGCTAGGATTACAGGTGTGAGCCTCCATCCCCAGCCTATCCTACCATTTATGAACATCTTTTTTTTTTTTTTTTTTTTTTCTGGAGACGAGTCTTGCTCTGTTGCCCAGGCTGTAGTGCAGTGGCATGATCTCGGCTTACTGCACCCTCTGCCTCCCAGGTTCAAGCAATTCTCCTGCCTCAGCCTCCCAAGTAGCTGGGACAACAGGCGCACACCACCATGCCCAGCTAATTTTTTTTTAAATGTATTTTAGTAGAGATGGGGTTTCACTGTGTTGCCCAGGCTGGTCTCCGAATTCCCTTTTTTTTTTTTTTTTGAGACGGAGTCTTGCCCTGCACTCCAGGCTGGAGTGCAGTGGCTTGATCTCGGCTCACTGCAACCTCCGCCTCCCAGGTTCAAGCAATTCTTCTGCCTCAGCCTCCCGAGTAGCTGGGATTACAGGCTTGCGCCACCATGCCTGGCTAATTTTTGTATTTTCAGTAGAGACGGGGTTTCACCATGTTGGCCAGGCTGTTCTCAAACTCCTGACCTCAGGTGATCTGCCCGCCTCAGCCTCCCAAAGTGCTGGGATTACAGGCGTGAGCCAACGCACCCGGCCTTTTTTTTTTTTTTTTTTTTTTTTTTGAGACAGAGTCTTGCTCTATTGCTCAGGCTGGAGTGCAGTGGTGCGATCTCGGCTCACTGCAAGCTCTGCCTCCCGGGTTCACACCATTCTGTCTCAGTCTCCCGAGTAGCTGGGACTACAGACGCCCGCCACCACGCCCGGCTAATTTTTTGTATTTTTAGTAGAGATGGGGTTTCACCGTGTTAGCCAGGATGGTCTCGATCTCCTGACCTCGTGATCCGCCTGCCTTGGCCTCCCAAAGTGCTGGGATTACAGGCGTGAGCCACCGCGCCCGGCCTTTTTTTAAAAAAATGTGTTTATTTTCCTTGCGGAGCAGGGCTGCCCCATAAGCAGTGTGCCCAGAGTAGCCCAAATTCCCTAATTCTGTCCGCACTTACACCATCCAATCATACAAGCAGTTGTTAGATCGTTGTGTGCTACTGTTCCAGGGGCCGCTGGAGGTAGAAATTCCATTTCACTAAAATCTAGTCTGTCCTTTGCCCCCACTAGTTGAGTCCAGTTAGTGAGTGTGGAGGTGGGGGCTGGAGGTGTAGAAGAGATAAATAAATATATAGAGAGCCAGTCCAGCTGTCTGGAGGACATTGTCCGCCTCCTCCAATCCCATCAGTTGCCACATCTTCTTTGGTCAGGCTGGCTTTCTCACCTGGTCTCCTTTCTGTGCCCTCCTCACACTGGCTGCCAAAGTGATTCAGCCAGATAGACTGCAAGCCCCGTGAGTGCACGGACGGTGGGTGGTCCATAAACGTCTGATGAACTAATGATACAAGCTTGAATATAGTCTCCTAAAAAAATCTTTAGTTTCTCCTCTGCTTCTAGAATAAAAATCAGATCGCCCCATTTGGCCTTCAAGACCTACTACATTCAGCCACAGTCAGCTTCATTTCCCTTTTTTCCTTTCACTACCTCGAAGGCCAGATTAGCCAGTGATTCACTATGCTTGCCCCGGGCCACTTGTATCCTCTCACCTCCGTTCCAGGCAGCCCTCGCAGCAGATCCTAACGCTTAGGGCTCCTCCAAGTGTACAGGCTCGTGAGGCTTCCCTCCCGCTAAGACCAGTGCGCCCTCAGCACACGCAGTGTGGTCTCGCCCGCCGCTCTGCGCTCGCCCTGCAGGAGAGGGAGCTCTTTGAAGGCAAGGCCGAACCTCCCCCGAGCCCTGAGCTGGGCCTGCCGCCACAGATGTGCAGTCCTGCCGGGGAGCAGTCACCCGGGGACAGGGCCGGGCCCCGGGCTGCACGTCGGGAAGAGACAGCGTGCTCCTGAGGTGGCCAGGCCGCTGCAACTGGCCAGGGCGGGCCCGGGCGGCGAGGGAAGGGGTGGGAAGCCCGGGCCGCGGCGCTTCCTGCTGGGACCCGGCGGCACGCCCCTGCCCCCGCCCCGGCCGAGCCTGCGCTGCCGGCCTCCGGCCCTGCCGGCCGCCCAATCAGCGGGCGCCCCCCGCGCGGCCCGCCCCTCCCCCTCTGGTGACAGAAAGTCGGCCCAGCAGATGAGGAAGTGGCAGGCAGGCAGGCTGGCCCCGGGGACTTCTCTCTGGCCCTGCTCCCTCCGAGCGCTCCGCCGTTGCCCGCCTGGCCCCTACGGGTGAGTCTGGACCTTCCACGGACTCTCCACGTGCCGGCGCCCCCTGCCTGGCCAGCCCGGCCCAGCCCGGCCCAGCCCTGCCCTGCCCTGCCCAGGCTGTGGGCGAGGGTGTTCCCGGGGCCAGTGGGTGGGAGGTCCCAGCTCCCTGGGGCCGGGCCTCGCCAGCACCCTCCCTCCCCCACACCCCCGTCTCTGGCCCCCATTTGCCTACACCCGGGCCTTCCTCCACCACCCCTGCATTTACCTCTCTCCCTCCTCCTCTCCCCTCCCTCCCCCCGCTACCCTAACTTTGCCAGGCACCTTTTCCCTTCCATCCATCTTAAAGGAAGGAAGGGACGGGCTGAGTTCCCCGACGAGAGACACACCCAGATTTTCCTGCAGCTTGGGGAGAGGTCCTCCCAGGAGCCTTGGTCCCTCCTGGCCTGCCGGGTGTGTGGGTTGATATTGGGGGCTGGTGGTTGAGAGATAACAGGCTGGCTGGCTCCCATGTGTCAGGGAGGAACCTGTGTTGGCGCCCTCGCCCCGGCCTGGGCCCTGCCGGCGATGGGCGGCCAGCAAGCCCGATGGTGGGGGAGCAAGTAAGGAGGGGATCCGAGCGTGGCCAGGCAGCGCGCACACGTGTGTGAGTGGCCCCGCGGGTGAGCCCGTGCGTGTGCCTGGGCGGTGGCCGAGCTGCGTGAGGGCCGGGAGCCATGCGTGTCAGCCCACGGAGGTGTTGCGTGGTGTGTCAGGCAGGAGACGTGTGTGCCAGCCCTCGGCGTGGCACCTTCGCTGTTGGGGGTGGAGAGCTAGGTGAGAGGTGGGTGTGGACCGCAGGCTTGGGGCCTGACCACGGTGGGCCTAAAGAAGCCGGGCCTCCTGGAGGTGAGGGGTGTGCGGGGCAGGGAGGTGTCAGAGGTGCGCCTCTTCACTTGGCATCTGCAGAGGTGCTTCTCTGGAAGCAGGGAGTCTGGGGCACCTGCTGCCCTGGGCCCTGCTCTGTTCCAAGAATGCCTTGTCCCTCAGGGACTGTCAGTACCATGCTCTCCTGGGTCTGGCCAGAGGCTTTTGTGTCCCTGGGAGCCTTCCCCCGACATTCCTTCAGGCCCTGAGGGGGAGGGGGCCTAGCCCAACGGGGCCCCTCCCTGAGGGAGGGGAAGATTCCTGCGACCTCCCCCACTCCCCAACCCCTTCACATGCCACTGGCTTCCCTGCCCTTCCCAGGAAGGGAAGAGTGATTGTACCCATTCTGAAGTAGGACAAACTGAGCAGTTATGGCCGGCTTAGGAGAGGATGCTGGGTGTGGATTTTCAGCAGTGCTTTGGGCCAGGGCTGGGGCTGGGGCTGGGGTCAGAGGAGGTTTCTGGCTCAGAATCTAGGACCTTAGCTCATCAGGCTGGTCCCACGTGGGTGGGTGGGTGGCGAGTCTGGGGCTTTACTTGGCTTTCCCAATCCTGGTGGGTCCTGCTCCCCCAGGCACTGACCTGTGGCCCGGACCCACCCTCCACCCCCTGCACAGTACAGCAGGGGCGGGCAGAGGGCGGGGCTGCTGCCAGATCTAGTCAGACAGGTGGAGCCGCCGGGGCAGGAGTCTCAAAGAGCCAGGCTCCAGGAGAGGAAGGGCTCTGCGAGAGGAGAGAGGAGAGCGCTGGAGAGGAGAGGCTGGAGGTGAGAGTCCCAGGAAAGGCAGAGGAGAATCGTAGGGACATAAGTGTCCCAGCACAGGCAAGGAGGAATCCGAGGATAAGGTTCTGGAGGGACAGAAGGGCCCAGAGAGGTGAGAGTCCTGGCAGGGACAGGAGGGACCCTGGGGAGAAGAGAGTTCAGGAAGGGTCCAGAGGGATGGGAAGAGGAGAGGGCAGGAGAGGAGAGATTGAAGGGGAGAATCCCTGGAGAGAAGAAAGACCCAGAGCTGGGGAGGTGAGGGACTCGGGTGAGGAAGGGAGACGGAGTTCAAGAGCTCCCTGTTGGTGAGAAGGTAAGATTCTCCAGTAAGAGACCTGGAATTGAGAGTTATCTTGTGGAGGAAGAGGGGAAGGGAGGCCAGGAAGTAAAACTGTGGAGAGGAGAGGAGAGTAAGGTGTGGAGAGGAAGGGTGGAACAGCTCTTCCCAGGCAAGCAGGATGTGTGGGGAGCAGATGCCTCAACCAAACTGCCTCCTCCCCCTAGTTCCCAGTAATTCCTTCCTTTCACTGTTCTGTCCTTTCTGCAATGAGGCATTGCAGGTGTCTTGTCTGGTTCTGTGTCTTATCTCTGTGGGATGGGGGTGTGCAGTGGGATCTGTCTGACATCCGCCCTCTGTACCTCCCCAGAGTCCTTAGCCAGGATGGAGGCTGTTGTGAACTTGTACCAAGAGGTGATGAAGCACGCAGGTAAGACGCTATCCACCAGCCCTTTCCTTCCTTCTTTCCCGGGATCCCTGGATCTACGGCTGTCTTCTAATGGAGAGTTCCTATGAAACCCTTGATCCTGTGACCTGACCTCATGTCTGTAGACCCTTCAAATGAAGACCCTTCGAACCCTGTGACTCTTCCTGATTCCTTTGACCCTTATTCATAGATCCCCGGATCCAGGGCTACCCTCTGATGGGGTCCCCCTTGCTAATGACCTCCATTCTCCTGACCTACGTGTACTTCGTTCTCTCACTTGGGCCTCGCATCATGGCTAATCGGAAGCCCTTCCAGCTCCGTGGCTTCATGATTGTCTACAACTTCTCACTGGTGGCACTCTCCCTCTACATTGTCTATGAGGTGGGCCCCTGGGATGCCGGGCTTTAATTTCTGTCAGCAGGATAAGGAGCAGGCCATAGAGCCAGAGCATGGCATTTCTCCTTTCCAGAGAGGTTCAGATCCATGTCCTCAGCTAGCGAAGGGGAGGGATGGCTGGGAAGGGAGAACTCTGGTGGTCTAATCCACATCCCTTCCCAGTTCCTGATGTCGGGCTGGCTGAGCACCTATACCTGGCGCTGTGACCCTGTGGACTATTCCAACAGCCCTGAGGCACTTAGGGTAAGTAGGGGCTGGGGCTAGGTCATAAGCAACCTGGTAGATATGACCAGTTTGGGGCCTGTGCTCAAGGCCCAGTTTAGGGAGGCTCTTAGAATAGTGTATGAGGTCCTAAGGCTATCCCAACTTCTTGCAGATGGTTCGGGTGGCCTGGCTCTTCCTCTTCTCCAAGTTCATTGAGCTGATGGACACAGTGAGTAGTTATATGAGATGTGAGAACTTGAGGGGAGAATGAGGTGGAGAAGCCCAGGTTCTGAATCCCCTTCCCTCACTCTTCTCTCAGGTGATCTTTATTCTCCGAAAGAAAGACGGGCAGGTGACCTTCCTACATGTCTTCCATCACTCTGTGCTTCCCTGGAGCTGGTGGTGGGGGGTAAAGATTGCCCCGGGTGAGTGGTGAAGGCCACTATGGGAAAGGGTGGGCACCAGAGGCTGGACTCTGCTGACCCTGTCTTATTGTCCACTCACAGGAGGAATGGGCTCTTTCCATGCCATGATAAACTCTTCCGTGCATGTCATAATGTACCTGTACTACGGATTATCTGCCTTTGGCCCTGTGGCACAACCCTACCTTTGGTGGAAAAAGCACATGACAGCCATTCAGCTGGTGAGGGGCTTGGCCTGACTTACCTATAACCATCCCCCCACATTCCTAGCCTGGATCCTGCCTTTATCCAGTCTGTCTCACCTTTGACCCCATCTCTCCCTACTCAACGTTTGTCTCTTTCTCTACCCCCTCTTCCCCTCTAGTCCTCTCACTATTCCCTCTGACCCTGGTCTTTCTCTATCCTAGATCCAGTTTGTCCTGGTCTCACTGCACATCTCCCAGTACTACTTTATGTCCAGCTGTAACTACCAGTACCCAGTCATTATTCACCTCATCTGGATGTATGGCACCATCTTCTTCATGCTGTTCTCCAACTTCTGGTATCACTCTTATACCAAGGGCAAGCGGCTGCCCCGTGCACTTCAGCAAAATGGAGCTCCAGGTATTGCCAAGGTCAAGGCCAACTGAGAAGCATGGCCTAGATAGGCGCCCACCTAAGTGCCTCAGGACTGCACCTTAGGGCAGTGTCCGTCAGTGCCCTCTCCACCTACACCTGTGACCAAGGCTTATGTGGTCAGGACTGAGCAGGGGACTGGCCCTCCCCTCCCCACAGCTGCTCTACAGGGACCACGGCTTTGGTTCCTCACCCACTTCCCCCGGGCAGCTCCAGGGATGTGGCCTCATTGCTGTCTGCCACTCCAGAGCTGGGGGCTAAAAGGGCTGTACAGTTATTTCCCCCTCCCTGCCTTAAAACTTGGGAGAGGAGCACTCAGGGCTGGCCCCACAAAGGGTCTCGTGGCCTTTTTCCTCACACAGAAGAGGTCAGCAATAATGTCACTGTGGACCCAGTCTCACTCCTCCACCCCACACACTGAAGCAGTAGCTTCTGGGCCAAAGGTCAGGGTGGGCGGGGGCCTGGGAATACAGCCTGTGGAGGCTGCTTACTCAACTTGTGTCTTAATTAAAAGTGACAGAGGAAACCACGGAGGCTGTGTGTATACGTATGTGAACAGAGGAGGTGGGGGAACACAACACGCTTAGCCCTGTCCACAAACAAGAGGGATGGATGGTCCAGGCTCCCACAGGACATATCTAGCTCTCTGATCCCAGTAGAGTAGAGCCCCTAGGAAGGCTGCTGGGACATAGGTCATGAAAGAAGAAAGGCATTAGCTGAAACAGATTTAAAAAAAAAACATGAAGGGAGACATGACTTTATTAGAAAAATAAAAAACAACTGAGGTGATGGGTTGGTCTTCAGCGGATGCCTTGGTGGATGAGGCTGCTTTTGGCTGCACTGGCCTTCTCCCGCTCCCGCCGCCGCGCAGGGTCCAACTCAAAACAGCGCCATAGCCTCAGGGTCTCATCTGCTGCTGCGGATGCCACTGTGGCCCCATCTGGGCTCATGGTCAGACTCAGGACCCGGGATGTGTGACCTGGAGCAAATGAGAACAGTACATACGAATGCTGATGCAGCCATAGCCATAAAGGAGGCACTGGGCCACCCACCTACCTTTTTGTTTTTTTTGAGACTTGCTCTGTCACCCAGGCTGGAGTGCAGTGGCGCAATCTTGGCTCACTGCAAGCTCCGCCTCCTGGGTTCATGCCATTTTCCTGCCTCAGCCTCCCGAGTAGCTGGGACTACAGGTGCTTGCCACCACGCCTGGCTAATTTTTTGTGTTTTTTAGTAGAGACAGGGCTTCACCATGTTAGCCAGGATTGTCTCTATCTCCTGACCTCATGATCTGCCCGCCTCAGCCTCCCAAAGTGCTGGGATTACAGGCGTGAGCCACCGTGCCTGGCCTCCTCCCTTTTTTTTCAATGGTGTTACTGAGATATAATTCACACACCATAAAATGCATCCTTTTAAAGTGTACAGTTTAGTGATTTTTAGTATATTCACAAAATTGTACAACTGTTAAAACTAATTCTAAGACATTTTCAACATTTCCCATTACCCTCTCTCAGCCCCTGGCAACCATTAATGTGTTTTTTCTCTGGATTTGCTTATTCTGGACATTTCAGTCATACATTATGTGGCCTTTTATGTCCGGCTTTTCACCTAGCCACTTACCTTTGAGTTCAGCCACCTTGGCCATGGTTGGGTACTTCCAAATAACTAGCTGGTTCTGTGCAAAGCCATGGCCTGAGATGAGCTCCTTGTAATGGGGAGACCAGAGGATGGAGCACACCTGTGGAGAGGAGCTGGTGTGGGCATGACATATAGCCAAGGCTACTTAAATCAGAACTGAGCCCATTCTAGTGTTAGGCACCCTGCCACATGCTCCAGACTCAGAGTTGAATGATCATAGTCCATACAAAAGTTCCTTGAGAGGCAAATTATAGACACTCGCTGATGTAACCATTTTTTACCTTTACAGTGGGTTTACTGGGACTTAAATCAGGGAGCATCTGTATTATCCATTGGATAGATGAGGAATCAATCAGAAGGAAGTTCAATAGGTTGCCAAAGGTCACATTCAAGTTTAGTAGATGACAGAGCCAGAATTTTAACTTGGGCCATCTGGCTCTAGAGTCCATATCTACAGTGAAGGCTGAATGTGGGGGGAGTGGAAGGAGAGAGCCTCAAGTATCTTTCTAATGGATTTGGATTATATGCCATAAGTGATGGGAAGCCATCACAGGTTTAAGGACAGTACAGTATAACAGACCACAGCATGGAGGATGCATTGCAGGAGATAACAAAGAATGCTTGACACCAGTGAGGAAGCCATTGTAGTGGGCCTCCACTTGGAAGGATGAGGCTGAGGGGAGGGGACAGATGTCAATGATATTTTGAGGTAAAACTGATAGATCCTGGTGAGGAGGATGAAAAATTCTAGGAGGTTTCTCAGATTTCTGAGCAGGTTCTGCCATTCCAAAGCAATGTGAGACAGGAAGGAACACATTTCAGGGAGGCAAGGGGAAGTGACAAGGTTAATTTGGGACAGATCAAGGTGGTGGTGCCTATAGGACATAGGATTGGAGATAGCCACAGACTGTTGGAAATGAAGCTCATGAGTGAGAGCTGAGTTAGAAGTTTGGGAATCACCAGGGCATAGAGTTGGTGAAGCCATTGGAGTGAATGTAGTTGCCCGGTAAGAATGCATGTGGGAGAGGCAGGAACAGGCAAAAGATTACCTGGGAATGGGCATCCACGGCACTCAGACAGGCCCCAGAGCACACATTCCAGATGCGAATGTGTCGATCACTGGTGCCCCCTCCTGTTGCCAGGACATTGGACTGCCAGGGACACCATGCTACGGCCTAGATGGAATAAAGGTGGGGTCAGCAGGTACTAGAGCCAGACAAGGAGCTCTAGGGGTCACAGATTAACCCAGTCCAATCCTACCATCCCTTCTCCCCTTAACAGTCCCCAGATTATAGGTGAGGGTCTGCAGAGGCTTCAGCCCAACCCTACTCACCTTGACAGCCCCTTGATGCTGGGTGAATGTCTGCAGAGGAACCCAGCCACCCTCTCCAGGAGCACTAGGCCACACATTGACCAAGTTATCATTACCACCACTGGCCAAATGTCGTCCATCTGGGGCCCAGCGCAGCCCACACACTTCCTGGCTGTGGCCACTCAGTGTGGCCACATGGTGTTCTGCTACCCGAACATCATGGTGGTGGATGTGGCCAGAACGTGAACCACTGGAGGAGGAAAGAAGGGAATCAGGTTCTGTGGCAGCACCAAATGCAAGCAAGCCAGAGCTGGTTCAGTTCAGGGGTGTACAGTCAAGGGGAGGGTGGGCAAATATCAGACTACCATAGACCAACAAAAACCACTGACCTGGACAGGATATAGCTGTTCCAGCTTAGGGAGCCCACTCGGGCAGAGTGACTGGTCATATTTCGAAGCCGTTTCTGCTGCTGCACATCCCATAGCTAGAGAGAGAAGCCCACTAGGATCAGAGATTGGGACTTGGCATTAATATCCTCCAGCTGTGCAAGCCCATTGGGACTGGTGAGAATGACAGCACTGGACACGTCTCACCTGCACCTCAGCACTGCTGGTGCCCACAGCCAAGTAGTTGCCCTCTTTGATCCAGGCCACAGAGGATATATATTCCCCAGGCTGCTCCATTTGCAAAAGCTGCAGGATGTCACCAGAGCTTGCACTCCACAGGTACACACTGTTGTCCAGTGCCACGGCCAGTACATTCCCAGAACTCCAATCCACAAGGTTCAGGTCTGTCAGAGGTGGAGAGAAGAGCATGAGCTTCCTTGTTTGTGTGGTCCCAGGCCCTCTTTCTCCATGCATGAGGCGAGGATAAGGATGCACTTACAATAGTCATTTCGGATTTCAGGCGCATCCAGGATACGGTCTGGCAGGGAAGGAATGTAACGGCAGGTCTTCCGGCTGGAGCCAGGAGTGGCCTTTTGGCTGTAGAGTACTTTCAGTCTGTTCTGATAACCTGTGGCAACGGAGTGAGTCTAGACGCTGGGAAAATCAACACCTCCCTTGCCCTCAATCTTAGATAGGAAGAGGAGACAGATATCTGTGCTCAGCCCTGGAGATGAACTGACACCTCCCTCCAGGAACCAGGAACTTCGGGTCTTACCCTCTGGCGCATTTTGTGGTTTTCCACTGAGCCGAAGGATCTTGGCTTCCTCTACATCAAAACCGTTCAGGTTCAAAGCCCAGGCTTTCTGATGTTCCTGGCATAAAGGGTAGTGAAGGAGCAAGATGGTATTATCCAAAGAACAGTCAGGTCCCGTGCCTTAAGCCCCTCTGGGACACATACCTTCTTGGTGGGCGTCTGGCTGTTTTCAGGCTGGTTCTCCTTGCTCAGGAGGAAGCTGGCCACCTCCATCTGGGCAGCACTGCGATGGGGGATATAGCGGTCACCGCCAGGTTTGCTAGGAGTGGTCTGAACCTTGGAACTGGATTTGCCTGGGGCGGAGAAAGAGAAGACAGTCTGACCAGGCTCCCCAGGGAGAAAGTATGAAGGCTGCTCTCACTCAGTTCCTTTGGCACCTCACTGACCAGGAGTTCGGCCCGGAGTCCTGCCGGCGCTGTGGGATCGGTTGGCGGCCCGCATGGGTGAGGGGGCCGGGCCTGCGGCTTCCTTGGCTTTGCGCTGCCAGCGCGCAGGGGGTGCATTGGGGATGGGTGCATCCAGCTGAAGCAGCGAGTGCAGGTCACTCTCGAACGCGAACTGTGCCATGGGAGCGCCCGCAGGGGGAGGGGTCCTTGCAGTTGGTGCCTACGGAGCCCTGGAGGAAAGGAGGCGACGGTGCTCAGGGGACAGAAAGGGACCCCTTCGCTCCTGGCCGGCCACAAAATCAGGGCCACCCTCGGCTGCAGCCCCTTCCGGCCTAGCACCCCCTCCCCCTGGCCACGGCCCCACCTCGGCTCAGCCCCACCACCTCTCACCGTGCCCTCCGGAGCAGTTCCGACCGGCTTTAACACGCCTGGCTTACGCCTCTTAAACTCTCCGCTCCGAGCGCCTATTGGCTCCTTCAAAATCCAACCGTCGCAACCGTTGCCCTAGCCCATTGGCCTCTCCGGCGAAGGGGGCGGGCCTTCCGGGGAAAGTCTCAGCTATCACGAGAGTCTAGCGGCGGAGCGCGATTTGAAGGGTACGAGAGGGGCTGGGAGCCGGCGCCAGAGGACTAGTACTGGAAAGCCGGCCGGGACAGGGCGGGGCAGGGCGGGGCCGGGTGGGGCCTGCGCTGCCTCAGCGTCCTGGAGTCGTCTCGGTTCGCCCTTTTGCGTGCCTTCCACCGCCGCGAGCTCGGAATGTCTGGCCCCGGGTGCTTCAGGGTCCGAGAACCTGCAGAAGTTCACACTTAAATCCTACACGAGAGTCGTATTTATGATGCAGAACTCGGTGCAGAACCCGATGGAGTGCCCAAGGCGCTTGAGCCGTTCCTAGAAGGGGAAGGAGAGCCGCGGGCGGCAGCGGGGCAGGGGACGGAATTGGGAAGCTTGGGAGCAGGAAGAAGGCCAGAGCTACTTAGGGTACATTCCACTTTTGCTTGGCGCCGGGTAGGAACCCTGCTAGAAAGGAAGTAACGTGTGTTTGTCTCGTTTGCTGTTGTTTTACAAACAGGGAAAATGAGGTTGAAAAGGGTGAATGAATTCCTTAAGGTCAAGAAAAAGGATCGGTATTCAAACCTGCCTATCTGGAAGATAAGCTTAGACTGCCCTACAGGAGGCACTGTGGCTTATCCCCTTGGGGCTTTAAAGATGTGAGGACCTTAGAGATCCATTAGTCTAACCTGTGCGTGGTGCAGCCTCCCCACCCCGACAACAAATCCATATTTTACAGATGGAGAAACGGAGGCCCAGGGAAGGGATGTGCCCGAGGTCATACAAAGAAGTTTGTGGGAATCCAGGTCTGACTCGCACTCAATCTAGTGCTCTAATAATGACTTGAGTGAATTGTATGAATGTGCTCAGAGGTGGAGCAGCAATCATAAAAGTAATAATGGTACCATTTATGGACCATCTAACTACTGTGTTAAAACAATTTACAGGCCATGCGCGGTGGCTCACGCTTGTAATCCCAGCACTTTGGGAGGCCGAGGCGGGCAGATCACGAAGTCAGAAGATCGAGACCATCCTGGCTAACACGGTGAAACCCCGTCTTTACTAAAAATACAAAAAATTAGCCGGGCTTGGTGGCGGGCGCCTGTAGTTCCAGCTACTCGAGAGGCTGAGGCAGGAGAATGGCGTGAACCCGGGAGGCGGAGCTTGCAGTGAGCCGAGATCGAGCCACTGCACTCCAGCCTGGGCAACAGAGCGATACTCTGTCTGAAAAAAAAAAAAAAAGTTTACATACATTATCGAGTTCAATCCTTAATCCCATAAGGCAGATAGATACCCCATCTTCCCTTTACAGAAAAAAGAAACTGGGTCAGAAAGATTAGAAACTTGCCCAAAGGCATGCAGCCAATAATAAGTAGGGGAGCCCAGGATTCAAACTATCTGACTAATCCCTGCAATCTAAACAATACGCTATACTGTCCCAGAAAGAGGCTGGAAAAATCATTTTCAGTCATTAGCTTAAAGTCCACTCCGATGCTTACAGATAATGTTATTATCTTTGACTTGAAGCCTTTGCATTCTCTATTTCCAATTACCTTGGAAAATAAGGAATTGGATATGCTTAGGTTAGAGGTGGGGAATTCCCAGAAAACATAGAAAAGGTTGTCTCATGTCAAGTTGGTCAGGGTCTTAAATGTTAAGCTAAAGACTTTGGACTTCATCTGCTAGGCATTGTGGTACCTGTGGGGTTTCTGTGTAGGGAAGGACCAAATAAAACATCTGAGGGGGGGGATATGGCAATAATTTGCAACTTCTGGTGGTAGCTATAGAGAAGGATAAAGGGTATAGCCTCAGGGAATTTGTACATTTAAAAATAAAGGATTTGGGCAGGTTGTCATGGTTCACTCCTGTAATCCCAGCACTTTGGGAGGCCAAGGCGGGCAGATCACTTGAAGTCAGTAGTTCAAGACTAGTCGGGCCAATGTGGCGAAACCCTGTCTCTACTAGAAGTACAAAATTAGCCAGGTGTGGTGGTGCACACCTGTAATCCCAGCTACCTGGGAGGCTGAGGCAGGGGAATCGCTTGAACCTGGGAGGCGCAGGTTGTAGTGAGCGAGGTCGCGCCACTGCACTCTAGCCTGGGTGACAGAGGGAGACTTTGTCTCAAAATAATAATAATAATAAATGAATGAAGGAAGGCAATGGAAATTATCCAGACATGGATCTTGAAGTGGGAGATACCCTAATATATGTAGTCAAGTGGAATGATGACAGAAAGGGTCAGATTTGGCCATTGAAAATCAAATTACCGATGACTTTGGAGAGAGCAGGATCAGGAAAGTGGGTGCTTGAGATCCATTTTGGAGGAGTTGCGGAAAGAATGAAATAGGGAGAACGGGAAGCCGGCAAGTATAGGTGACTTGTGTAGCCCATCCCCTGATATCCTCTATATTCGTTTGCTAGAGTTACTGTAACAAAGTACCACAAACTGGCTTAAATGACAGAAATTGGTTGTCTCACAATTCTGGAGGTTAGAAGTTCCAGATCAAGGTGTCATGAGAGTTGTGTGAGAACCGTGAGGAAGAATCTGTTCCATGCCTCTCTCCTGGCTTCTGGTGGTGGTTTGCCGGCAATCTTTGTCATTCCTTGGCTTATAGAAGAATCGCCCTGTTCTCTGCCTTCATCTTCACTTGGCTTTCTTTCTGTGTGTATGTGTGTCCAATTTTCTCTTTTTATAAGAATACCAATCATATTGAACTAGGGCCCTGACCTCATCTTAACT
This sequence comes from Homo sapiens, assembly GCF_000001405.40. NCBI lineage: Eukaryota > Metazoa > Chordata > Mammalia > Primates > Hominidae > Homo > Homo sapiens. The sequence continues at coordinate 43,356,107 of NC_000001.11, read as the reverse complement.
AATTATATCTGCAATGACCCTATTTCCTAATAAGGTCGTATTTGAAGTACTGGGAGTTAAGACTTCAACATCTGGCTGGGTGTGGTGGCTTACACTTGTAATCCCAGCACTTTGGAAGGCCAAGGCCAGAGGATTGCTTGAGCTCATGAGTTTGGGACCAGTCTGGGCAACATAGTATCACCTTGTCTCTAAAAAAAATACAGAAAACAGGCCTGCGCGGTGGCTCACACCTGTAATCCCAGCACTTTGGGAGGCTGAGGCGGGCGGATCACTAGGTCAGGAGATCGAGACCATCCTGGCTAACGCGGTGAAACCCTGTCCTGCGAAAAATATAAAAAAAATTCGCCGGGCATGGTGGCGGGCGCCTGTAGTCTCAGCTACTCGGGAGGCTGAGGCAGGAGAATGGCGTGAACTCGGGAGGTGGAGCTTGCAGTAGGCCGAGATCGCGCCACTGCACTCCAGCCTGGGCGACAGAGCAAGATTCCATCTCAAAAAAAAATAATAATAATACAGAAAACATTAGCCAAGCTAGTGGTGCACACCTGTAATTCCAGTAGTCCCAGCTACTTGGGAGGCTGAGGTGGGAGGATCGCTTGAGACCAGGAGTTTGAGGCTGCAGTGAGCCGTGACCACACCACTGCATTCCAGCCTGGGCGACAGAGTGAAGACCCTGTCTCAAAAAAAAAAAAAAAAACAAAAAAACTTTTATCTTTTTTTGTGGTGTGGTCTTGGCTCACTGCAACCTCTGCCTCCCGGTTTCAAGTCATTCTTGTGCCTCAGCCTCCCAAGTAGCTGGGATTTCAGGTGTGTGCCACCGGGCCCGGCCAAAAAAAAAAAAAAAAGGACTTTAACATGTGAATTTGAGGGAGAGGAGAGGAATAGAATTCAATCCATAATATCCTCCTACTGTTGGAACCCAAGCAGAAACCAAAGCCCAGGAGAATGCTTGGATGCCAGCCATATGAATCAGCCTTGCTAAGCATAGGACAAGATGGAGAAGGATGGAGAATAGGTCTGGGTGGGACAAATGGATGACATCCAGTATACCCAATCTCCATAATTCCTCCCCAGCCACATGAAAGGCTCTGACTTTACTCCTAGGGACTCAAGACTGGAATGGGAAGAGCATGAAATTGAGCTGTCTATCCCCCTGGATCTCTCATTGCCACCTGCCCATAGGTTGGCTGCACCCCTCCACCAAAGAAAGGCCATGACTCCTTCCTGGCAGCCCTGTCTTACAGCTACTCTCTGGTGATCTGGGAACCACTCCCTCCCTTACCCCTTGATGCCTAGGGCTAGTGCCAGCACCTTGTTGTTGTTAGCCTCAGAGGCACTTGCACTGTTCCTTGATGGTTTTCCCAAATCTTGCCCTCATCTTTGTAAATACTGTTTGCCGTTTATTACACTGTCATCATATTACCCAATTTGAGTGTGTCATCTATTTCTTCCAAGACCCTGACTGATACAGTGGGTATATTTGGAGCCAGAAAAAACAATGACAACAAAACCATTTGTTTGAGAATTAGAATGTGTTAGGAGAGTCCATAATCAGAACTGTCTGAGCACATTTACTGCTGCCTATGAACGGTTTAGAGGATGAGGACAGCTGGCATGGGATTAAGGTAACCTTGTCCAGAAAGATTTCATTCATTTAGAAAAAATTTATTGAAGGCCTACTATCATGCACCAAGCACTACTCTAGGTGCTGGGGGAAAAGGACAAATAAATCATGTTCCTTTCCCTCAAGGAGCTCACAATCTAGTAGCAGGGGACAGATATGTAAACAGTTAGTTGCATAAAGCATCACAGTGCTGTAGTAGATGTCTGAGCTAGAGATAAGAACTTTGGAATGGTCAACATATAGTAAAGGCAGAGAATAGATGGGATTGGAGACTGTTAAGAAATGGAATCTTGAAGGACTGTAATAATTGGAAGAAATGCTAGAAGAGGAGAGTAAGAAGGAATAATTATAACAGTAGTTCGGATATATGAATCATTTACTATGTCCTAGGGACTGTGCTTTACTTAGATTATCTCAATCCTCGTCACAACTCTATGGGGTGCTGTTATTATCCCTGTTTTACAGATGAAAAAACTAAGGCTCAAAGACATTAAGTTATGTGCCCAAGGTTGCACAGCTAGTAAATGTGAAGGACAGGAATTGAATCCAGCTCTGATTCTAGATCTAGTTTATTCTCTTAACTACTAGTACACTCAGCCGGGCGCAGTGGCTCATGCCTGTAATCCTAACACTTTGGGAGGCCAAGGTGGGTGGATCACCCGAGGTTAGGAGTTCAAGACCAGCCTGGGCAACATGGCAAAACCCTGTCTCTACTAAAAATATGAAAATTAGCTGGGGCTGTGCGCAGTGGGTCACACCTGTAATCCCAGCACTTTGGGAGGCAGAGGCAGGCGGATCACGAGATCAGGATATCGAGACCATCCTGGCCAACGTGGTGAAAACCGGTCTCTCCTAAAAATAGAAAAAAATTAGGCATGGTGGCAGACGCCTGTACTCCCAGCTACTTGGGAGGCTGAGGCAGAATGGCTTGAACCCGGGAGGCAGAGGTTGCAGTGAGCCGAGATCGTGCCACTGCACTCCAGTCTGGCAACAGAGCAAGGCTCCGTCTAAAAAAAAAAAAAAAAAAAAAAAAAAAAAATTAGCTGTGTGTGGTGGTGTGCGCCTGTAATCCCAGCTACTAGGGAGGCCGAGGCACAAGAATCGCTTGAACCCGGAGGTGGAGGTTGCAGTGAGCTGAGATCGCGCCATTGCACTGCAGCCTGGGTGACAGAGTGAGACCCTGTCTCAAACAAATAAAAAAAACCTACTAATATACTCAAAGAGGCAGGACCAAGGTAGGAAAGAATTTAAAGGAGAAGTGAGTAGTCAGCCTTGACAAATCTTACAGCGAGATCAAAGGAACTGATGATTAACGAGATCCTATTGGATCTTGGAATTAGAAGATTTGAGGTGCACTTTGCCTGGGCAGTTTCACTAGCAAAGTGTAGTAGGGGAACTAATTGAAGTAGTCTCAAGAGTAAATGGGAAGTGTGGGGAAGTGGAGGCTTGTTTTCAAGGCGTTTGACATCAAAGAGGAGAGAGAAAGTAAAGGAGGAGCTTAGTGAAATGAGCCTGCCTGTGGAGAAAGGGTCCTGGTTTTATGTCAGCAGCAGTAGAGTAAGATCAGTGCAATGAAGCCTAATTGTGAGGGCAGACAGAGGGGGATGGAGGTGAGGTCTGGGGTGCTTGTGTTGTGGGGGTAGGGTAGGGAAGTTCACAGAGAAGTCTCGAGAGTTTAGCTCTGTCCAGGGAACTGGGAGTGAGGAGCCTGTCCTCAAGGCTGCTGCCAATAGCTTAGTGGTAGGTAGGAATGGTTGGCAATGTGGGTGGTACAGCAGGACCCTGACTCAGCCATGGGTGGGCACACAGACAGGGGCATGGTCCCCAGGCAAGAAGGCTGCAATCTTCGGTAGTCCATCTGGGCCTGGGAGGAACACAGGGGCAAAGGAGTCCTCTCTGAGGACTTGGGGAGGATTTCAAGGAGGCTGGGTTCCACTTCTTCACAGGTATCTGAGACTGTGGCCTTGGGCTGGGAGAGATGAGGAGAGGCGCTGGATTAAAGCAGATCCTGTGGGAGGAGGGGCTGGACTGTACAGGAAGGAGAAGGGCTGGGGTAGTGCTGGGGTAGTGCCTGGGGATGGCACACTGGTAGGGCAAGGACCTTGAACAAGTTGTATTGTTGGGGCAAGGATCCAGTACCAGGCAGGGTTGGTGGTGGGCACAGGGGAGGGAAGCACACTCACCGGGCTCAGGGCTGCAGTGTCCCTAAGGTACTGGCCTAGGACCCGGTGCAGGTCTGGAAGTGAGGGCCACAGGGCATGCCTCAGTCTCCTGGGGGAGAAGGAAGAGAAGCAGACTGAGCCATGGCAGTGGATTGGCAGGGAGGAGGACAGCAGTTGGGGTGGGGGAGCAGTGAGGCCGGGGAGTAAGGCTTGGAGATATAAGAGCATGGTCAAGGCAATAAAGTTGGGCAGGGGAGTAGAGTAAGAAGAAAACCTCAGGTAGGGGAGGGAAGTCAGTGGTGGGCAGGTTCAACAAAGGGTGCTGCAGTTTCCTCAAACACTCCAATGTTTGTTCTGTCTGGAACACTGGATTCATTCCCTCACCTCATTGTAGGCCTCTGTTCAAATGTCATCCCTGACTACCTTGCCTGAAACACAGTAGTCCCTCTTTATCTGCAGGGGATATGTTTCAAGACTCCCAGCAGATGTTTTTTCTATACGTACATACCTACAATAAAGTTTATAAATTAGGCACAGTAAGAGATTAATAATGACTACTAATAAAATAGAACAATTAGAACAATATGCCAACATCACTACTCTTGTACTTTGGGGCCATTATTAACTAAAATGAGGGTTACTTGAACACAGCTCTGCAATACCTCAACGAGTCAATCTGATAAGCAAGATGGCTGCTAAGTGACTATGGGGCAGGGAGCATATACAGCGTGGAGATGCTGGACAAAGGGATGATTTACATCCCGGGTGGGACAGAGCGGCATGGCAAGTGATTTCATCGTGCTACTTACAATTTAAAATACATGAATTGTTTATTTCTGGAATTTTCCATGTAATTTTTTTCAGACCTTAATTGACTGCGTGTAACTGAAACCACAAAAAGTGAAACTGTGGATAAGAGGGGACCACTGTAGTGCTGCTTCCTTTCCCCATGACAGGCTATCTCCTGCTGTACTTCATTTTTCCTTATAGTATTTGACTTGTTGTACATTTATTACATTGTTATGTATATTTCTTTTTGTCTGTCTCACCCCACTAGAACATATGGTCCCCGAGAAAAGAGAGTTTGTCTATTTATTCACTCCTGTATTTCTAGGGTGTAGAATAGTGTCTGACCCATAGTAGGTGCTCAGTAAATTAGCTGAATGAATGAATGAAGAAAATCAGTGGAGCTTATTAGTAAGTTACTGGAGAGGGTAGTCTATCTGGGAAGAATATGGATTAAGATGTATTGGAGGGGCCTCCATTTTTTTGTTGTTTTGTTTTGTTTTGTTTTGTTTTGTTTTGTTTTGTTTTTGAGATGGAGTCTCCCTCTGTGGCCCAGGCTGGAGTGCAGTGGCGCGGTCTTGGCTCACTGCAAGCTCCGCCTCTCAGGTTCACACCATTCTCCTGCCTCAGCCTCCTGAGTAGCTGGGACTACAGGCGCCCACCACCATGCCTGGCTAATTTTTTTTGTATTTTTAGTAGAGATGGGGTTTCACTGTGTTAGCCAGGATGGTCTTGATCTCCTGACCTTGTGATCTGCCCACCTCGGCCTCCCAAAGTGCTGGGATTACAGGCGTGAGCCACCGCACCCGGCCAGAACCTGGATTCTTTAGCTTCATATTTCCATGTGGAGGGACGTCAGTAGAACATTTCAGGCCGCTTCAGTGACCTCACTCATATCTCTCCAGGGGAGAAGGTGTGACTTACCTGGTAAATTGGGGAAAAGAAACTGAGTATGCCTGGCTCAGCAGACCACCTCCTCCTACTTCTCCAACTTTTTTGTTGGATCTGGCTACCTGCATGGAGGCTACCTTTCAGTCTGCTCATACGTATGGGCAGATTAAAAGTTCAAAGAGAGGTATGTTCAGAGGGAGATGGTAGCCCATGAGAGTGGCACCTGAACCAGCCCAGGACCATCAGAAGACACCATCTGGAGGAGATGACTTCTGAGCTAAGTCTTAAAGAAGCAGCAGATGAAGGATGGAGGTGGGATGCATTCTACCCTTCATGTTTATAGCCTCCAATGGCATTTCTCCTCAGCCTTCGTCTTCCCACATAAATGAGTCACTCATTAATAACATTTATTTAAGGGCCTGCTTTTTGGCAGGCACTGTGCTAAGGATTTAAAGATGACCAAGTAAGGTATAATAGGGAAGATATATAAAGAAATAAACACAGTAAAACACTACTGGTACTGTATTGGAGCACAGAGCAGCGGCCAAAAGGGGGAGGGTCAGGAAAGGTTTCTTAAGAGTTGGTGAAGAAAGTTATTTACAGATGAATGGGTTTAGTGAGACAGGGAGGCTATTTCAGGCAGAGCGGACGTTATGTGCAAAGGCACTGAGAAGTAAAACCTGACTTGTGGAGAAAACCAGTTTGGAAAGGCTGATGCACAGGGTAGAACAGGCTGAAGTGCTTGCTGGCAGGGGCCGATTTTGCAGAGCCTCGCTTGTCATCATAGGGAGCCTGGACTATATCCTGGGAGCTATTGAAAGGATTTAAGGAGGGAATTGATAGGTTCATGTGCGCATTTTAGAAAGATTATTCTGGTGGCTGTGTGAGGCTAGATCGGAGGGGCAAGAGGTTCTGTTTCAGTGAGTCAGGTCGTGTCTGTAGGGCTAGAGAAAGGGGGCCATTGTTTGGACTAGGTTTAGGAGGTGGGACCTGACGGCAGATTGGATGGGGGTGGAGTGGGCAGTTTGGCTGAAGGGTGGACGGTGGCCTAGTCGCCGAGGTGAGCAGCAGGAGGCGGGGCTGTTCGAGGTGGGCGGTATAGTGGGCGTGTTAGAGTGTAAGGAGCCGCGGCGAGTCCCAGAGGTGACGTGCAGGAAGTGGCGAAGCCGTAGGTGCGCACGGGCGGTGGACGGAGATCTGGGGTCACAGAGCGAACCAAGAATGCCTGTTTACAGGCCTTCGGCTCCACCTGGTCCACCGCCAGTCTCCTGCCTGGCGGGGGCGGTACCTGTAGTGTGCAGGAAACTGCCACCTCAGCAGCAGCAGGCCCAGGACGGCGCTGAGGCCCAGCACTAGATGCAGAGCGGTCACCAAGGAGATCCAGGCTAGGAGACAAAAAGGGTCAGACTTCGGCCCACCCGGGCCGGAGCCCCGCCCTCATCCAGCCAGCCCCTACTCTGGCCCCGCCCCTCGCCGCCCCTGGGCACTGCGGGCACCTGCGCAGCCGTCGGCCCGCAAGGTCAGGGCCCCGCCCCTCTCCGCGCCCCGCGCCTCGCCCCTCTCCGAGCCCCGCCCCACTCGCACCCGGCGCCCAGTCCCTGGCGCAGGCGCTGTGCGGCTTTGGTGCGGCCGGGGCTTGCCTCACCGGTCTCGGTGGCGGTCTCCACCCTAGTTGGGTCCGACCACGAGCTCCAGGGACCTTGGTAGGTGGGGCCGTTGAGCCTGGCGCGCAGCTGTAAACGGTAGCGAGATCGCGGGCGCAGCTCCAGGGTCCCTCCTCGGGCCCCGAGAGGCGGCTCCAGCACCTGAGCAAAGAAGCGTGCGGTGGCCCGGCGTCGGGGCTTCGATAGCCCAGCGTCTGTTTGACCCAAATCCTGCAGCTCCGAATCCCCAGGCGGTCGGAGATTCCCACAAAGAGCCCCACCGGCAGAAAACACGCTTCCCAGCAACAGGATAGAGCGCCCTAACCGAGAGCCTCTCCCTAACGGGATCACGCTCTGCCCGAGAGAAACGTGCCAGGCCCACCTCCTGAGACACAGACCTCACCTCAGAGAGCTACGTATCCTAACACCAACACCCAGGTACACCCTCGGCAGGGATCCCGGTACACGCACACCCTACCGGGTGTTCTCACAACTCCAGGTCGGGCGATGGACACCCCCAGAAACAGATATATTCAGAGCCACACAGACCATGCCACAAATAATACTCATGCTGCAGAGGATGCCAGATTTGCGTTAGGCGCTGGGGTACAAGCATCATGTGTACAAGCAGGAAGGCAGCAAACATTTATGAACTGTGTGATACTCCAAACATTGGGTTAGGCACTGGGGAGAAAGCAATAAAACACCGTCTCTTACATATCTAATGAGAAAGACATCCAAACAGGTAAATAATCACAACAATTAATTAGTGCAAGGCACCACGGAAGTCCAGAGAAGCATTTAATGCTTGGTTTTGTGCCACAGAGTAGTTTAGTGTGCTAAAAGCATGGATGACACGGCTGGATGGTCACAGATGAGTCTAAGGCAATCCTGGTAGGAATTTGAGGACTATTAGTACGTTATTGCCATCAACTTAGTTGATGAGTAAGGGGAAGGGATAAGGGAAGAGCAAGAAGAGTCAAGGGTGCTTCTAGGCTTGGGTACTGGGTAAGTAGCGGTGCCATTGTCAGAGACAGGACACAGAAGAGAAGTAAGTTTGAGGAAGATATACTTTAGGGTTCCATTTTATAGAGTTCAACAACAGTCCAAATGAATCAATGGTAATGTCAGGATGGTGATTACCTTTGGTGGCGGGGGATGTGTCGGAGCATTGGGAGCTTCTGAGGTGCTGGAAATAATTTATATCTTGATCCTGGTTATGGTTATGTGGATGTATACACAAGTACAGACTATATATGTAAAATTTGTACACTTTGTTGTATGTAAGTTTTATCACAATAAAAAAGTAAAGCTTCAGGAGGAAGAGGAGTTCCATTCTGGATAGACTGAGTCTGAAATGTCCAGGGGGAGGAAGTTTTGGTAGAACCATAAGATGTTGTACATAGTTGTATATATGTGTGGCAAATGAGAATAAAAGTAGACAAACTAATATTTAAGTAATGTATATTGAGCACCTTCCTTATGCCAGGCAGTATGCTAGGTATTTAGATATAGTATTTAATCTTTACTATAACTCCATAAGGTAGATAGCTTCATCCTCATTTCACCAATGAGGAAACAGACTTCAAACATTTTGGTAATTTGCCTGTGGTTTGTAAATTCCTTTCCATATGGGAGTTAGAATGGTAAAATTGCGATTGTTAATGTATGGACATTGAAACCATGGAGTTAAAGCACTCACCTGGGGAGAACATATTTATTTTATCAGAGGAGAAAAGAGCCTAGGATGAGACTCTAGGAAGCACAGCATTTTGTGGAAGGCTGGAAAGGAGGAGCCAGGAGAGGAGAGTGAGAAAGTTCAGTCAGAGAGGTAGGAGGAAAATCGGGGAAGACTGATATCCCAAAGACAAAGGGAAGAGAAATGTTAAGTAGGAGTAGCCAGAAATATCAGATGCCCAAGAGAGACTAAGATACCAGTTGAATCTGATAAACATAGATATACTAGCAGAGACTGGATACATAGACACTTTCACTCCTGCTAACAGGCATGGCCAACCCCAGGGATCCCCTGCGTAGTGAGGTCTGTGGGCATTTGTTGCTTGACCATACCTTCCAGTCCTGATGGCCTTCTCCTGTGTATCGGAGTTGATAACAGGTCTCTTGGGCTGCCCAGGACGATGGGTGCTGCCACTCCAATTCCAGATGCCCACTGGAGATCTCCCTCCAGTGCAAGTTTGGGGTGGGGAGGCGCACTACAGGGATGTCAGCAGGGAGCAGCTTAAGTCCTTCTGTGCACAAGGCATTGTGCCACCAGAGCCATCGGTCAGAAGGGTCAGAGTTGGGGATCCTGGGCACAGGGTCAGATTCAGTGGGGGTGGGAACTATGTGGGAAGAATGAGGAAGAAAGTTCTTACCAGCCTGGTGGATCCAGAAAGGGGAGCCCAGGTAGCTGTGAACAGTACCCGGGGCTGTGGTCACCTCCACAAGGATGTGAATAATGCTGTCATTTCGTGACTTGAAGTGGCAGCGAGAGAACTGTGGGGTCTGTAGTCCTGGATTTGTTTTCTCTTCCTCTTCGCAGTTCTCCCAGATGGGGTACCTAAGACCCAGCCCCACAGAGTCATTGAATCAGGCCTGCCCCAGAGACTAATCCCAAGGCTTCCCATCCTACAAGAACGATGGCCTGCAGGGATTATCATTTAACTCCTTCCTTCCAGGGGCCTCCAGAGCTTTCCCTCTGTCTTTATGCCATGATGTTTTCTTTTTGTTTTTTCCTTTGTTCATTTGTTCGTTTGTTTTTGCTATTTTGCCATGATGTTTTCTGAAGTCAGCTTTGTTGTCTGGCCTCTTCCCTTTGAGGAAAGACCTGGCATGATATGTGAAAACAGCATGGGTTTTCACCAAGAGTTGAGGTCTTGGCTTACCTTTGTGTAACTTTGGGCAAATTACTTGGTTTATCTCTGCTCCAGTTTCCTTCTATTTGTAAAATGGGTTAATGATACCAACCTCACAGGATTGTTTCAAAGATTAAAGAACCCTCATCTTTCTGGAGAAAAATATCCTCTATTTTTAACGTGTTCTCATACGTCATTCCTCCTACTCTCCCCTATGTGTTATTTTGCTATTAGATTATGACAATAGTCTCCTAACTGGCTTTTCTGCTTCTGTTTTTGCCACTACCTTCAAGTTGTTCTCCACACAGCTACCAGAATTTGTTTCCAAAAATGTTGATGTGATAATGTCCAGAATATAATGTCACAAACTATTGATTTTGATCTTTACCACTGCTATGTTAGATGAAGCCACTATCATTCCTTGCTTGGATTAAGGCAAATTTCTGACTGGTGATTCTGCTTCTACTCTTATTTATTTATTCACAGAGAAACATATCTTTTAAAAATGTAAGTCAAATTGTCATTGTTTACTGCTTAAAATCCTTCAGTGGCTCTTCATCCCACTTGGAATAAAACCCAAACCCCTTACCAGGCCTACAGGACTCTGTGATTTGGTTTCTCCTTGCCTTGCCATTCTCATCTCTTATGATTCTCATGCCAGTTTATCACCCTTCATCCGCACAGGCCTTCTTTCTGTGCCATAGATATGCCAAATGTGCTATCTTTGCACTTTGCCTTTGCCCTGGATTGCTCTGACTGTAGGTCTTCATGTGACTCATTCCTTCTTGCCATTTAGATCTCGGCTTATCTGTCACCTCCCTGGTGAGGCTTTTCCTGGCCACTCAGTCTAAATTAGCAACACCCACCCCCCACCCACCACACGCCCCCCTTTAGTCTCTATTATAACTTTGTTCCTTTATTTCTTTACTTACTTTTCTCCCCCTCCTTTTCCCCTCCCCTCTACTAATGTAAGCCCCAACAATGCTGGAACCCTTTCCACTTTATTTATTTTTAAAAATGTTTTGAGACAGTCTTGCTTTGTTGCCCAGGCTGGAGTGCAATGGTACGATCTCAGCTCACTGCAGCCTCTGCCTCTTGGGTCCAAGCGATTCTCCTGCCTCAGCCTCCTGAGTAGCTGGGATTACAGGCACCCACCACCACACCTGACTAATTTCTGTATTTTTAGTAGAGATGGCGTTTCGCCATGTTGGCCAGGCTGGTCTCGAACTCCTGACCTCAAGTGATCTGCCCACCTTGGCCTCCCAAAGTGCTGGGATTACAGGTGTGAGCCACCGAGCCTGGCCCCTTTTCCATTTTATTTGTTGCACTATTTATCCCCAGTACCTTGCAAAAAGTCACTCTCAATAATTCTTTATTGAACAATTGAATCATGTCTCCCTCTTGATTATAACCCCTAAGTGGCTCACCGTCACTAAAATGGGTATGTTTACCCATTTAATCAACAAATAATTGATACTATGTGCCAATTGGTACTGTGCCAGGCCCTATGAGTGCATAGAGGAATAAGGTTCAAAGAGCTCTAATTTCAGTGGGAAAGACAGAAAAACAAACATGATATTTTTCTGTGATGTGCATAGACTGGCTTGGGAGCATCAAAGGGGAGCATCCAACCCAGACTGGGAGGGTCAGGGAATGCTTCCTGGATACGGCGATGTTTAGACTGAGTTTTGAACTAAAAATAGGATAGGCAAAAGGGACAAACAGGCATCCCAGGCACATGGTTGTGCATAGATAAGAGAGTGTGGTGCTTTGGGGGAAATTCTAAGTGGTGCAGATGGTTTTCGCATAAAGGGCCTGGTGGTAGGTGGTAAATGTGAGACTGCAGACCATGTCATGGATGGCCTTATGGCCTTTCTGGGGAGCTTGAACTTGAATTACTACTAACCTTGTGGTAGTTATGTAGACATTTAAGGATTTTAAGCAGGGAAGTGCCATAGCTACCTTTGTACTTTAGGAAGATCATTCTAACTACAGTCTGTAGAAAGGATTTGTGAGGGCCGACTAGAAGCAGAGAAATCCATTATGACATTCTTGTAGTTTTTCATGTGCAAAGTGATGAGGATGTGAAAATAGGGTAGCAGCAGTGAGAGACAGGGAAAGAGATGATTGAAGAGATATTGAAAAGGTAAAAATGACAAGACTATTTCTGGTTAGGCCTGGAGGGTATTGGAATGGGAGAAGTCCAGGATGATTTCTATTTTTCAGTCCAGGAAAACTGAATTCATGGTAGGATCGGAGACAATAAAGAAAAAGCAAGTTTTTTTTTTCTTTTTTTTTGAGACAGAGTCTTCTCTCTGTTGCCCAGGCTGGAGTGCAGGGGCACGATTTCAGCTCACTGCAACCTCCGCTTCCCGGGTTCAAGCATTTCTCCTGCCTCAGCCTCCCAAGAAGCTGGGACTACAGGCGCGTGCCACCACACCCGACTAATTTTTGTATTTTTAGTAATGATGAGGTTTCACCATGTTGGCCAGGCTGGTTTCCAACTGCTGACCTCAGGTGATCCACCCACCTCGGCCTCCCAAAGTGCTGGGATTACAGGTGTGAGCCACTGTGCCCAGCAGGAAAAGCAAGTTTTGATAGAGGAAATGATGACTTCAGTTTTGCTACCCTTTAGTCCACTCAGGCATCTCAATCCTATGGATATGTATGCAGTTATTAAAAAGAATGAGTTACATCTTTTTGTAATGATCTCTGAGACATGTTTTTAAGCAAAAAGGTGAGTCAACAAACCATATATGTAATGTAATCCAATTTATATTTAAAAATTAAATATTAGGCTGGGTGTGGTGGCTCATACCTGTAATCCCAGCACTTTGGGAGGCTGAGGTGGGTGGATCACTTGAGGTCAAGAGTTCGAGACCAGCCTGGCTAACATGATGAAACCTCGTCTCTACTAAAAATACAAAAAATTAGCTGGGCATGGTGTCGCACATCTATAATCCCAGCTACTCGGGGGGCTGAGGCAGGAGAATCGATTGAACCCTGGAGGCGGAGGTTGCAGTGAGCTGAGATCACACCACTGCACTCCAGCCTGGGCAACAGAGCAAGACTCCATCTCAAAAAAAAAAAAAATATTACATGTTAGGCTGGGCGTGGTAGAGGGGCTGAGATGGGAGGATTGCTTGAGCTCAGGAGTTTGAGACCAGTCTGGGCAACATAGGGAGACCTTGTCTCTACTTAAAAAAAAAAAAAAAGAAAGAAAGAAAGAAAGAAAGAAAATGCCTGTAGTCCTAGCTAATCAGGAGGCTCAGGTGGGAGGATCGTTTGAGTCTGGGAGGTCGAGGCTGCAGTGAGCCATAATCATGCCACTGCACTCCAGCCTGGACAACAGAGCAAGACCCTATCTCAAAAATAATAAAATTTAAATGTTGTATAGAGATGTATGTAAATACATAGAAAAAAACTGGAAGAATACATTTAAATAGTTAATAGTGTTCAACAATTTTTTACCAGGCACCTACTATTGGTAGGTGAGAATATATTGGTGAATAAAAACCCATTGATCTTGCCCTCATGGATCATATGTGGTCAAGATCAGCCTTTCTCAACTGGAGTTCTGAGAGATTTGTTTTTTTTGAGACAAAGTCTTGATCTGTTGCCCAGGCTGGAGTGCAGTGGTGCAATCATAGCTCACTGTAACCTCAAACTCCTAGGCTCATGCCATCCTCCCACCTTAGCCTCCCAAGTAGCTAGGAATACAGGTGCCACCATGCCTGGCTAATTAAAGAAATTTTGTAGAGACGAAGTCTCACTATGTTGTCTAGGCTGGTCTCAAACTCCTGGCCTCAAGTGATCTTCTCACCTTAGTCTCCCAAAGTGCTGGGATTACAGGTGTGAGCCACTGGGCCTGGCCAGATTTTTATTATCAACCAAATAATCATATAAACTATAAATATGAAAGTATGACTATGATAAGTACTTAAGAAGGAGAGGTACGGCCAGGCATGGTGGCTCACGCCTGTAATCCCGGCACTTTGGGAGGCCGAGGTGGGTGGATCACGAGGTCAGATCGAGACTATCCTGGCTAACACTTACAGTGAAACCCCATCTCTACTAAAAATACAAAAAATTAGCCAGGCGTGGTGGCGGGCACCTGTAGTCCCAGCTACTTGGGAGGCTGAGGCAGGAGAATGGCATGAACCCGGGAGGCGGGGCTTGCGGTGAGCCGAGATGGCACCACTGCCCTCCAGCCTGGGCGACAGAGTGAGACTCTGTCTCAAAAAGAAAAAAAAAAGAAAAAAAAAAAGAAGAAGAAGAAGCGGTACATGGTACAACAAGAATGTATATTAGTGCTATTGGACTTAATAAAGAAGGCCAGGGGAGGGTCCCTAAGAAAGTGACGCTTGAGTTGAGATTTGGAGGATAAGTAGAAGTTAAGTAAAGGCAGTAGGGCTGGGTAAACAGCAGTGTAAAGACCTAGAAGCAGAAGGGAATATGCCAGATATGAGGGGACCACAGAAGCCCTGTGCTGGAGCATGGGGATCAAAGGGCAGCATAGCACAAGATGAAGCTGAAGAAGTACGTAGGGGCTGAGTCTCAGAACTTTTCAAGTCCATGGTAGAGGTTTTTTTCTTTATCCTAAGACTAGTGGGAAGCTATTGAAGATTTTTAAGCAGGGAGTGTTACATTCATTTTTGCACTTTTAAAAGGTCCCTTCAGGCTAGGTGCGGTGGCTCACACCTGTAATCCCAGCACTTTGGGAGGCCAAGGCAGGTGGATCACCTGAGGTCAGGAGTTCGAGACCAGCCTGACCAACATGGTGAAGCCCCCTCTCTACTAAATACAAAAATAATTAATGGGGTATGGTGGCACATGCCTGTAATCCCAGCTCCTTGGGAGGCTGAGGCAGGAGAATCCCTTGATCCCGGGAGGTGGAGGTTGCAGTGAGCCAAGATTGCACTATTGCATTCCAGCCTGGGCAACAGAGCCAGACTGTCTCAAAACAAAACAAAATGAAAAGATCCCTTCAGCACCTATGTGAAGAATTACTTGGAAGACTCAGGGTGATCAGTTACTATGTCTTTTCAGTAGCCCAAGAGAGAATTAATGATGGGTTGTAGTAGGATAATGGCAGTGATAGACAAGTGGGCAGATTCTAGAGATAGTTAATAGGTAAAATCAATACAACTTGGTTATAGATTTAGATATGGAGAGGATGAAGAATCAATGAGGTGCTTGGTGGAAGTCTTTGAAGGCCAGGCTAAATTTTTTATGGCTTTGATAATGAGAAATTGCAGTACATGTTTGAGTAAGGGGAGACTATGCAAAGTTAGAGCTTTACAAAGGTCATGCACAGTTTGAGCTTAACAAAGATCACTCTGTTAGCAGCATGGGGAATACATTGGAGGTGAATTAGACTGTAGGATGTTGCAATGGTCCCAGTGACATGATTAAGGCTAAACTAAACCAAAGCATTCCCAATGGGAACAGAGAGGGGTTGAGAAGATAAAATATCGATTGGAGGATGACAGAATAGATAAGAGAGCATTGAAAGCTGTATGGTTTGGAGACAAAGGAAGGAGAGTGAAGAGGACCAAGAACACTCTCTTCTTTTTTTCTGCAAGATTGTGGCTCACTCCCATGACACCAACCTCAATCAGCAGTTCAGCTCTCACCTGTCTCTGGGGCAGCACCGTGCCCTGCTGTGGTAGAAGAAGCCTTGGGAGCTAGCATGGTCCTGTTGCTGCCATTGACAGGTAACATTCTTCAGGTCCAAGGTAAAGCATTGCAGTCCAAGTGCCACTAAAGTCAAAGAAGTAAGTCCCATCAGGGCCCGTGTGCCCCTACTGTATAGGGTGTTCAGATTTCAGATAATTTCTACACATATAACTTAGAACATTGACTCCTATTCTCTCTTCTTTCCCTGAACATAGTTCCTGTCCAGTGGCAAGTTCGAGATCATCAGGAAGGACCATGGTTCCCAGAGCTTCAGATCTAGCCCAGGCTTCCCTAGAGATATTCTTTTATCTCCTCCCCATCTCCCTATTCCTTTGTTGACTCACCTGCATCTCCAGGCAGGTCCACAGTCACAGGGAGGGACCAGGATCCCCAGGAGCCACCGAGGGAGATCCCATCAGGTTCGCTGCGCAGCTGCAGCCAGTAGGAGTTGCCAGGCTGGAGTCCTGAGATGAGGCAGCTTCCACCCTCTGCTGTCAGAGCTGAAGCCTTGGGAGGAAAATCCCAGCTTCACAATCTAGGTCTGCCTGTCAGCTGAGAGAGCCTCCAACCCTTATATTTGCACAGCATCTCTGTGGAGAGGAGCTCAGCTCCTTGCTGGATAGATATGCACACAGACCAGGGGCTAAGTTGGTGGGTTTCAGGTGGTGTTCAGGGTTTTGTTGCGAAATCTCCATTAATTTGGAGGCCTGAAAGCCTTTGCTTTTGTCAGTGGGAATGACCCAAAGTAGGAAGCCCCTAAGTAGGCGTGGCTCATATCTGAGCCTATACTAACTCTCCAAGGACGAACCTAGGTCTGGAATCCCCAAAGTATGGTCTGTCCTTTCCTGGGGCAAGATTGAAGGTAGGAGATAAGAGGTGGGGCAGAAGAAGGTCAGCATACTTCTCTACTTGGGGAGGTCTGCTTTGGTCCATCTTGCCAGGGCATTGTGGGCTGAGCACATGGAGACTGGTCCAGAGCAGAGGCTGAGTGAGGCCTCTGCAGAGCAGGGCAGCAGGTTTCTGTGGCAATCAGCTGTATGACCGTGGGACCAGTGGAGTTCTTGGGATCTCTGGGGCCATAGCGGAGTTCGTACCTCAGGAAATCACTGATTTCTGGAGCTGGCTCCTCCCAGCTGATCTGAAGTTCCCCTGGCTGGCTCCCACCCATGGCCTTGATGATACTGGGGGGAGCCGGCAGGCCTGAGGGCAAGACAGGGCACATCAGAACTCTGAGTACCACAGTCTATGGCTCAGCCTCTGGACTGCAGAGAGGGGTGCTGGGGGCTGAATTGGGGCAGCTTCTGGATTCAAAAATTGTAGGCTGTCATTCTCCTGGAGGGCAGGCTAGGGAGGCTCCTGATTCTGTTCTTCTCTCATGAGAACAGTGACTTCTTTGCAGTATGATGGCTTGCTAGACTCAGTGCTTCTTGTAAGCAGGGATCCCTTTTTCTCTCCATATCCCCATCACCTAGCCCAGTGTCTGGCACACAGTAGGTATTCTGTAACTCTTGAATGGATGAATAAATGATTTGTTGACGATGGGAGGAACAGGGTGTGAATGATCTGTTGGGCATTTCTAGCTCTAGATGCCAAGGCTGGGAGGAATGACAAGGGAGTCTTGGGGTGCCTCAGGGGGTCTGGTAATAGGGGTATCCGTGCTGAGCTGGAAGGGCACAGGCAAGTCTGATTCCGGGAGCTGGACTGGGGGCAGCAAGTGGAGGGGGCAGGGTGACAGGAGGATGGCTCTTACCTACACTGTCCACAAAGAGGACTCGCTGAGTCCGAGTCTGGTTTAGGAACACATTCTTCACCCAGAGGTGCAGCGGAAAGAAGAGACGCACTTCCTCCTGGTCTGGAAACTGGCACACGTATCGGGTTCCAAAGTGGGGCATGCTCTGGGAACTCAGGGGGCAAGCACGGGGCTTCTCCCTGTTGGCATAGAAGAGGTCCCTCCTACACAGCCACCATGCGGAGCCCTGAGGACCCAGACCTGGGCCCATGCCCAACTTCTGTCTCTAGTACTGCCATTTTTCTTCTCACTGCCTGGGATAGGTGGGATTAGGGGTTATGTAGGGCTGGAGCTGGGGCCCACATACATCCAAAGCACATCTGTTCAAAAAGTAGGTACTTAGGGCTTGTATTCAGAGTGGTCCTCGGACAGGCAGGAAAGCTGCTGGAGTGGGACTCAGCTAAGTGCAGGGACAGATACATGGGGAGTGGGGCACAGTCCAGCACCTACCGCGGGTAGGCATACAGCAGCTGGTATGTCCCACTGGGCGCTGCCTCTTCCTCATCCCAGAAGCAAGTGAGGTCCTCAAATGTTCGGGAGAAACACTTCAGGGGCTCTGAGTCTGATGCCAGCAAGGAGACATCTAAGGAACAGCTGGTGAGTTGGCCCTGGGTCCTCCCAGGCATGTTTATGTGGAAGGGGAGGGGACCAGCAGGAGAGCCTCTTACTCTACCTCCCCTCCCGGGGCCCTGCATCACCTCCCAGGGCTCCCTCTTCCTGGGCATAGGTGATCTCCACCCTCTGTGCACCTCACCTTGGCTGCTGACTTGGGCCAGGTTTTGAGGGGCCAGGAGGAGGCAGGAGGTGACCATGAAGAGGGCCCAGGAGGGCATCTTCTCCGCCACTGTGTGCCTGCCTTAGCCCATCCTCCCTTCAGGAAGCTGGGCCCCAATCCCCTCCCAGGCCAGCCCCTCAGGTTCCTGTCAGATACAGCCCCACGTCCTGTCCCTGTCCCTGCCCCTCTGGGGCCCATCCAGACCACACTGGGGCCAGGGGCCAGGGGAGGGGGAGTGGGCAGGAGGGAAGGAGGAATTTGAAAGAGAGGACACAGGCCTTTTGGTGTGAGGGAGATGGGGGTTGTATATTTGACCGTGTACCAAAAGGCAACTCAGCCTCTGTATCTGTGCTAACGATTATAGAATGGTATAATAGCATCAGAATAGCAACTTTTACTGAGCACTTACTATGCTGCCGTGTGTTAAGCACTTTATATCCATTCACTTAGACAATCCGCACAATAGTCTTGTTATTTCCATTATAGAGATGAGGAAACGGAGATACAGAGAAGTTAAAGATTTGCCCAAGATTACATACTAAGACATAAAGCTCAGGAGGTCAACCTTCAGAACCCACCTGCATAACAGCCATGCTGTGCTATGCTCTTGGGAGGCTAATCTGCTGAGAAATAACTCTCTGCCCCACAACCATGCCAAATGGTGGGTATTTCCACTTTAATAGTTCTGTGACTTTGCGCATGAATAAACACATTCTCCCTGGAACTGGAAATGCCCTCTCCATTATGGGTGGCCTCCACGGCTGCCTCTAATCCCTTGCTACTCAAAATGTGGTCTGTAGACCAGGAGCAACAGCATTAGGTGGGCACTTATTAGAAATGCAGAATCTTAGGCCCCACCCCAGGCCTATTAAAGTTGAACCTGCATTTTGCCAAAATCCCCAGATGGTTTGAATGTAACTTAAAGTTGGAGAAGCAATGGTCTTCAGTACTTTTATCCTGTTTGCTCAGATTGGAGATGGCTCACACTCCTTACCCTGCCCCCTTGTCTTGTATCCAATAAATAACTGCGCAGCCTGGCATTCGGGGCCACTACTGGTTTCCGCGTCTTGGTGGTAGTGGTCCCCTGGACCCAGCTGTCTTTTCTTTTATCTCTTTGTCTTGTGTCTTTATTTCTATGATCTCTCGTCTTTGCACACAGGGAGAAAAACCCACTGACCCTGTGGAGCTGGCCCCTACAAAAATAGAACCTGCATTTTACCAAAATCCCTAGATGGTTTGAATGTAACTTAAAGTTGGAGAAGCAATGGTCTTCAGTACTTTTATCCTGTTTGCTCTGAATCAGTGGATGGGGCTGGGTGCAGTGGCTCACACCTATAATACCAGCACTTTGGGAGGCCGAGCTGGGTGGATCATCTGAGGTCAGGAGTTTGAGACCAGCCTGGCCAGTATGGTGAAACCCTGTCTCTACTAAAAATACAAAAAAATTAGCTAGGCGTGGTAGTGCTTGCCTGTAGTCCCAGCGACTCAGAAGGCTGAGGCATGAGAATCTCTTAAACCCAGGGGGCAGAGGTTGCAGTGACCCAAGATTGCACCACGGTACGCCAGCCTGGGTGACAGGGCAAGACTCTGTCTCAAAAAAAAAAAAAAAAAAATTCAGTGGATGGCTGGTCTCAGCTCTTCAGCCTGTGCTCATCTCCTGTCACTGAACCCCAAGCCTCCTCCTGGGACTGCTCTGTATGTGGATTTTATGCCAATTCTAGGAGGCTTGACTCTTGTGTGGGTGGAGGTGGGGACAGGAGGTGAGTTGTGGGGAGGGTGCATAGCCACATCAACTCCCATTTTTAGCCCCTCAGGCCTCAGCTAGGGCTCCCATTGCTGGCTGTACAGACTAAGTATCCTCAGTATCAAGGAGGAGATGGAACACCTTCAGCTCTCCTGTGAAGTCTTAGTTTCTCTGGCACCATTTCTCTGCAAGCAGTCCCTGACTCAGATTTGTCTTTAGCTGTACCTGGCTCTCACATTACGAGGACTGATGGTAATGACTTTGGATGCCTTCCCCAGTCCCCAGGCAAGGGCTACCCAAACTTCTGTGAGATCAAGTGAGAGGGAAAACACAACTTCAGTGTTCATGCAGTCCCATGGCTTTGATGCTCTGTGTATGCTGATGACTTCAAATGGTATCTCTAGCTGTGACTTCTTCCCTGGGCTCCAGATTTGGATAGCCAACTGCCTACTTGACTTCTCCACTTGCATATATAAAAGCATCTTATACTTTTTTTTTTTTTTCTTTTTAGACGGAGTTTTGCTCTTGTTGCCCAGGCTGGAGTGCAGTGGTGCAATCTCAGCTCACTGCAACCTCTGCCTCCCAGGTTCAAGCAATTCTCTTGCCTCAGCCTCCCGAGTAGCTGGGATTACAAGCACCTGCCATCATGCCTGGCGTGTATTTGTATGTGTATTTTTAGTAGAGGCGGGGTTTCGCCACGTTGGCCAGGCTGGTCTCGAACTCCTGACCTCAGGTGATCCACCTGCCTTGGCCTCCCAAAGTGCTGGGATTACGGGTGTGAGCCACCACACCCGGCAAGCATCTTATACTTAAGGTGGTCAAAATAAAACTCTGGATTCTCATTCCCACCCCTAACCCTGTTTATTTTGTTTTCCTCTAGCCTTGCCTACCTCTGTAAATAGCATTACCACCTACTCAGTTGCTCGAACCAACACCTTCCATACTTGTTGATCCCTGTCTTTCTCTTACTCTGCATTCTACATCCAATTAATTAGCAAGTCCTGTCAGACCTTCCTTCAAAATGTACACTGAATCTGAACACATTTAACCACCTCCACCCTTACCGTCCTAATCCAAGTCTGGGTTACTGTAATAGCTTCCTAACTGGTGTCCCCACCTCCATTCCCACCCTCGCCCCCCAGCCTGTCCTCCGCACAACAGCATGGTATGTTTAAAATGCACATCAGATTTCTTCACTCCCCTCTTAAAATCCTCCAAAGATTTCCCACTTAGAATACCACTCAAACGCCTTCTGATGCCATGTCTGGCTCTGCCTGACCTGGCCCCTGCCTACTTGAATCTTATCTCCTGCTTTCTTTCTTCCCTCTCAGCCAGCCAAAATCGTCTCACTGTGTCACTCATCTTAATCCTCTTCGTATTCAACCTTTCTGCAACACTTGATAATCTTCATCCTTCCAATGTCACATTCTCCTGATTTCCTCCTACCTCCTATCATGTCCCCACTCAGTTTCCTTCTGTGGTTGCTCTTTCTCTTAAATCTTGCTGCCTCCAGGTGTCCCTGCTCAGCCTTTTCTGTTGCCAGAGTGATCTCATGGCTTCAACTCTATCTACGCACTGGTAACTTGCAAGATCTCATCAGTCTCTCAAACTTCAGATTCTCAATCAGACATCTCTATTTGTTGTCCCATAGGCACTTCAAATTCACCAAGCCCCAAATATAACTAACTCCCATACACCCTTTAGGCCCTCTCTTCAAGCTCTGTTCTGCATCTCTCATGGGCTACCTAGGCTCCTAAGCCTGGAACCTGAGAGTTATCCTCAAACCTTCCTTCTCCCTCTACACCTACGTCTAAGTCCTGTGTCTTCTACAGGGAGGCAGTATAATAGCGGTTAAAGGTGCAGAGACTGCAAGGGGCTTGTGTATGACTGTCAAGAGAGTTGAGACAGGGGCTTTCTGCTTCTGCATGGGAGGCGGTCCACTCTCTGTCCCTGTCATTTTCCCATTTTCTTTTGCTTCCACACAGCTGAAAAAAGCTGTCTTCTCCAGGCCTTGATTTCTTTCTTTCTTTCTTTCTTTTTTAAAGATGGAGTCTCGCTCTCTCACCCAGACTGGAGTGCAATAGCATGGTCTCAGCTTACTGCAAACTCCGCCTCCCAGGTTCAAGCAATTCTCCTGTCTCAGCCTCCCAAGTAGCTGGGATTACAGGCGCCTGCCACCACGTCTGGCTAATTTTTGTATTTTTAGTAGAGACGGGGTTTCACCATGTTGGCCAGGCTGGTCTCGAGCTGCTGACCTCGTGATCCACCTGCCTTGGCCTCCCAAAGTGCTGGGATTATAGGCGTGAGCCACCACACTTGGCCCAGGCCTTGATTTCTTTAGAAAATCAAGCAGGAACTGGGATATCTAGGAGAAAGGAGGCCATATAGGTCTGCCTGCTTTGGTGAAGGAGTCCGGCAGGCTCTTGAAAGTCCAGTGCTGCTCAGCAGGCCTAGGCTTTCCTTTTGGGATGTAAGGCCAAAGACCTGGCTTATAAAACTGGTACTTGATCTCTGGGTAGCGATTGTTCAGAGAACTCAAGAGGTTGCTGGATGAGGATTGGCTCAGGCTGTAGTGTGCTGACAAACTGGCCGGGGTGAGGTAGGGTGTTCTGTTTGGTAGCATTTGCTGCTTTTTGTGGTGTAAATACTTCCGTCATGGCCTGTTTCAAGCTACTAACATGATGTCACTAAGCAGTGAGCTGGGAAGATAACTGGCTTTTGGCTCTCGTGAGCCCGTACCTGTGCACTTGCCCTTTATCTCCCCATGTTTTCAGATTTCCCAACAACTGACAGTTTTTTCCAGTTAGAAAGTTTGGGACAGGTAGCTTTAGGCACTAGGATTCTCTATCGCTTCATCTCTTTCTCAACATTGCTAGTTGTCTCTCTAAAATGATGGTTCCGGCCGGGCGCGGTGGCTGACACCTGTAATCCCAGCACTTTGGGAGGCAGAGGCGGGCGGATCACCTGAGGTTGGGAGTTCGAGACCAGTCCGACCAACATGGAGAAACCCCGTCTCTACTAAAAATACAACATTAGCCGGGCAAGGTGGCACATGCCTGTAATCCCAGCTACTCGGGAGGCTGAGGCAGGAGCATTGCTTAAATCCGGGAGGTGGAGGTTGCGGTGAGCCGAGTTTGTGCCATTGCACTCCAGCCTGGGCAACAGGAGTGAAACTCCATCTCTAAATAAATAAATAAATAAATAAATAAATAAATAAATAAATATAATGGTTCCGTTTATACACTTAGCAGCGTGTTAGGGTGCTGTATTTCCCCCACATCTTTGTCAACTTTTTTTGTTTGTTTTTTGTTTTTGATTTGACAGAGTCTTAACTCTGTCGCCCAGGCAGGAGTGCAGTGGTGCGATCTCAGCTCACTGCAACCTCTGCCTCCCAGGTTCAAACGATTCTCCTGCCTCAGCCTCCTGAGTAGCTGGGATTACAGGCGTGCACCACCATGCCCAGCTAATTTTTGTATTTTTAGTAGAGACGGGGTTTCAACATGTTGGCCAGGCTGGTCTCGAACTCCTGACCTCTGGCGATCCTCCCGCCTTGGCCTCTCAAAGTATGGGGATTACAGGCATGAGCCACTGCACCCGGCCAGTCAACGTTAAGTTTTAAGTTTGCCATTCTGATAGTTGACAAATGGTATATCCTTACTCAGTGCTTTTTCTGAGGTTCAAATGTGCTTTTATTTATTTTCTTCCTGCTGGAAATCTTTCTGCAGCTCCACAAGATGAGGAAGGCTCATCCCTCAGTGCTGCAGCACAAGACCCCCATTGCTGGAATCTCCCCCTCAGGATGCTCCATTCACTAGTCCCCATACCCAATCCCCTTTCTAGGCACAGGGCCTTGTTCCCATTGCTTCCCCAGGCACAGACCCTCCCCACTTAGCCTGTTGGAACTTCCTTTGTGATTCTGCCTGCCCCTAAGTCACTATTTCTTGGGAGTCTTTTCTTATCCCCCCAACTATATGCAACTGGGGGAAAAGGCTAATTAAAAAAGCGAAATACAATTTCACATTCCTTTTAGAGGCCCTGTAGCTCTTTTGTGATCAGAAACAAACTGGATGGGCCTTTGGGCATGGCCTTGATAGGAAGCATTAGAGAGCTGAGTTTGGGGGAAATGAAATGGATGGGAATTTTAGAATGTCCTGTGGTAACTCCAGAGAAAACGGAGGAGGGCCGGTAAGTGAAAGATGGCCACCTGAGGAGAAGAAAGGTCAACCAGTGAGAAATTCCAGGTAGGACTGTCTGAGGAGAATTCCAGAATGATGATGCCAAATCCTCAGTATGCTCCCTATTCTGTGAGTGCTTGGCTTCCCTACAGCATGCCCAGACATCCAGTAAAGTGTACTGTACACAAAACCCTCCATTCATGGTGCTTTCGGAACAAAGGAAAAGAGGTAACGACACCTGTCGGATGGAAACCCTTGGAGAGTCCTGGTAGAAACACAGGAAGGCATGTACCTCCCAAAGGATGTGGAATAGGAACTGAGCCATAATAATTAGACACAAATCAAAAGGGTGACCCCAAAGGGCACCCCTTGAAGTCATTTGGGTGCACACACATAACCTTTCTTCCTTTGAGTTCCCGCAGAAACTTGAGCCTCTGTTGGGGGGTTCTTATGTATAAAATGACATGCTGTGCCCCCACTCTAGCTACATAAGAACTGAATCCCCAAGTAGGGACTGTCATTTTTCTTTTTCTCCCCGCCGAGATGGAGTCTTGCTCTGTTGCCCAGGCTGGAGTGCGATGGCGCAATCTTGGCTCACCGCAACCTCCGCCTCCTGGGTTCAAGCAGTTCTCCTGCCTCAGCCTCCAGAGTAGCTGGGATGACAGGCAGGCACCACCACGCCTGGCTAATTTTTGTATTTTTAGTAGAGACGAGGTTTCACTATGTTGGCCAGGCTGATCTTGAACTCTTGACCTCGTGATCCGCCCACCTCGGCCTCCCAAAGTGCTGGGATTACAGGCATGAGCCACCGCATCCAGCCCGGGGACTGCCATCTTAAGGCCCTCCTCCTGGGGTAGGCGCTGGGTGGGAGTGGGCCTGCCCCCTCCTCCCTAACTCCCTCTCTTGCCAGGATCCTGCCACCTAGCAGTGAGGAGCACTTGCTGTTTGCCAGCACTGTGGGAATGCATTGTCTCATTTCATCATACAACCACCCTGTTAGGTGCCTTTGTCCTTACTTCACAGAAGAGAAAGCTGAGGCTTAGAAGGAGTCAGTGAGTTCAAAGTCACTATCAAAGGATGGAGCTGAGATTTGGATTCAGGTCTGTTTGACTCTAAAGCCTGTTCTTTTAACTACTGCACAGATACCTCTGACTAGGAGCATGTTATGGCTGTTTCCTCCATTTTATTCACTCATTTAACATTATAAGCCTGGCACAGGGCATGGTGTGAGTCTTGAGCTGGATGAGTCTGAGTTCAAAACAGGCATCTGGAGAGGTTTAACTCAAGTAAATGGAAACAGGACCAGTAGTTGCCCAGTAGTAACCCCAAGGGAGAGAGCTGCAGAGAACCCAGTTTGGTCAGCCCTCTGTCCTCTGCTCTTCATGAGACATCCTGGCTCCTGAGTGGTCCTTAAGCTGCTGGGTCTCTCCCTGACCCCAGAATCCAAGGCCCGCTGAGGAAATACAAGGACAGCCCCACTGCAGCCAGCTTCTGGTTTGCCTGCCCTGCCCTAGGAGAGGGCCTTGGGTGAGATAAGAGGATGCACAGCCCCTGGGAGGAGCCTGAGCTGCCTGCAGGAAATCACCCCTTCCCTGGGGGCGGGAGGGGAATGAATGACTCAGGGCCAACTGGTGGGAGTTCTGTTTTTGTGGCCAGGACGGGTTGTAGGGAGGTTCCTCGGATGAAGTACTCACTGGGTTCGCCTTTCCCAGCTGCCTCCTAATGAGGCTTTTCCTCTGGCCTTTTCCATTCTATCCCTGGAAACAAGTTTGTGCTGCTGGGCTGGTCTTTTGCTCCAAGCCCCACCCAACCCAGGCCATCTCCTGTGAGAATATGGCTGTTGAGTGAAGCTGTGAGAACTGAGGCTGGAACAGGTGCAGGCAGACGAGGCTGAGCATTTAGGACTGTGCTCTGGACCTGCAGTTTGCTGACTTGCTTGTATTGGGGTTCTGGGTCTTCAGTGCTACAGTGGGAATGGGGAGACCTTCTGTTGGGGCAGGATATCTTTGGGGCCCACAACCTGGAATGTGGTGTGTGATTGATATATTTGTGGTGAATTTGGAAGTGTACTATACCCAAATCTGGCCCTTTCTACTGCCAGAGAAGCGGCATAGTACTGTGGCTAAGAGAGGGACTCTGGAGCCAGAATATCCAGGTTTAAATGTCAGCTCTTGGCCAGGTGCAGTGGCTCATGCCTGTAATCCCAGGACTTTTAGAGGCTCAAGGCAGGAGGATCGCTTGAGCCCAGGAGTTTGAGACCAGCCTGGGTAACATAGGGAGACCCTCTCTCTACAAAAAAAATTAAAAAAATTAGCTGAGCATGGTGGTGCATGCCTGTAGTCCCATCTACTTGGGAGGCTGAGACAGGAGGATTGCTTGAGCCCAGGAGGTTGAGGCTGCAGTGAGCTATGATCGAATCACTGCACTCCAGCCTGGGAGACCAAGCGAGATCCTGTCTCAAAACAAGAACAACAGATTCAGCTCTGCCTCTTACTAGCTATCAGATTTTAGCCAAGTTACTAGCCTCTCTGGTCCTGTTCTCTGTAAAATGACAATAATAATGGTACCTACTAATAGGATTGTTGAAGACTGAATGAATTAATACATGCAAAATGCTTGGAATGGTGCCGGGTAATTAAGTACTATGTAAATATTAGCTGTTTTTATTCTTTTAGTGACTGGTATCACCACCCACCCATCATATGAACAGAAGCTTGGCAGTGATCCTAGACTCTTCTTTCAGTCCCGTATTCAACCCCTGTCTATTCTTTCTTCAGTTATTTCTTCCAGTTTGCTACCACCACACCATCATTTCACCCACACTACTATATATAGTGGTCTTTCACTGATCTCCTTGCCTTCACTTAAAAAAAATACCCGGCTTGGCCAGGCGCGGTGGCTCATACCTGTAATCCCAGCACTTTGGGAGGCCGAGGTGGGCAGATCACGAGGTCAGGAGATCAAGACCATCCTAGCTAACACGGTGAAACCCTGTCTCTACTAAAAAAAATAAAAATAAAAAATTAGCCGGGCGTGGTGGTGGGCGCCTGAAGTCCCAGCTACTTGGGAGGCTGAGGCAGAATGGTGTGAACCCAGGAGGCAGAGCTTGCAGTGAGCCAAGATCACGCCACTGCACTCACTCCAGCCTGGGTGACAAAGCAAGACTCCATCTCAAAAAAACAAATGAACAAACAGACAAAAAACAACCCAGCTTTATTGAAATATAATTCACACACCATACAACTCACCCATGTAAAGTGTACAAATCAGTGGTTTTTAGTATATTCACAGATATGTGCAACCACAGTCAAATTTAGATCATTTTTATCACCTCAAAAAGAAATCCTGTACCTTTTACACTCATCCTCATATCTCCCCAACTTCCTTCTAGTCCTAAGCAACCACTAATCTACTTTCTACCTCTATAGATTTGCCTAGTATGGAAATTTCATATAAATGGAATATGACTACCATATGTTGTCTTTTGTGACTGGCTTCTTTCACTTAGCATGGTATTTTCAATGTTCATTTACAATATAGCATGCATTAGTATTTCATTCACCACCCCCAACTCTTTGTTTTTTTGAGACTGGGTCTCACTCCATTGCCTAGGCTGGAGTACAGTGGCACGATCACAGCTCACTGCAGCCTTGACCTCCCAGGCTCAGGTGATCCACTCACCTGAGCTTCCCGAGTAGCTGGGACTACAGGCATGCACCACAACTCCTGGCAAATTTTTGTATTTTTTGTAGAGACAGGGTTTTGCCATGTTGCTCAGGCTGGTCTTGACCTCCTGGGCATAAGTGATCTGCCTGCCTCAGCCTCCTAAAGTGCTGGGGTTACAGGAACAAGCCATCATGCCCAGCCTTCATTCCCTTTTCTTGGCTGAATAATATTCCACTGTATGGATATACCACATACCATTTATCCATTCATCAGATGATGGACATTTGAGTTGTTTCTACTTTTTGGCTATTATGAATAATATTGCTATAAACATCCATATATGTGTGCACATACGTTCTCATTTCTCTTGGTATATATGCCTAAGAGTGGAATTTCTGGGTCTTCTGAGAACTTTATGTGTAGAGTTTCCACATGTTTAAGGAACTGCCAGACTGGTTTCCAAAGAGGCTGCACAATTCTACATTCCCACCAACAGTGTATGATGGTTCATTTTCTTCCTTGCCAACACTTGTTATGTTTTTGATTATAGCCATCTTAGTGTGTATGAAGTAGTATCTCACACTGGTTTTGATTTGCATTTCCTGATGACTCATCCTGTTGAACATCTTTTCATGTGCTTATTGGCCATTTGTTTATCTTCTTTGGAGAAATGTCTATTCAGAGCCTTTGTCCATTAAAAGATACTGGGTTATCTGTCACTTTACTATTGAGTTATAAGACTTCTTTGTATTAATATATTCTAGATACAAGTCTCTTACAGGATATGTGACTTGCAAGTGTTTTCTTCTATTCTGTGGTTTTCACCTTCCTGATAGTGTCCTTTGATGCACAAAAGTTTTCAATTTTGATGAATTCTAACTTATGTATTTTTGATTTTGTTACCCATATCTTTGCTGTCATATCTAAAAATCCACTGCCAAATCTGAGGTAATTATGATTTACTTCTATGCTTTCTTTAAGGGCTTTATAATTTTGGTTCTAATATTTAGGTATTTGACCCACTTTGAGTTAATTTTTGTATGTGGTGTTTGGGTAGGAGTCCAAATTCATTCTTTTGCATGTGGCTATCCAATTGTCCCAGCACCATTTGTTGAAGACTATTCTTTCCCCATTAAATGGCCTTGGCGCCTCTGTTGAAAATCAGTTGACCATACTGGATTCTCAGTTCTGTTTGATTGATCTCATATGTCTCTCCTTATGCCAGTACCACACCGTCTTGATTTTTGTTGCTTTGTAGTAACTTTTGAAATCTGGCAATGTGAGTCCTCCAACTTCATTCCTCTGTTTCAAGATTGTTTTGGCTATTTTGGCTGGGTCTCTTGCAATGCCATATGAATTAAAAATGTTTGCCAATTTCGGCTGGGCGCGATGGCTCACACCTGTAATCCCGGCCGAGGCAGGTGGATCACGAGGTCAGGAGCTCGAGACCATCCTGGCTAACATGGTGAAACCCCATCTCTACTAAAAAAAATACAAAAAATTAGCCAGCGTGGTGGCAGGTGCCTGTAGTCCCAGCTACTTGGGAGGCTGTGGCAGGAAAATGGCGTGAACCCGGGAGGCGGAGCTTGCAGTGAGCTGAGATCATGCCACTACACTCCAGCCTGGGCAACAGAGCGAGACTCCGTCTCAAAAAAAAAAAAAAGTTTGCCAATTTCTTTTTTTTTTTTTTTTTTTTTTTTTGAGACAGAGTCTCACTCTGTCGCCAGGCTGGCGTGCAGTGGCACAACCTAGGCTCACTGCAACCTCCGCCTCCCAGGTTCAAGCCACCCCCCTGCCTCAGTCTCCTAAGTAGCTGGGACCACAGGCACCTGTCACCACGCCCAGCTAATTTTTGTAATTTTAGTAGAGATGGAGTTTCACCATGTTGGCCAGGATGGTCTTGATCTCTTGACCTCGTGATCCACCTACCTCGGCCTCCCAAAGTGCTGGAATTACAGGCATGAGCCACCGTGCCCGGTCAATGTTTGCCAATTTCTACAAAGAAGCCAGCTGAGATTCTGATAGGGACTGCATTGAATCTATAGACCAATTTGGGAAGTATTATCATCTTACCAATATTAAGCCTTCCAATTCATGGACATGAGATGCTTCATTTTCTGTTTATTTAGATTTTTAATTTCTTTCAATGATGTTTTATAGTTTTCAGAGTATAAGTCTTTGATAATTTTATTTATTCTCTTTAAGGCAATCATAAATGGAATTGTTTTATTTTCATTTTTAGATTATTACAAGTATATAGAAGAAAATTGCTTTTTTCATTTTGATCTTGTATCTTGCAACTGTTCTGAACTCATTTATTAGTTTTTTAGTGGATTCCTTAGGATTTTCTATATATACTATCATGTTATCTGCAAATAGAGTTTTATTTCTTCCTTTCCAGTCTGGATGTTGTTTCTTTCTTTTTCTTGCTCAACTGTTCTGGCTAGGACCTCCAGTATGATGTTGAATAAAAGTGAGGAGAGCACGTATCCTTGTCTTATTCCTGATGTTAGGGAGAAAGCATTCAGTCTTTTACTATTAAATATGATGCTAACTGTATTTTTTTTGGTAAACATCTTTTATCAGATTAACAAAGATTCCATTTGCAGTTTGTTAAAGCTTTTTTTTTTTAAATCACAAAGGGTGTTATATTTTGTCAGATGCTTTTTCTGTGTCTGCTGAAATGATCATGTAGTTTTTGTTTTTTAGTCTATTGATATAGTGTATGGATTTTCAGATGTTAAACCAACCTTGCATTCTTGGGATAAATTCCACTTTATTATGATGTATAATCTTTTTTTTATGTTTCTGGATTCTTCCTACTAGTGTTTTGTTGAGAATTTTTGCATCCATATTCATAAGAGATATTGGTCTGTAGTTTTCTTTTCTTGTGCAATCTTTGTCTGTTCTGGGTATCAGGGTAATACTGGCCTCACAGAATAAATTGGGAAGCCTTCTCTCGTTTTTTATTGTTTGGAAAAGTTTGTATAGAGTTTTTGTATTTATTCTTTAAATGTTTGGTAAAATTCACCATTGAAGCATTTGGGCCTGGGCTTTTTCTTTGTGGGTGTTTTTTTTTTTTAATTATTATTACTAATTCAATCTCTTTTTTTGTTTAAGTCTATTTAGATTGGTGAATTCCTTCTGGAGTCAGTTTCAGTAGTTTGTGTATTTTTAGGAATTTATTCATCTCATCTAAGGTTTCTAATTTATAGCCATGCTCCTCACCTTTACTGTTTTTCCTATATAATCTGTTCTCCACAGGGTAGCCAGAGTGACTTTAAAAAAATGCAAATCTCATTATGACTCACCCCTGCTTATAGCTCTTCTGTGGCTCCTCTGCTCTTAGGATAAAGATTCATATCCTATAAGGCTCAGCATAGCCTGGCATCCGTCACCTCTCTGGGTTCATTACCCTGTTTTCCCTTTGCTCCAGCCACAGAGAACTATTTGCAGCTCCTGAACATGCCACATATCACAGGTGTTGTTTCCTGTGCCAGGGTCTCTTCCTTTGGTGAAACCCTGCTTCCTCTTCATGGTCCAGATTAAAACATCACTTTCTCTGGGAAACTGTTCTGACTCCAGTTCCTGTTTAAGCCTTCCCCAGCTTCCCCCGCTCTCTTAGAGCATACACCGCTGTATTTTGTTGCTTGTTAACATAGCTGTCACTTCACAGAGGCATCCTTGTTTACATATTGGTCTCCATCAAAGACAATGGTTTAATCTCCACAGCCTGGACCTGGCAAAATCCCTGCAGTGAATGTGGATCTGAAATGAAGTTTTATTCTAGCAGTTCCCATCTCCCTCATCCTACGTAGCCTCCCATTTAAATTCATCCTCCTCCAACCATCCAAGTATTTTCAGAATACAGATCCTAATCATTACCTCCCTGCAGCTTCCTGCATTTGTATATAATGATATCAGCTGACACTGTGTACTTACTATGGCCCAGGCCCAGTGCTGTGAAAGATGGGCCTGTGTGGTCTCATTTAACACAAACAACGAGGTAGCTGTTACTAACTCCATTAATTAGATGAGAAAACTGAAGCTCAGAGACTTGACCAAGGCCACACAGATGATAAGTGACATAGCAGGGACTTGAACACAGGTTGGTGTGATCCTAGAACCTGTGCTCTTCATCACAGTGCCACACCATGTTATGCCTTCTTTGATGTCTTCTGATTCACTGAAAAAATGTGTAAAACACAATCAATCTTGTTTCTTAAGGACCAATAGGAGAGAAATCTAAGGCCAGCCATGAGCAATCCAAACAGTAGGCAAGTCCAGAGGCTGCACAGCATGGAGTAGTGTGGGACTCACTTTCAGGACCAGGAGAGAAGCACCTCTCACAGCACTATGAGGCCCTGAAGATGGCAAAGGAATCCTACCTTGGCTGGCTGAAGTTGGGAGTGGCCTCTGCCCTCCTCCTTTTGGGCTCATACATTGGGCAGTGAAGTGGCTACCAAGCCAGGGAAGGCTGCCTGGAGGCATAAGGTAAAGAAGAAGGCACCTAAGGAAACTCTAGACAGGCCAGGATCCGTCTGGCGCTGAGATGCCAGGCAGAGTTGAGGCTGGCTATAGATGATCCTGGCATGGACTATTTGGACAGAACAAAGAATCCTAGGCTGGCTGCTACCTAGAGATACACAGGGAGACACGTTAGTGATGGAAGCTGGAGAGCAGGGAAGGGAACAGGGGAAAACTGGCCTTCTAATCAGGACAGAGGTAGGGGCTGGTGGTGTTTGTGTAAAATGAGTCTTCCAGAGCACCTCCTATCCTGGACAGGCAACCTCAACAGAGGGCTGAGGCCTCAGACAGTGTTTCTTTTCCTAGAAAGCCCAGTTTCTGTCTCTTTTTTTTTGAGACGGAGTCTCGCTCTGTCGCCCAGGCTGGAGTGCAGTGGTGCGATCTTGGCTCACTGCAAGCTCCGCCTCCCAGGTTCAGGCCATTCTCCTGCCTCAGCCTCCCGAGTAGCTGGGACTACAGGTGCCCGCCACCACTTCCAGCTAATTTTTTGCATTTTTAGTAGAGACGGGGTTTCACCATGTTCGCCAGGATGGTCTCAAGCTCCTGACCTCGTGATCCACCCGCCTCGGCCTCCCAAAGTGCTGGGATTACAGGAGTGAGCCACCACGCCCGGCCAGTTTCTGTCTCTTGGGTTTAACTACGCCCCTCACCCCAAGATTGACCAGCAGTAAAAGGTAGACATTGAATGGAGCTTATTAGAACATTTATTTTTTTCTGAATGACAGGCCGGGAGTGGGAGTAGCTGAACAGGGCATGTTAGTGGTGTGAGTGCTGGCTTAAGCGAAGGAGCTGGAGTGGGGGTTTGTGTTGGGGGAGCAGTGGGATGGGAAACACACCTGTGGGGCAGCTGAACTAGAAAGAAGGATGCCCAGGATAGCTATGAGACACCTACAAAGCATGGGAACCCAGTTCCCCTAAGCCCACCCCATCCCCAGATCCCTTTTTTTCTCCCTTAAGTTAAAAAAATTCCTTGAGGCAGCTTAAGTCAGAGGCTGTAAGGGTCAGACTGGTCACAGGTTAGACAGCAGAGTTTGCTCCGGCCAGCAGAGCCACGTTCTGGCTGGATGGCAGCTCAGGCCTCCTCAGCTGTGGCATCAATGCCCGCGTAAGTGAAGTTCTCAAACAGCGACATGTTCACATAGGCCTGGGGGCAGAGCAAGCTTTAGTGGGGGCCAGGAATGGGGGTGCATCTGGCCTCAAGCTCCTGGACTTCCATGTGGTGGGGGCATTTGAACTGACACTGATTTGTTCTGGAGACCTAAGATGGCCCCATGGCCAAGAGTGGCCTTTACCAGCCCAGGGCAGTGAAGGCATCAGGCCACAGTTGGGGCCTCAGGTGAGAGGCTCTCAATGCCATTGTTAGAGGAGGGTTTTTACATGCACTCTTTCAATGAATTCTTGGCTTATGCGTTCATTCATTCAGTAACTTATCTGTTCAAAAGCCATTTTAGACGACTCATCCATTTATATGGTTATTTGATCATTCCTTCATTCTTAAGATGGTTATTTAATCATTAATTTACTTGAAGAACTCTTCATATTTACTAATTTTGATATATTTTTCATTATATTTATTTGATAATTCACTTATTCACATGGTTAGTAGATTGAGTTATTGAATTACATGTTCATATGATTATTGTATCATCTATCCACTAATTCCATTCATTCATTCATACGGTTACTGTATCACTCATTCACCCATCCATCCATCTGGTTAGTGACTATTCATGCACTCTGCTCTGGCTCTGGCAGGTGGGGAGAGGTGTCCCAGATGAGGACAGGCTGATGGCCTCAGCAGAGGACAGGCAAGCAGTCTGGGACTTGGGGCTTAAGGTAGGGATTTGCTGTTGGGGCTAAGCAGTGGCCTTGGAAGAGTTTTGGAAGGGCCTGGTGTCTAAACCAGTGAGGGCTGGAAAGGCAGGCTGCATCCTGGGGCCCAGCCTAGCCGTGGTGACAGCCCCCACTGAGGGAGGTTGGGCAGGCAGTGTGGTTGGGACAGGGGTCATGGCACCTCTGAGAGGGCACTCTGGAGCACTCTGTGAGCCCAGCCCGCCACCTCAGCCCCAGTCTCCTCACCTTCCTGGCTTCCAGCATGCGGCCTAGCTGTAGCGCAATCTGGGCAAAGGGGGGTCGCTCATAGGGACGGTCCCGCCAGCACTGACGCATCAGCTCGTACCTGCGAGGGGGCATTGCTGAGATGAGGAGTCAGGCCAGCTGGGGTGATGGGGTCACAGGGATCAAAGCTGAGGTCACTCATCACAGAGATAGGATCATGGAGCTCAAGGATGGGGTGACTCACACTTCATCGTCACAGTTTCGAGGCTGCTCCATGCGGTAGCCCTGGGGCAGCTTTTCATAGAGCTCGGCACAGGTCAT
The DNA here is from genome assembly GCF_000001405.40 of Homo sapiens. Taxonomy (NCBI): domain Eukaryota; kingdom Metazoa; phylum Chordata; class Mammalia; order Primates; family Hominidae; genus Homo; species Homo sapiens. The sequence continues at coordinate 43,321,415 of NC_000001.11, read as the reverse complement.
GCCACAGTAGGGTGTACCTCCTGCAGGAGGGGACAAAGTGCTCTCGGTCCAGGGCTCCACGTGGGGTAAGGTGGGGCACTCTGGGGGACGGGGATCAGGAACTCACCAAGGCTCACTATCTCCCAAAGAAGGACTCCAAAGGACCAGCTGAAATAAGAAGGATGCACTTAGTTACCTTCTAGGCCCTGGTCCCTAGCAGTTTAGCTTCTACCTGCCCAAGATGTGCAGTGCCTCCCAGCCCCGCTGTATGTGTCTACTCTGTAAGTATCTGGCCTTGGCCAGCTGTTGTCTCTGCGCCAATGAAGCTCCTTCATACTGCCCCCATCCCTGGGCTCAGCACAATTAGAGCTCTTTTGTTTTGTTTTTTTTTTTTTTTTTTTTTTGAGACAGGGTCTCACTCTGTCACCCAGGCTGGAGTGCAGTGGCTTACTGCAGCCTCAACCTCCCAGGATCAGGTGGTCCTCCCACCTCAGTCTCCCTTGTAGCTGGTGTGTGCCACCATGCTCAGCTAATGTTTTGTATTTTTATTTATTTATTTATTTATTTATTTATTTATTTTTTGAGACAGAGTCTCGCTCTGTCGCCCAGGCTGGAGTGCAGTGGCGAGATCTCGGCTCACTGCAAGCTCTGCCTCCTGGGTTCACGCCATTCTCCTGCCTCAGCCTCCCAAGTAGCTGGGACTACAGGTGCCCGCCACCATGCCCGGCTAATTTCTTTTTGTATTTTTAGTAGAGATGGGGTTTCACTGTGTCAGCCAGGATGGTCTCGATCTCCTGACCTTGTGATCTGCCCGCCTTGGCCTCCCAAAGTGCTGGGATTACAGGCGTGAGCCACCACGCCCGGCCATGTTTTGTATTTTTAGTAGAGACAGGGTCTTGCCATCTTGCCCAGGCTGGTCTCAAACTCCTGGTCTCCAGTGATTTGCCTGCCTGGCCTCCCAAAGTGCTGGGATTACACATGTGGGCCACCACAGCCAGCCGAGCTAACATTTTTATTGAGCACTTACCGTGGTCCAGGCCCTGGTCATTTAACAGACATGTTAATTCATTTAACCCTCACACCAACCCTATGATACAGGTTCTATTAGTCTTGCCATTTTACAGATGAAGACACTGAGGCACTGAGAGGTTAGCTAGATTGCCCAAGGCCATACAGCTAGTTAGTGGCAGAGCAAGCGTTCCAACTCAGGCTCCAAAGCTCTTACTCTTGACTGCATCTCACACTTTAACAGCCTCTGTGTAGTGTGCATCAGCCCTGAGACCAGGGGAGAGAGTTCAAAGGGGGTGGAGGGAATCAAGGGAGTGTTGGGGCAGAAGCACGAAGTAGGCATGTAGTGGTCAGAGGAGTGATCAGTGTGGTAAGCAGTGAGCCATGCAGGCAAGGCCAAAGGGCTTGGGGCAAGGGGTAGGTTCAGATCAAGATGGACATCCCTGGAGAGACAGGAGGAGTGTGCCAAGAGGGCTGTCTGCAGGGGAGGGGGCACAGAGAGGGAGTCTTGGGGGTCATGCTCTGGTAAGATCCTCAGGTGGGCATGACCTTGCCCTTCAGGGAGGAAGATGAGAGCAATTCCTGAGTGGCCTCTCCATCTACCTCAGGAAGCATCCGCCAGCATTCCCAAACCTCTCCAAGGCATCCCCCGTCACTTACACAAACATAATCCGAAACTACCTTTACCCCAGTCCTATTCCTGAAACACCTTCCAAGACTCCTTCCAGCAAGCCCCACCTTGGCTAGGTACTTTATACCCAAGACACACCTGTGTCACACCTGGAACACAGCCCAGGTCATGCCTTAGACCACCTATGACATTTCTGAGATATGTCTAGGTCAGGCCTGGGTGATTCTTGGGGGCCAAGCCCTCCTGTGCCCTCTCATCTCACACTCACACATCACTCTTGGTGGTATAGACACTGTAGTTCAGGGACTCAATGGCCATCCAGCGCACAGGGAGACGCCCCTAGGAGAGAATGGGTTTGAGGGGCTGAGTGTGGAGGAAGGGCCTGTTTGAGGCTCCTGTGGGGCAGGGCCAGGCACAAGCCCTAAGGGTGAGGGTTGAATGAGACTCACCATCGTCTTCTTCACATAAACCTCCTCTCCCCGAGAAAGGCCGAAGTCTGCAATCTTGGAGGCTAGGTTCTCTCCGACCAGCACATTCCGGGCAGCCAGGTCCCTGTGGATGAACTGTAGGCAGGGTCAGAAGTCAGGAGAGACTGGGGATGAGGGAGCCCAGGACAGTCAGGCCAGTAAGGAGTCAGTCTTCGTGGGTACCCTTGTTACCTTCAATACCCCATACTCCTACCCTCCTGGCTGCAATCTCGTCAGCTGACTCATATCTGAGAAAGATCAGTGTTGGCTCTCACCCGCTCGTTCCTGGGCCCTGACCAAGTTCAGGCTGGATCCCTTTTCCTGAGACAGTGGTGGCCATACTGCACCTTCTCCTCTTTCCATGCTTCTCCCCCTCCCTCTTCCCATCCCCTGGGTTCCAGTTTCTCTCCCTTAGCCCTCCAGCTTCCCCAGAGACCTCTCTCCACCAGCCCCTCCCTCTGCACTGGCCCCTTCCCCTGCCCCTCTGCTTTCAAACATACTCAAAACTTTACTATCTTTAAAATGCTGGCCAGGTGCAGTGGCTCATGCCTGTAATCCCAGCACTTTGGGAGGCTGAGGCGGGTGGATCACTCGAGGACAGGAGTTCGAGACCAGCCTGGCCAGCATGGTGAAACCTCGTCTCTACTAAAAATACAAAAATTAGCTGGGTGTGGTGGTACATGCCTGTAATCCCAGCTACTCAGGAGGCTGAGGCAGGAGAATTGCTTGAACCCAGGAGGCAGAGGTTGTAGTGAGCTGAAATCGCACCACTGCACTCCAGCCTGGGCAAAAAAGTGAGACTCAGTCTCAAAAAAAAAAAAAGATAAAATGCCTTCCCTCAGACTCACACTCCCCTGGACAGTCATCCCCCTGTCCTCTCATTCAGGCCTGAGTTGACTTGGGCTTGGATCTCTGCCCTTCCCCCTCTCCGGCAGATCGCACCAGGCCCATTGCCATTAGGCACCATCTGTGGGGTGACAGCTCACACACAGATGCTGTCTCCAGCCTGGGCCTCTCTCCTGAGTTCCAGGCTAGCATCTAGACCTGCTCACTCAACACCCGCACCCTCCATACTGGAAGTCCCCACCTCCTCCAGACCTGCCCCTTGGCCCTGCCTCCTCGCTGTGCTTGCACCCACCCACACACTTGGGCCAGGAACCTCAATCCCCAGATACAATCAGGGCCGGCTGACTTCTTCCACTGACACCAGCCCAGTGGCTTCCCCCTCTGGCCTCCACCCGCCCCCACTCACACACACCTGCTTCTCACTCAGGTACTGCATGCCATTGGCCGCATCACTGGCGAAACGCAGCAGCTGCCGGGAGCTAAGGGTAGAGGCTGTCCCATGCTCTCGAGCAAAAGCTGGGTCAGTCTCTAGGACCCGGCTTTTCCGCAGAAAATCTAGCAGGTTCCCGTAGGGGGCATATTCAATAGCGATATACAAGTAACCTGAGAGGCAAAGAGACAGACAGTGGTGATTTAGACACAGGCAACCTAGGGTGGGAGCAGGCACCCGATGGTAACAGACAGGGATGAAGGAGGATCAAGGGTGGTGCACAGGTCACCAGCAGCCCCTGGCAAGCTACTCATGTGGTGGAGGTGATGGCTGAGGATGGGGGTTTGGAAGAAGGGGTAGGTGATGAGCTGGGGGCTCACCTCGGTTCTTACAGGCCCCCAGGAGGTTGATGATGTTGGGGTGATGCCCCAATTTGCACAGAACTTCCAGTTCTCCCGCAAAGTCACGATGGTCATTTTCAGAGGCATACTCTGTGTAAAGAATCCAATATTATTTTGCCAGAAATAACTCTGGAGAAAGGGCTGGCAAGGGCTGGGGTCAATTGCTGGAGGAAGCCAGGTGGGGCCTGGGATTTGTGGGACAAAGGAGAGCATCAGGGCTGGGCCAGGGGTCGCCCCAGTGGACCTTTCAGCATTTTGATGGCTGCGTTCATCTTCAGCCCGTCCTTCTTGATCATGGCCCGGATGACCTGGCCGAAGTTCCCCTCCCCGATGAGGTCCTCAAAGGTGATGTCCTCCCACTCTAGCACTGGGTAGCTCAGGGGCTCGGGCTGCAGTTTTGGCCGCCGGGTAAGTGTCAAGGTCCCTGAGCTGAACTGCAGGATGGTCTCCTCGCCCTTCACAGGATGAGACAAGAGGGCAGACGGTCCACGCAAGAGTCAAAGGGGGCGGAAGGAGGCACAGACAGGCACACGAGGAGGTTTCAGTGTCAGACAAGTGGGCAGAGACCCAGATGGAGGGCACCCTGGTGGTCAGCCAGGGACAGACAGGCAGACAGAGGACATAACTGAGACAGAATCATAGGTAACAGAGCCACAGGTAGGCTGCTGGGTGGACAGATGTCCAAGGAGAGAAATGCAGAGGCTGCAGCCAGGGGATCTAGTGTACGGGACTCTGGAAGGCAGAACCAGGGCTTGTGGGTAAAGTTGCTAGAAGCCACAATGTGAGTCAATGGAAGGAGGATATTTCTAACATTTAAAACAGAAAAGGATCGGAATGAGCTTCCTATGACTGTGCTAATCCTACAACCAGGCTTTTTGTTGTTGTTGTTGTTGGGGGTCACCAGGGAAGCTCTGGAGAAGATTCCAGCCTTAGGGAGTAGGCCAGGGGACATTTATTGAGCACCTACTACATGCTCAGCCCTGAGCTGCTGGGAGCCAGTGGAGGGGTTTTCTCCACAGTAGCAGAAGCAGAGATTACCCTGTCCACACACTTGGCTTTTCTCCATAGCTCTAAAATCAGGCCAGGACCTGAAAATAGCAAGACTATAACAAAGAGGAATGTCCAATTTCCTAACTCAGTAGGAGGAGGCCATCTGGGTGGGGCTGATGGTGGGAAAAGGAAATAAGTGAACAGGACCAAAGAAACTGCCAATATGAGAACTGGAAGCAGGGTTAAGACAGACCTTCTGGTGGGGCTTCCTAAGTGCACTGAAGTCCAGCTTGATGGGCAAGGGCTGAGGACCTGGGGCCCAGGGATTTGCAAGAAGCACTGGTGCTGACGGCACATAGCAAATGCACGTGATGTTCTTGGGCAGCACCATATGTAGGTGCATCATGTATAGGTCCATACACACATGCAGGCCTGAAGGTGCACAGGCATAGGGACACGTGCATCTGGGACACACGCATTTAAACATGTGGCACTCACAGGGGATGCACGTGTGCACTCATACATGGAGCACACACATTTGTGCACACACGTTTCCTATCCATATGCAGGCACATGTACCAGGGATATATCTTTTTGTTTGTTTTGAGACAAGGTCTCGCTCTGTTGCCCAGGCGGAAGGGCAATGGCACGATCTCAGCTCATTGTTACCTCGAGCTTTTGGGCACAGGCAATCCTCCCACCTCAGCCTCCCGAGTAGTTGGGACCACAGGTGCACACCTCCACGCCCATCTAATTTTCATATTTTCTTTTATTGTAGAGATGGGGTTTTGCCATGTTGCCCAGGCTAGGGGGATATATCTTGATATAGAGTATGACACCATGTATGTTAAGGACTGCTTTCCCACCTCCTGCCCTCGACATCTGTACCCATTACCCTCCCCCACCACAGCAGTGAGGGCTTTCTGTGTGCACTGACCTCAGAGGAAGAGCCAACACAGCTTGGAACAAAGAAGCCAATTGAATCTCTGAATGGATTTTTTTTTTTGAGATGGAGTCTCACTCACTCTGTCATCCAGGCTGGAGTGCAGTGGCGTGATATTGGCTCACTGCAACCTCTGCCATCCGGGTTCAAGCAGTTCTCCTGCCTCAGCCTCCCTAGTAGCTGGGATTACAGGCTCCTGCCACTGTGCCTGGCTAATTTTTGTAGCTTTAGTAGAGATGGGGTTTCACCAACTGGGCAGGCTGGTCTTGAACTCCTGACCTCATGATCCACCCGCCTCAGCCTCCCAAAGTGCTGGGATTACAGGCATGAGCCACCACGCCCGGCCTCTGAATGGATTTTTCAAAGGCATAGCAGAGACACTAGGCTTTCTATCACAAGGATCAGCCCTTGAGAGAGAAGAGGGTTTTCTTTCTTTTTTTATTTTTTATTTGAAATGCCAAAGCTTAGCTCTAAATATCAAGAGTCCAGGCCTGGAAGGCCAAGGACAGAGTTCAGATCCTAAGTGACGACAATGAAGAAGCCCTCAGAGGAGACAGGACCTGCGGATGGGCGGCTAGAATGTGACAGGATAAAGTGACAGTGGGTGCCCTCCCACACCCCACCTCTAAGCAGGGGCCTGAGGGACAGAAGGGTGTGGGCTACAGGAGGACAGACAACTCGGGCAGGATTACAGGGAAGCCAGGAGGAGTGGAGGTTTGTGCTTCCTCTTTCAAGGAGCAGGCCAGCACAATTCTGGAGTGGTAGAAACAGTTGTCTAAGTGGGAAGGGGTTGTGGCAGCGGTCTGAGGGCCACAGAATATGCCTCCTTCCATAAGGTATAAGGAAGCCCCTACAGTTCTTTAGTTCTGTTTCTTTTTCTTTTTTAATTTTTTGAGACAGGGTCTTGCTCTATTGCCCAGGCTGGAGTGCAGTGGCAACATCTCGGCTCACTGCAACCTCCGCCTCCCGGGTTTAAGCAATTCTCCTGCCTCAGCCTCCCGAGTAGCTGGGATTACAGGCATGCACCACCACGCCTGGCTAATTTTTGTATTTTTAGTAGAGACAAGGTTTCACCATGTTGGCCAGGCTGGTCTCAAACTCCTGACCTCAGGCGATCCACCCGCCTCAGCCTCCCAAAATGCTAGGATTACAGGTGCAAGTCACTGTGCCCAGCCCCTTTCTTAAGTCTCCAAAAGGAGGCCCTGGGATTTGCAAGAATGAAGGTTAGGATGAGGAGCTCACAGCATGACTGGCCTACTGGCAGGTGGCCACAGCAGGGCTAAGAACATCAGCCAAAGATGTGTGCAGACAGAGGCTGGCTCCCGAGCCCAGGAAGGCCTGCAAGGACAAAAGCCAGCATGAACCCCAAGTGCCCTTCCATTTGATCACCTTGCTATCTAGGCCTAGATAACCGCTAGGGAGAAATAAAAGAGGGGAGAGGAAAATCTCCAATTGACGGAGCCCAAAACTGGAATGTCCATTGTGAAATATGGTCATCACGGAATTCTTTTGAAATGGGAATATTAAATATTTCACCACTAATATAAATGGGCTCATGAGCTGAATTCAGTTTTAGAGAAATAAAGAAAATTATATTTTGTACCCTTGAACATTGTTGAGTGTAATCTTATACCTGCAACATAAACACACACACACACACACACACAAGGTGTACAAGGTATTGTGTGTACACAGGTAGAAACATAAACACGGGCTGCAAGCATGCACCCAGGGGCGGGGCGGGTCACTGACCGAGCCTGACTGGTAGGTGAAGGTGCGTCTCCGATGCAGGCAGCTTCTGCGGATGCACACCAGGGTTAAAAGGGCAGCCAGGATGGTGAGGCAGGTGGCAGACACGGAGCCCACCACCGCCAGGATCAGCTGCTGATCCAGGCCCTCTTCAGCTGCCCGGCTCTCTTGGACTGGGCCCTCAGCCTGCAGCCCTGGACACAGTGAGAGGGGCAGATTGTGGGGACACCTGGGTCAGGGAACCCAGAGGCCACCATGGGGTTACACAGAGGGAGAGGTGAAAGATCCCAGTGCCAGGACTGTCAGGAAATCACTTGGGCCACATGAAGGAAGGGATGAGGGGTGTCAGAGGGGCGACATGATTTTCCCAGCCCTGGGACAGTGGATCATGAGAATGGAAGGCTGAGTCCCCAGGACTGGGGCTGACTCTTTGTCAGGAGGGGCCTGGGATGCCCTAGCTCCACAGTAGGGGGTGATGTGGAAGGAGAGCGTGCTGAGCTCTCCCCGCTCAGAGCCCGGGGGGTCCTGTGGGCCCTGCCCTCTCACCGTTGCCCAGGGTGGACTCTTCTACTGTGTTGCTCCAGTCCCCGAGCCCCTGAATGCTGGCCCGCATGCGGAAGAGGTAGCGCGTGCTGGCGTTGAGGCCACGGATGATGGTGCTTGTCTCCTCAGGCCTGTCCACGTCTATCCACAGTGGGTCTCCTGCACCCCCAGCCACCTGCACCTCCACAACGTACTTGGATATTGGCCCAGGCAGAGCCTCCGGGTGCTTCCATGTCAGCTGGATCTCGGAGTCTGAGAGGGCCTGGGCGTGGAGGTGTCGGGGGGCTGGAGGCCCTGGGGAGATGGTGGGGGAAGGCAAGGCTCAGATAGGACCGGGCTATGTAGCTGTGGGGCTGGACACATCTGCTCTAGCTGTGCTCCCTCCTCTGTGGGTCCAAGCACAGGGGCCACCCTGCCAACTTCCTCCTCCCCACCAGACTGAATTCCTCTCCATTCCCCCAGGCCACTTTCACCCTCAAGCTTCTGCTTCTCCTTGTACTTCTTGTATCCCAAGTCCTCTCCACATCCGCCCATGCCCTGTGTTCCGCAAGTCTCATGCCCTCCCATGACCCTGGTTCTCGCCATGAACCCTGACCTCCCCATGCTCTCCCCACATGCTCCTGGTGATCTGTGTCCTCCTGGTACCCTGGATCTTCCCCAAGTCCCATGTCCCCGCTGGGGTCACGTCTGCCTAATACCCTATGTGTGTCCTGTGTCCTCTCCATGTCCATTAATCTCCTACAGCCTCCCGTGTCTCCTAGGTCTCATGTGTCCCTGTGTCCCACGTCCTCCCCCAACCCCCAGCTATCCTTGCGCCTTGCACATACCACTGGGGGGCAGAAGCACGTGTGCAGGGGGCGAGGCCGGGCCCAGGAGGGTGCAGTGGTAGAGCTGCACATCCAGCTGGTAGTGGGTGCCAGGCGTGAGTCCCGTCAGGAGGGCAGTGCGGGCCTGGGGGGATGAGACGTTCTCCCGCCGCTCCTGCCCCCGTGTCCCGTCCCACAGGCGCAGCAGGAAACCGTCGCCCACCAGTGGCCCGGGCACCAAGGGCAAGGACCAGCTCACTCGCAGCCGGTCAGTGCCTTCCACATGCCAGCCCTCCAACCACGGCTGCAACAAAGGCTCTGGGGCCAGAGGTCAGGGGTCAGAACTGTCCAGTAGGTACTTGGGGCTGGACAGGACAATGATCCCCAGTGAACAAGGAAGAACAACCTCCAGTGGGAAAGGCAGGGGTCCCTGGGGTCGACGGGAAAGTAACCCTTGGGGGGACAGGAAGGGATGACTCTTGGCCTCTCACCAGGACAGTCTGTGGTCATGAGGGTGGGAGGCCCCCAGGCCCCCTCTCCTCCTTCCCCTGGCCGGCTCAGCTGCACACGAACACTGTATCCTGTCTTTGGCCTCAGGTTCATTAACGTCACGTTCTCACTGGGGTCCACTGGGCGTGGGGTGTAAAGCACACATTATTCAGCCCCCACCTCTTCTAGAAGCTGCCATGCTCCCTTCAGCCCCCTCGCACCATTTGCCCTCCCTCTCCTGCTCACTGTATCCCTTCACTATTACCCAACACCTCTGTCCTGCCCCAGCTCTCTCCCTACTCACCCACAATGGTCGACCAGTCCATGGTACTGTCCTGGGGCCGGTAGTGCAGGCGGACAGTGGAGATGGGTCCATCCCCAGAGAACGAGACCAGCGGGGAGACCACAAGCTGGCGGCTCTGCTTGGTCAGGAGCCGAGGTGCAGCCAGGGGCACGGGGGGCACTGCCAGGAGACTCAGGGTAAGGCATGGGCACACAGCCTATCCAGTCCACTTCTGCATCTTTGTTTCAAGCTGGGGACCCTCTGGGCTTGAGGGACACCAAGTTCAACAGATGACCATAGTGGCCAGGGCCCAGGGAGGACAGAGTTCAGGCCCCTGGGTAGCTTGGGGCACAAGGATTAAGCAATAAAGGCATGAGGGTGTCCCAAAAGATGGTAGATGAGGAAGTGACATGGCCAGACATGGTTTGGGGGTGCACTCTTCCCATGCAGTGTGGGGGTAGACAGAAGGGGCCGAAACCCAGGTCAGGGAGACTACCTGGGCATCATCCTGCTCTCTGCCCCTGCCCTCATTCACCACTCTCTTATTAAAAAAAAAAAATGGCACTGGCACTGAAGCACCTGCTCCCCGCCACACGCTTCATAGCATGACCTCTAATTCTCACAGCCACCTTTCTGTCAGGGCACATTACCCTGCATTATGAAAACACTGAGACTCAGAGACACCGAATAACTTGCCTAAGGACACACAACTAGAAGGAGATACAGCCATGTGTTGAACTAGGTCTGTCTGCGCAGGCCGCCTCAGATCTATCCATTCTACTCCAAAACAGCCTTCTTGTTCCTGCCCCACTTCCTCACCCCATGATCGCTGCTCCTATTCTGGCCTCAACTTTTTCTCTCCAGATTATTGCATTAGTGCTTTTAACAGGTTCCCTTGACTCTTACAAATGTTTACCAGATTGGCTTTTTGAGAGGAAAGGAAGGAAGGAAAGAGGGAGGGAGCGAGGGAGGAAAAGGATGCCGCGCTGTAAGCTGAGGGAGTGTCAGGCAGCAATGAGCATGTCAGGAGGGCAGTGCTGATTTGCGGGGAGATGAAGGTCCATTTTGGGTGCAGAGAAGCCCTTGGTGCCTTTGGCTCACGCAGGGGATTAGATGTCCAGGAAGTGGCTGGATATAAAATGGGCCTCCGAATCATACAGCAGCTACTTTCCACACCAACTTCAAAACCAGACTTCCAGAGTAGATGCCCCACTTCATGGAGTCCCCACCAAATGATCTGGAGTCAGAAGAGGGGTCCTGGCTGCAGATCATATGTGAGAGCTGCCAGAGAACTATCAAAATCTAGGGACTAGGTGACATTTTAAATAATAACAATAATTATCGACATACATTGAGCACACACCCTGTATCGGGCACTGTGCTAAATGCTTAAATACATCATCAAATTTAATCTTTGTAACAACCCCATCAAGTGCTAGCTATCCCCATTTCACAAAGAGAGAAACAAAGTAAGAGAGGTTAAGTAGTTTCCTTAAGGTGATGGGGCAAGGAATTTGTGGAGAGAGGATTCAAGCCCAGGTTGTCTGGCTCCTAAGCCTGGGCACAGTGAGAAGAGAAAGGCGGAAGGTGAGGCTTGATGGCAGAGAGTCATGCATAGTCACGGGATAGGGAGATGGCGAGGACCTGGGAGGCAGAGTGTGGCAACGAGAAAGCAGAAGGTGAGAGAGGGGGCTTACATGGGGTGGCAGGAGCAGAGGGACAGCAGGGTCAGGGGGTGGCAGGGGTGTGAATGGTTAAGACTTAGGGTGCTGGAGAAGCTGGAGAAGGCGAAGGAGGCCTTAGAGCAGGTGGGGGTGCTCTGGTCTGAGTAATCTTGGGCACTGGGAGGTCCCTCCTTATTTACCTGGAAGATTTCTAGGCATGCACCACTTCTAGGAAGCCAAGCTGGTCACCCTCTGAGCTCCATAGCCCCATATGCTCCCCTGGGCTAGCACTGAGTGTCTGTGGGGTGACTCAGAGATGGGAGGCAGCATCCCAGAGCAGAGTTAAAGGTATACTTGTCTGTGTGTGACGGTTGGTGGGGGACAGCATGGCTGGGCAGGAGGAAGGGCGGGGCTGGAGAGTGTCCCCAGTTTCTGGGGCACGGGATGTCCTTTCCAGATGGGTCTAAGCTGTACTCCAGCCTTGACACTGCCCAGCCCGGACCTCTGGTTGACCACAACCCCGCTTTTTGTCTGGTGCTAGGCTATGACCTTAGATGTCCTTGTCCTTCCTGCTAGTATCTCCAGCCTGAGCAGCATCATCTAGAGCCTACTCTGCTCACCGTCCATTCCCTGTGGACCTAGGACATCACTGACCTTTCACATTGACCTTGAAGCGCCGGCTGTCTTGGCCGCCAGATGTGGACACACGGCACTCCCAGAACCCACTGTCCGCAAGAACCAAGCGGGGCACCTCGAACTCAGCTGTGGTCTTCTCTGGCTCCACAATGGCCTTGGTGGACTAAAAGAGATGGGGGAAGGGGACAGGTCACAGGGAACGGGCACCTCTGTGGCAGGCACCCAGGTGTCCGTCTGGACTGATGGCAGGACAGAGGCCCAGTGGCAGCCCCCTCACCAATCAGCCTGACCTCATGTGAGCAATGGTCAGGCCAATGGGTGGGCCCTGCAGAAAGTTCTGAGGGACTAGGGGGTCTTAGGGATCAGCTGTGAAGCAGGCGGCCTGAGGGGCTGGTGGGTTGGGGTGATTGGGGGCTGACCAGGAGCACAGTGCCGTCTGGCTTGCGTAGCTCTATGCTGCCCCGCACGGGGAAGGGGTTCCCTGCAGCTGCACAGTTGATCCGGGGCATCGTCTCTAAGTTGAACTCCAGTTCTGAGGCCATGTTGAGGATCTGGGGGATCCGGTCTGGGGAGAAAGGACACTCATCCTGGAGCTCCCACAGGGGCAGACACGTGACCACCAAAGCGCCCCTCATCCGTGTTCTGTTTCTCAGTGGAGGTATCTACCCAGTCCCTCCAGCCTGAAAACCAGCAAAGGCCCGCATGACTCCTCCAGCGTCCCAGCCCCACATCCCATCAGCTGCAAAGTCTACTTCCTAACCACCTCCCCACTTCCCGATACCGTCTAATACCTGCCAGCAGACCCCTCACCATCCTCCCAGCCAGCACACTAGCTCAGGCCTCATCATTTCTGGTCCCTAGGTACAGAGTCCTCGAGGGTCTCCTGCTCCCGCTCCCCGGCCAGCAGCTAGGGGTCCTTTCTCCAACACGGATCTGACTACCTTGTTCCTTTTTAACAATTCCCTCTTGCCCCATCATATGAAGTGCAAACTCTTTGGCCTTCATTCAAAGGCCCCACGATTTGACCTCTTCTGACCATTTCCCCAGTCCCCCACTCCACTGTCCTGGTACCCAAACCTGAGTCCCCAATCCCTGGGTCCCCTACCCCACTGTCCTGGCACCCAAACCTGAGTCCCCAATCCCTGGGTCCCCTACTCCACTGTCCTGGCACCCAAACCTGAGTCCCCAATCCCTGGGTCCCCTACTCCACTGTCCTGGCACCCAAACCTGAGTCCCCAATCCCTGGGTCTTTGCTCTTGTTCTTTCCTCAGTTATCTCTCTTTTGTCCTTCATATCTAATCTCAGATCACACCTGCTTCCAGACCCTTCTCTGACCTGCTCAGTCTGCCCAGGGGCATCCTCTGGGCTCCCACATTCTCTGGGCTGCTGCCCTTTCCACTATGGCTGGCTGGCAGTGAGCTCCTTGCTGGACTGGCTCCCTGCTGGACTGACTCCCTACCAGACTGACTCCCTGCCAGAGCTCCCTGTCCATCAGACTCTAAGCTCCCTGAGGGCAGGACTTGGACCCTCGTAGGGAAAGGAGGGACTACTCTCTTCCACCGGGGAGATGTGTTTGGTAAAGGCCGACTTATCTTGGGGGGCTCTCAGAGGTCATAGTGCTTATACCTGACTTCTCACAGTGCACTCCATGCCACCCAGAGGGGCAGACACAACCACTGAACCGGTCACAAGTGCCACCATTCTGACACTGGCACTGGAGTCGGCAATCAGCCCCAAAATGACCAGGGGCACAAGCTGGGAATAGAGGAGGTATGATTAGAGGGGCATGGGACAGGGGGCAATGAGGGCACAGATGAGGGCGCAGATGGGGCACAGGTTATACAACAGGCTGAGGATAGAAGGACTGGTCAAGTGAGCAGGAGGGCTTGCTGCGTAAGTCAGAGGCAGAGTGGAGGGTCCGGGTCAAGCTCCTGGCCAGCTGTCTTGGTCAGGGACCATGAGGGTAGGTTAGGCATACCTTCTTGGCACTGGCTTCCTCTCCAGCCAGATCCACAAGAGCAGCCATAGGGGTCTGGGAGGCAGAAGGTGAGGCCCCGGCAGCCTGATATGCCTGGGCACTGCTCCTGGCAGCTCTGCCCAAAACGGCCCTCTCTGCAGGCTAGAAAGAGAGTGTGTGGGGTGTATGGGCCTCTGTGGGCCCCTGGGCCCAGGACCTGCCTGTCGCCCTTACCCTCCAAGCTCCACCCACATGGTTCTAGGGTCTTCTCCCAGTCAGGGATCCTCTCCTGCCTGGGTCCTAGCTCCCCTCCTCCTTACCCTGTTCACAGCGGGTGCCAGTGAAGCCAGGGGGGCATACACATTCGCCGTCATGGTCGTGGCAGACACCTCCATGTAGGCAACCTGGGCACTCCTTGGTACAGCCTGGCCCCCAGCGCCCAGCCCCACAACCTGGAGGAAGGTGTCTTCAGCAGCTGACCCTCACCCACCTGACCACTGAGGACTGGAGATCCAGGGGCTCCAGGGGACCCACAGGAAGTACCCATAGGGCTCCCAGCCTCCCACCCTACCCACAACCTCTGCCCTCTGCCTCTGACCCCGCACGATGAGCCGAAAGAAGGCGCTGCCCAGGGGGCTGGCTTCCAGGTAAGTGGCACTGTAGATGCCGCTCGATGGTGGCTGCACATTTGGGAGCTGCAGCAGGAACCGCCCATCCTGGGCTTCATGCCAGTCCAGGGTGTAGAAGTAGGATCCTGGGGGACATGAATGTGTCAGGGGCCTCAGCACTACATGAGGGCTGTGTCACCTCTCTCTGTCCACCTCTGCTCAGCTCACATCAATGAGCCCCATGCACAGTGATGAGACCTAGGGCCGGCACCACGAGAGCCTATGCCCACGCCAGAAAGCTCAGAAGTGCCCTCTTCTTCATGCTCCACCAGCCACCCAGTAAATCACCAAGTCCTGCTCAGTCCATCTCCTCCTCATCCCCTAACCCAGTCCGCTTCTCCCCACACCCACTGCCACTGCCCTGGTCCTAGCCTCCAGGGGCCTCACAAGGCTCCTCTGCCTCCAGTGTCACCCTTTCTTGTCCCTCCTCCACCCAGCAGCCAGGGTGATTTTTTACAACAGACTCCTCTCTAACTCCTCTGCTGAAACTCTCCTGGTTCTCCAGTGACCTCAGGACAAAAATCCAGCTCCTTAGACATCATTTTCACCAACTTGGCCGTGGCCAAGCCATCCAGCCCCATTCGTCTTCACACCCTTCTTGACTCCTAACATTCCTGAATTCCTGAATGGATTGTTTCTCTTCTAGAAACACCCTTGTGTTTCAGACCCTACTGCTCTTCTCAGTCCCTCCTCCTGGAAGGCCCTTCCTTCCTTTTCTGCCTTCTTTGTCTTCCCACTTCTCCTCTGAGCACAATTCAAGTGCCATCTACTCTAGGGTCTCTCCCCTGAGCCTCTCCCTCTTAGAAGAGTGCTCCAGTCGCTGCCCCACCCGCTTCTTGCCTCTTTGCTCAGGGCTGAACAGAGAGCCTAGAGACCCAGGTCTGCCTGTGCCTCTTCACATTTCCTGTCAATTCACGGGGTCCAGAGCTCAGGAGGCAGCCCCCTTGGCCAAAGGGAAGGGTCTTCCTCCCTCAGGAGCCCAGGTATGCAAGAGTCAGCCAAGGGGTTGTGAATCTGAGGACTGAGGCAGGAATCTTGGGGCCACATAGGAAAACAGCTTCCTTCTATGGGGTGGCCAAAGGGTCAGGGTGGAGGACAGGCCTGGGACTGAGATCCCACGGGTCTACCCAGGCCTCAGCATGAGGCTGTCTTGGGCATCAAGGATCTGGGCTGGACAGATCTTTGGGAGAGGCTAGACTCTGCCCTGCCTGTGTTGGGCATGATGTTACCAGTTCTCTTCCTCCTCAGGGGGACTGATGCGGTCTGCCAGGTGGGCTATGTGACAGCACCTGCTAACTCCCAGGGGAGAGATGAGGGTTTAACATCGTGCTCATTTGGGGCTAAGAGGGAAGGGGCAGCTGACCACAGGCTCCTGGCCCTCTGTGTACAGAAGGAAGGCAGCTCAGAACTACAGATAAGATGGGTGCAGGCACATCCCATGGGACCTGGTCCACTACAGAGGAGAGGCCCTGGAGGTCGGGTGTGTCAGGGGCCAAAGCTGAGGGTCCCATGGGTCATGAAAGTGTTGGGGCCTCAGAACGATGGGTCTACCCTCCCCACCAGTTCAAATGCCCCTCTTTACCGTTGCTCTTCCAGATCACGTCTGTCTGCTTCTCCTTGTGCACACGTGCAGAAAGTACAGCGGTGTCACCTTTGTTCACAGTGTGTGTGACCTTGTCTGGAAGCAGGTGGGCTGCGGGGTGGAAGGTGGGTCAGCGGCCTGGTTTTCCCCGCGCCATCCCCCCGCCTGCCTAACTCACCTCCAGGGCTGTTGTGCACGTAGATGACGCGCGTGCGCCGCGCCCCAGCACCGCCCACGCAGGAGAAGACGCCCACGAGGTCCGAGGGCTTGGAGAAGCCGCGAAGCGTGACCTGGTGCGAACCGTTGCGCGCCAGGCGCAGGGGTGGCCCGGGCGGGGTGCGCACGATACGGTCGTCCTTCTCCAGCAGCAGGGGCGGGCCCCAGGCGTCCGAGCCCCTCCCCGCCCCGGCCTCCCCAGACACGCAAGTCAGGAAGAAGCGCTGGGGGTCCGTGAGCCGCAGGTTGGCCAGCAGCGTCAGGTCCACCGCCGCGCCTGGGGCCAGGACACCAGTGACTCTATTGTAGTCCCAGCCAACCCTAGTGCCCCAGAGCCCCCAGCCCCAGCCCTCTGGTCTTACTGATCCACCGTCCACTCAGAAGAGGGTCTCCAACCTTCACCCCTCTTCCTTCCCCTGCCCGGTTCTTCAGACCCCACAGGCCTCACTTTATCAGGCATTCCCATCCCCCTCCTTTCCCCTTCCATGCGCACTGGCCTCTTTCCCTCAAGTCTCTTCATTCTAAAAGAACAAAAACAAAACCACGAATCCTTCTCTGGCCGTGTCCCCTCCCTTCTCCTGCCAGATGGCTTCCCTTTCGCCCCAGCTTTCGGAAAGAATGATCTATGCTCCCTGTCTCCGTTTCCTCACTTTATTTCTATCAGTCCTGTTTCCCCACTCGTCTCTAAAACTGCCCTGCAAAGGTTGCTGTGAGCCACTTCTCCCTGCCTCCACCACGAGAGTGCAGGCCAGGAGAGCCAGCCAGAACAGAAGTGTCCCATGGGTCCCCCTCTCTGTCACTATGGAGATCTAGAAATGTCTGGTGGGCTGGGATTTGAGGTGGGAGAGGCTGAGTTTTGCAGCCAGAAGGTTGTGGCACAGAAATGGAGCTAGGGCTGGGTGCGGTGGCTCACGCCTGGAATCCCAGCACTTAAGGAGGCAGAGGTGGGAGGATCCTTTGAGCACAGGAGTTTGAGATCAGCCAGGGCAACATAGCAAGACCCCATTCTCCAGAAAAAGAAAAACAAAAAGAAATGGAGCTAAGCTTGGGGCTGGGCCCAGAGCCAGGGAGGGCAGCCCCAGGGCAAGGCCTGGAGCCCAGACAGACACAGACACGAGGTAGGTCTTGGTCTTTGTTTGCCTTCCAAAGAGCTCACGCCCTAGTTGGAGGAACAGGCATGAACACAGCTGCCAAATGTAGGGCGCTGTGCTTTTGAGCACAGAGAAGGGACCCCTGCTCCAGCCTGGGGGAGCTCAGGGAGATGAAGAGATGCTTCCTGGGAGGTACAGTTGGAGCAGGGCACATTGGCGTGAGGACAATGGGGAGGGAGAGAAATCAGGGGCAGGGAGAGGGCATCCTAGACAGAGGGAACAGCCTGGACAGAGGCCTGCAGTGGCAATATTGTGGCAGGTGGAGGGGGCTCTCCAGGTTTGTGTGACTGGAGTACAAAATGTGAGGCTGAGGCAGGAGAGATCAGGTGGAGTCAGAGTCCAGTCTGGACGGTGGAGAGCCTGCGAGCCTGCCTTAGCTCCAGGACCCAGAACCCCTCCACCAGCCAAGCCCTTCCTTCTCTGTCTCTTGTAGCTGACTGTCAAGCAGTTCATTAGTTTAAATGCCACCTAGCTTATCAGTGTTTGAAAGGCTACCATGAGCAAACGAAGCTGGCATTTACTGACCGCCCACCACATACCAACCCCCATTTTCCACTGGATCCTCACAACCAGTGAAGTGGATATTCTTTCCAGTTACAGAGGAGGATCATGGTAATTATTCTACTGGCTTCTTTGAGCAAGCTCGCCCACTCCCCCAGTTTTAACCATCACCTCTGAGTCAGTAACTCGGGAACGGTCTTTCAGCTTGGACCTGCATTTCCATCAGCTTTTCCCAAATCTGCTCCTCTCCAGTGCTCCCTGACTCACTGGACAGCACCCGCCACTTGAGACACAAACTATGGAGTCATCTCTACTCCCATTGTCATAATAATGAATGTTTATTGGCTGCCAGTTATGCACCAGGCACTTTACTGATATTGTTTCATTTTACCATCCCAGCTATCCTGGGAGGTGGATGTTATTATCCCTGTTTTATAGCCAGGAAAGGGAGGCTCAGAGAAGTTAAGTAACTTGCCCAAGGTCATACAATTAGTGAGTGGCAGGGCCAGGTTGTCTGATTCTAAAGTCCACATCTCTGAGCACTGTGCTGCCTGCCTCATCAGTCATAGAATTCTGCACATTGTTTCCTGAACGCTTCTTGACTTCATCCCCACCCCCCCAGCCTGCCTTTGTTCAGCCCTCATCCTTACTCACCTAGACCATCCCAACAGCCACAGCCCCTCCTTCTGCAACTCATCCTCCACGGTGATCTAAGACCAAACCTGACCTTGTGACTTTCTTGCCTGTGACCTCCCATGGCTCCCTATTGCCCTCAGGATAATGTTCGTGCTCCTAAGCCCCGTGATGCTCCCACGCTATCCCTCCTGTTGTGTTCCTAACAGGCACCTTCTCTCCCATGCACCTCCATGCCTCTGAGACTTGCATTTTTTATGTTCTGGCTGCCTGGAATGAAGACCACCCCTCTTAGTGAAATCTTCCTTGATTCCCTTTTTGTCTCCTACCTGAGGCAGTGTAAGCTGAACTCCTCCTCAGTGCTCCTCTAGAGCTCCTGTGTCTGTCCCTGTTTAGCCCTCTTCCCCTGTCCTGTGTTCTGCACTAGACCATGAACCACTCAAAGGCAGCCTCTGTGTTCTAATCGGCTGACCAGCAGACTGAAGGAATCAGCTGCCACCTACTCAGAAATCCTTACCAAGCACAGTGCACTGTGCCAACTGCTCTGCATCATTTTCTCATTTAAACCCCATAACAACCATAGGAGGCTGGCATCATTTAATCTCATTGTACAGACTAGGTGTTGCCAGCCTCTCAACTAATGGCCCAGCACTTAGCACAACTCCTGGAATATTGTTGGTGCTCAATAAATGTTTGTCCAGTGAACAACTGAGTGAATCCAACACAATTACCCTATGAACACCCCCTGAAAATGGCCCTCCACAGATCCTCAGATCCAACACAGTCAGCGGCTACTCCTCACTCCTCCCCTGATCCCAGGTTGCAGTGATTTCTAGCACTTGCCTGTGTTTTCCTGGCCTTGATCTCACTTTCTAGTGGATCAAAGTGATGGCAGTGATGATAGGGCTTGTTTTCCAAAATTTTTTGTTGTGGTGAAATGCATATAAAATAAATTTTACCATCTTTTTTTCTTTTTAGATGAGTCTTGCTCTGTCGCCCAGGCTGGAGTGCAGTGGCGCGATCTCAGCTCACTGCAACCTCTGCCTCCCAGATTCAAGCGATTCTCTTGCCTCAGCCTCCCAAGTAGCTGGGATTACAGGCTCCTGCCACCACGCCCGGCTAATTTTTGTATTTTTAGTAGAGATGGGGTTTCACCATGTTTGCCAGGCTGGTCTCGATCTCCTGACCCTGTGATCCACCCGCTCGGCCTCCCAAAGTGCCGGGATTACAGGCGTGAGCCACCACACCCGGCAAATTTTGCCATCTTAACCATTTGTAAGCAGCATATAACCCAATGTGATTAAATACATTCCTAGTGTTGTCCCACCATCACCACCATCCATCCTTTTTTTTTTTTTTTGAAAAAGACGAAAGTCTAAACACAATGGAGACGGGGTCTCACTATGTTGACCAGTCTGGTCTTGAACTCCTGGCCTCAATTGATCCTCCCATCTCAGCCATCCAAAGTGCTGGGATTACAGGTATGAACCACCGCACCCGGCCCCATGTTTATAACTCTTTTAATCTTGTAAAACCAAGTAAAAATCTTGTAAAAACGCTGTACCTTTTAAACAAAACTCCCCATTTCTTCCTCCCTGCAGCCCATGGCAACCATCATCCTACTTTCTGTCTCTATGATAAAATAGGGTTTCTTGGGTAGAAATCAGGGCCTCGGGGCCTAGAAATGGGGTGAGGGACTCAGGGGAGACTTACCCACATGAGAAGCCAAGAAGAGGATGGGGAGCAAGAAAGGGGGCACCCGCCAGACCATACTCCAGAGGCCGACCCAGGCCAGCCAGGACGAGCTGGGCCTGGGGTCAGATGCTGTGGGCCTGACTGCTCAGCCTGTGTTGGTCAGTGTGGGTCGGTGCTGGGGAGGAAGAGGAAATGAGGTGGCTTGGGTGGGAGGGGTGGCAGGGTAGGGGGTGGGAGGACTCATTCTGCCTTTGAGCCTCTAGGCCCCCCAATCTGGCCCCCACAAGGCTGGGGATGGGTGTGGCCTGGGAGGAGTCACTTGAGGTGGGGGGAAGGTTATGGTAAGGGCAGACCTGGGGACAGCTGGACTGATTTTTCCCATCCCCTGTCTCTCTCCAGTACTCAGTCTTGCTGGCACAAAGGAGGCAGGAGGCAGGAAAGGGAGGAAGCCAGTGGCTTCCGCCTATTGAGGAGGGGGGTGGGGTGGGGGACATTGTTCTGGGGTCTCCCCTCCCCCCGGCACAAACACACAATACGGCCCACATGAGTCCTCATGTATGTGCCCCAGGACACAGACAGTTACATGGGTTTCCTAGAGAGCAGTTCACATACGAAACACAAAGGACCTCTGTGGGCCTGAGAAGCACATACACTCAAAGGAACACAGGGCCCTGGCAACAAAGAGCCTTCGAGTCTACCTTGTGTACCTCTCTCATTGTACAGATGGGAAAACTGAGGCTTGCTGTGCTCGAGGGCACCCTGAGGCTGTGGCAAGGCTGGGACTTGAACTTCTGACTTAGTCCTTGCTTTCTTGGTGCCAATCGCTCCACAAGGGCTCACATTAAGCAGTCCCGGGGAGCACACAGGGAGTATCGGTTGCATAGATAGTCCTCAGCTTAAGCTGCTAATGAAAGCTTCAGCTTATTGTCTGCCAGGTGTCATTCATTTTGCGGCAAACCCCTGCCTATTCCTGGGCACTGGGGCAGCAGAAGTCTGCCCAGGGAGGTGCACTCACTCTTGACGGCTGACAACAACCTGGGAGCAGTCGCACTGCTTTGGCAAAGTCTCTAAAGCCCCATGGATCTTGCCTCTGCTTCCCTCCCAGACTCACCTCTCCCTGCCCTGGCACCCGTTGCTCCACCTCTTGCCACCACTGGCAGTTCCCAGAACGGAACAAGACCTGTAGGTACAGAACGCCCACGAGGAGGCCCTTCCAGGGAGCAGAGGGAGCAACCGTTGGATGGGCAGCCTTGCTGGTTAAATCGATGACCCCTCTGACCCGGAATGGAATGGTTGGGATGGATGAGACTTGGTGTCAGTTTAGGTGACTTAGGTCTGGTAGTACAAACCCTCCCCCTGGGCCTGGGACATCTTCCCAGAGTGTGTTCTGGGTGAAGGCTTCATTCTCCTCTGAATGCACCGGGCTCACATTCACTTTTCTCAGGAGGCTGGGTCCCTGCAGCTTGGTTGAGCTGGTTTAGGCCCAGGGCTCTTCTGAAGCGCCCTGAAAAGTCCCAGGAGACGCTTTGACTCCTGGAGTAGCATAGAAAAGGATCGGGAAAGACCTCCCTACTGATGTGTGACCCACAGAGATTCCCATTCCTGGGCCTGAGGCTGGGAGGAGCTTTCTCTAGACAAGGCTTTGGGTGGGATGGGAGTAGGAGCAGGGGGAGAGTGGTGGATGCCTTACACTTCAGCTCATCCTGGTGCCAGACCTTTGAATCTGGAATGAAAAAGGAGCTGGAAAGTGCTGGGACTGTTTGTATGGCAGGATTCACTTTTGTGGAACTTTTCCTTTGGTTCTTGGAAGACCTGGGGGGCCTGATGTCATTTTGCAAATGTGTGGAGAGCACTTAGGCAGCATTCATTCTTGTTGGAAGTGACACAGATATTGGCACAGGTATTTGCTTTGAATGGAAAAGTTTGAGACTGCAGGATGCTGGCACATGCAAAGATTCTGAGCCCATCTGCCCTCCCCACTCTCAACTGGGAAACAAAAACTGGTAATAATGATCTGTACATAAATAAAATGTTAATGGAGTTTGTACACAAGAATTTGTATTATAAAACAATATCCTACAAGTGTAAAAGTATTTTTACATGTGTTGAGATTATGCTGCAAGTAATTTAAATAGCATCAGTTTACAAACAATATGTCCCAAATGAAATATTACTGCACACACAAATTTTGAGTGGGTTGTGTATACATCTGCTGTTGCAGATGTATAAGACGACTTAAGCCATAATGCACATCTTGAAGTCTCAGTCACTCGAAAGTTATAGGCCAAAAATAATGCAAATATGAAGTTCTACACATTGGAGGGTTAACCTCCAAACCCAAAACAAACTGAATTGATAATGATAGAGTTAAACTCAAGGCGCCAGGTCAACTCAAGGTAATTTATTTTTTAACAGCCAAGCTCAGTGGCTCACACCCGTAATCCCAGCACTTTGGGAGGCCGAGGCGGGCATATCACTTGAGGCCAGGAGTTCGAGACCAGCCTGACCAATGTGGTGAAACCCCGTCTCTACCAAAAATACAAAAATTAGCCGGGCGTGGTGGCACGTGCCTGTAATCCCAGCTACTCAGAAGGCTGAGGTAAGAGAATCGCCTGAACCCGGGAGGTGGAAGTTGCAGTGGAGCCGAGATCGCGCCACTGCACTCCAGCCTGGGTGACAGAGCTAGACTCCCTCTCAAAAATAAAAATAAAAATAAAAAAACTCTTCCTCACTACCATACTCACTATCAGTTTGGCAGAAGTCTGGGAGTTTTATAACACACTGTCTTGGCAAGGTTGTGGGGAAATAGGCATGCTCTATATAGGCATGTTGATGTAATTCTGATGGAGGGCAACTTGGGAATATCTGTCAAATTCATGAACACACGTATCCTTGACTCACAATTGCATTCTTGGGAATTTATCCTGCAGATATACTCCCACAGTACAAAATGTCATGGTTATTCATTGTAGCATTATATGTAATGGCAGAAGATTAGGACCAATTCCTGTGTCAATCAATGGGGAAATGGTTAAATAAATTTTGATGTAGCTATACAGTAAAATATAACAGCTGTGAAATTAGTTGAAGAAACTCTCCAAGTCTATATACTGGTTTTTAAAAGCTCTCTAAGACATACTAATTAGTAAGTGATAAAAAGAAGGTACAGAAGTGTATATTGTATGTTAGCGTTTGCCTAAAAAAGAAAAAAATAGGAATATATATTCATACTGCATGTACAGGTTGAGTATCCCTTATCCAAAATGCTAGGGACAAGAAGTGTTCAGATTTCAGGTTTTCTGAATTTTGGGATATTTTCATATACATAATGAAATATCTTGGGGATAAGACCCAGGTCTAAATATGGAATTCATTTATGTTTCATGCATACCTTATACACATAGCCTGAAGGTAATTTTAAACAATATTTCATATGATATATATGACCCATCACATGAGGTCAGGTGTGGATTTTTCACCTGTGGCATCACAAAGTGTTCAAAAAGTTTCAAATTTGGGAGCATTTCAGATTTCACATTTTCGGATTGGGGTGCTCAACCTGTATTTGCACAGGGTGAATATCTGTTGTGGTATTAAGTTCCACTTTGGAGGGAGTGCTCATTTGGAAACCATTCAAAGAATTTTTAAAAAATTTTTCTTTTATGTTAGTAAAGGTCCATCCCCTGTGGCCACCCCAGCGGGTTGGACTCACTGTTCTCCAAGTGACCGTCATGATCAAGAGGGACAGGAAAGCCTGACTCTCCAAGTTCCACTCATTTCCCTTAACAGGTGGCTCAGACAACAAACTGCTTTATGCCCCTTAGAACATTCATTTGGGTCTTTTGTGTGGCTTCTTACAATGCCCTTAGGGTTTTAGACCACATGTAAATACATGTGGAAACATTTGACAGACTCTTAAAAATGTCTATGAATTTGATTTAATTTTCTCTATAGACAAACTCCATAGTCTTCTTGCAGAAATGATGCTCAGTTGAGATCCATTTGGGTGAAATTGTTATGCAAATTATGCATAAAAAAGCTGGTGAAATTCGGGACTGGATCAACAGAGGATGAGTCAGGGGGGAAAGAATGAACCTCTCTAAGTTGCTCCCCAAAAATGAAGTCAGGGCTATCTGAATTAAAGTGTCAAATTGGTACTCTTCTAAGTAACGGAGACCTCTCCCAATTAAACTTGCCAGACTGGGGTGGGTTACATGGGTGACCATGCAATTATTTTTCAAAATAGTGAGAGGCCCGGCACAGTGGCTCATGCCTGTAATCCCAGCACTTTGGGAGGTCGAGGCAGGCAGATCGCCTGAGGCCAGGAGTTCAAGACCACCCTGGCCAACATAGTGAAACCCCATGTCTACTAAAAATACAAAAAGATTAACCAGATGTGGTAGCACGCGCCTGTAGTCCCAGCTACTTGGGAGGCTGAGGCACAAGAATTGCTTGAACCCAGGAGGCAGAGGTTGCAGTGAGCTGAGATCATGCCATTGCACTCCAGCCTGGGTGACAGAGTGAGACTTTGTCTCAAAAAATAAAAAAGAATAAATAAAAGATAAACAGTGAGAGTCCCATCTTTGCTTCTTAAAGTCAAACTATTATATATAAACTATGTAAAGTCAGTATGTGAAGTAGAATGCTGCTTTGTTTTGCTCAGTGATTTTAAAGGGAAGGGGTAGTTGCAATTTTCCTCCCAAATTACATTCCTGTGTTCTCCTGAAGCATGCCCTTGTGTCTTGGCTCCTAGAATATTTTGAAAAGTATTTAAGATATTTCTTTGTTATGTGCAACTCCAAATGCTGGCATCTTTTTATATGCCAATAAGTGCCTTAACTCTCTGTACTGTTTGTCACAATTGCTTTTCGAAGAACCAAGTAAATGCTGCCCAAACAAATTAGAAAGTTTTCTTTTGGTTGAAATAAGCAACACTTTAACCCAATTCCTAAGTTCTGCCTTTGCCTGAAATTGACTTTACTGATAAATCATTCTTCATACTGATCAGCAAAGAAAGGAAAAATATCTTGTTCTTGTTGTTGTCCAAAAAAAAGAAAAGAAAAAGAAAGTAATTCTTTTAAGATTTTGTTTAGGTTAATAGTAACAATGGTTGGTACTTTCACTTAACTTCAGCAGCAACTAAAGCCACATTGTCAATTCAAAAACAGTTTTTGTTGTTCTTCCAGGAAATAACTCTGTAGTGAGAGGAAGTTTGCAGTAAATGCTTTTGGAGCATCAGGCTGAGGCTGTGTCCCTGAAGCTAGTGTGTGTGTGTGTGTGTGTGTGTGTGTGTGTGTGTGTGTGTGTGTGTGTTTTCACTCTAGTCAGAAAAGACGTGCCAGGTGTTTGTGACAAGCTGTGATGAGGACTGGAGATTACTTGGAATCCATTGTGTTCTTTTCCTTGTTGGAAAAAGAAAGCTTCTAAAAACAAGCCCTTATTTAAAGGAAGCCCCAGTTAATTCAACAAGGCTCTGAAAGAAGTCCCTTTTATAGAAACTGCTTGACAAAGGCCATTTGGCCCAGAGGAGTCCTGTGAGGTCAGAAACTGAAATCAACACCCACATAGGGTTCAGGCAGTTAGAAGCTCAGAGTGTACTTAGTAAAGCATAACAAACTTTTACCCACTTTGGTCAGAATGGAATTTACCCAGCAATGCAGAGTCTTATGCTAGAACACCAACAAACCTCAATTATAATGGCTAACAGTTGCTACGGGTTTACAGGTGCCGGGAAAAGGTGATGCCTACACCTCATGGACTCTCAGCCTTTTGAGATGGGTGTCACTATTATTATTATTATTATTATTGTTATTTTGAGATGGAGTCTCGCTCTGTCACCCAGGCTGGAGTGCAATGGCACAATCTCGGCTCACTGCAACCACCACCTCCTGGGTCCAAGCCATTCTCCTGCGTCAGCCTCCTGAGTAGCTGGGATTACAGGCTAATTTTGTATTTTTTTTTAGTAGATATGGGGTTTCTCCATGTTGGTCGGGCTCAGGCTCGTCTCGAACTCCCGACTTCAGGTGATCCGCCCTCCTTGGCCTCCCAAAGTGCTGGGATGACAGGCGTGAGCCACCGCACCCAGCCGGGTGTCATTATTATGATCCCCATTTTGCAGATGAGGAAACAGATGCATCCTCAGGTTAGTTAAGTGATGGTGTTCAGCTTTGACCCCAGACAGTTTGATCCACAGCCAGAGAGCTTAACTATGCCCAAGGCCTGTTAGACTATACTACCTAGACAGGAAGAAGGCCAGCACACCCAGGGAGGCTGCTTTCATCTGCATGTCATCCTTCAAACTCTTAAAAATGATTGAAGAAAAACAATCCTTTTGTATCCAGCATGCATCTGAAATTTTATTCTGGAAAACAATGAGCTCAACTCTGTGCTGTGTGATGATGGAGTGGTGCCCTTTAAAAGGCAAGGGCTGACCAGGAGAGATGGGCAGGCATGAATTTTAAGGATGTCTTGCCTTTAAGTTCCATCAGGTCCTTGCTTTAGCTCAGGTCACTCTGAAATCCTAGAAGAATAGCACACCCAATAGCACATGACACAAGTGACTCATTGTTCTTCTGCCTCAAACAACAGCAGCCTACTTAGCATACAAAACACATTTTATGAGACAAAGCTGGCTCGGGCCACAGCCACGCATTCTTTGCAGGAGCCACACATGGGGGCTGCTTTCTGGTTGTTCAATCTTACTTTGTTTATTTATTATTATTATTATTATTACTATTACTTTAGAGACAGAGTCTCGCTCTATTACCCAGGCTGGAGTGCAGTGGCGCAATCATAGCTCACTGCAGCCTCGAACTCCTGGGCTCAAGCAATGCTCCCACCTCAGCTTCCTGAGTAGCTGGGACTATAGGTGTGTGCTACCACCCCTGGCTTCAATCTTACTTTGAGGATAAGAGGTAGTGACAACACAAGTCCATTAGTGCTCATGATGCATGATTTATTTCGTGGTGACACAGGGATGATGAGGAAAGGCTTGAAGGCAGTGTCTCAACTCCTCTTTCCCTAGCCCTTTCTCCCTGAAGGCATATTGGTGCTTTGCCAGCTCCACCCTTGCCCGCACCCTAAGGAAGGGACACTGGCTCCCACTGGGGAGTTGGAGTGAACTATGGCACCAGCACACAGGTGTGGGCTTCCTGCTCCCCTGGGGAGAGACCTCTCCTACAGACTTAAGTGGTGCCTGCCCCCAGAGGATTTCTCTATGGGAACTGCTCCAACACCCCTGGAGTCTCAGAGCTGGGGGTCTCAGGTGGGCACCAGCTTTCCTCCCTTCCCGTTTCTAACAGGGCCCCCATGAGAAAGCAAGAATGTGGCAGAGATGACCGTTGGTATTGCTGGGGCCCAGGCAGGCAGGGCTGGGAGGGGCAGCGTGGTGGGGCAGCTCTGTCCAGTGGGTCTACGGCCTCTGGCCAGCTGCATGGACACGACATCCTCAGGAGAGGGTGTGGTAGTCCCTGGCAGGCCTGCTGAGCTCTGTTCTTGCGAGACCTGGCTACCCCAGAGATAATAACCAAGGGGATTCATAGACTGCCATCGTTACACCATGCATGTGTGATATCTAATTATCTTCCTAGGTCAGATGTAGTGAGGTGGAGCTGGTGGCTTGGGAAGAAATTGTCCCATGAACCTGAGGTTAGATCCCATGTGGCAGCTCCATGACATAATCACACTGGAGTTTCAGGGTGGTGTGGTTGGTGACCCATGAGGATTGGTGAGCTCTCGCCCTCAGGGTTTCATGGCATACATGGCCCTGGATAGGCTGGTCTCCTCCTGAAGAAGTGAGGAAACCTTAGAAGATGTGTCTCAAAACATTCCTTAGTCTCAGTCTCCTGGGAAGCTCCACTGAGGATAGATCCTTTGAGCTGACTCAGGGAACTGTGACTTCTTAGGGATAACTGGCTCAGAGGGCTCGTTTTCACCAAGCTTCAAGCACAGCCCTCAGTGGGACTTCCAATGCCAGGGCATGTCTAGGAGGTCAGGGAGGGCAGACTAGGAATAGGGAAAGGCAGCCTTCTGGGAAGGTGGAGTTTGAATGAAGGAGGAAGAGTGTGGTGTCCCTAAGGACAGTCCTAAGTCCCAAGAAGGGGCTAATTCCTCTCTGGGAGGCTGGGGCTGGAAGAGGCCGGAAGCCTGGGAAATGGGCAGCCTTCCTCCAGAGGCTTACAAAGAGAAGGAAGGTGTCCTCTACCGATTCAAAAGGGGCATCTGCTTACAACAGAACAGAGGTCCCTGTACACAGAGTGGAAAGTGTTAACACCAGTTCCTTTTTTTTTTTTTTTTTTGAGACAGAGTCTCATTTCCAGGCTGGAGTGCAGTGGTGCGATCACAGCTCACTGCAGCCTCGACCTCCAAGGCTCAAGCGATCCTCCTATCTCAGCCCCCTTGATAGCTGGGACTACAGGCACACATCACCATGCCTGGCTAATTTTTTTAAAAATTTTTTATTTTTGTAGATACGGGGTTTTGCCATGTTATCCAGGCTGATCTCCAGCTCCTGAGCTCAAGTGATTGGCCTGCCTCAACCTCTCAAAGTGCTAGGATTACAGGCGTGTGTCACCACGCCCAGCCCATAACACCAGTTCTTAATCTGGAGCGAGCAAGTGAGTTGCCTGGAATTCTAACCATTCATTCATCCAATAAGTGTTTGTGGAGCATCTTATTAGCATCCGGCCTGTGAGCATATCTGTGATTGGGTGCACACATGCATTTTCCTGCATTCATCAGCTTCTCAGAAGGGCTCTGCAGCTACCCTAAGGCGAAGGCCCTCAGGCTAGAAGTCCCATCTGCTGCAGGGAGGGCTTGTGTCTGATGCAGAAGGGAGCAGGTGTGGGGAGGGGCTAGGGCGCCTCGGTTTTTTGCCTGCTCAGCACCCATTCCCTGATCTTCTGGTGGCAGCATCCTGAGTTTTCTTAGGAAATATAATCACATTTTTTTTTAAAGGAAGTGATTGCGATGTGTCACTCCAAAGATTTTGAGGAGTCCAACACCTGGATGATCAGTTTCACTCATAGGAGCAGAGGAACTTAGCTGCTGCGCCACTGAAAAGGTGCTGGACTGAGAGTCAGAAGCCCGAGTTTGGATTCTGGCTCTGCCACTGATTAACAGAGTTTTTCAGACGTTATCTACAGACCTCTGATTTTGAAGGTTGAGTTAATCGTGTGCTTTGGATAAGAGCAAAACCATCACTGGTCTGTAGACTGCACCTTGGGACCACTCCATCGTTCATATCCTAGGACTTGTCTTTGTCAACAACTGCATGCAGCCAGGCGCAGTGACTCAGGCCTGTAATCCCAGCACTTTGGGAGGCTGAGGTGAGAGGATAGCTTGAGGCCAGGAGTTTGAGATCATCCTGGGCAATAAAGCAAGACCCTGTCTCCAAAAAATAAAATAATTAGCTGGGCGTGGTGGCACAAGCCTGTAGTCCCAGCTACCCGGAAGGATCGCTTGGGCCCAGGAGACAGAGGCTGCAGTAAGCTATGATCGTGCCACTGCACTCTAGCCTGGGATAAGGTGAGACTCCGTCTCTTAAATCAATCAAACAAACAAACAAACAAAACCTGCAGGCCAGGCACAGTGGCTCATGCCTGTAATCTCAGCACTTTGGAGGCCGAGGTGGGTGGACCACGAGGTCAGGAGATAGAGACCATCCTGGCCAACATGGTGAAACACGGTCTCTATTAAAAATACAAAAATTAGCTGGGCATGGTGGCGCGTGCCTGTAATCCCAGCTACTCGGGAAGCTGAGGCAGGAGAATCGCTTGAACCAGGGAGTCGGAGGTTGCAGTGAGCCGAGGTCACGCCATTGCACTCCAGCCTGGTGACAGAGTGAGACTCTGTTTCAAAAAAAAAAAAAAAAAACCCAAAAACAAAACAAAACTGCATCCCTCGTGTAACTTCAATTTCCTTCTGCCACCATCTGCCCACCACCTCCTGTTTCTCTATTTTTTCTACTCACTCTCTCTAGTACACCAGCAACCCATCCTAAAATCCATCGATCCTACCACCTTTTTGGGTTCTCTGCACCCCTCTGTACCCACTTCCCCCTTTAACCTGACCAGATACTGTGGGCCATCATTACAACCACTCCCTTGCCTACAGCTCAGCTCCCTTGCCCACTCCCTTCTTGCTTTATCATATTTGCCCAGCAAATCCCTAATCTTGGTGAAACCCGTCTTTCCATCTTCTCCCCACCTGCACTTGGAGGGACTAGAAGAGGAAAAAACTCAGACACCCTAACTGACCATGCCCATCTACCTTAAAGGAGGCCTGAGGCTGTCTGGCAAGCCCATTATACGCCTGGGCCCATTCTCTCTGCCACGCTCTGGGGTGATGAATTCACACCTTCTTTTCTCTTCTCTTCTTCAGCCTCAGCACCCCCTTCCTGCTGTTCACTCAGCTAAGGACACTGCTTCTTATTTCTCGGGAAAAACAGAAGCCATCAGGGGAAAGCTTCCTAAGGCTCCCATCACAGACCTAGTGCATTTTACCTGTCTAAGCCACCTTCCTCCTTTGACTCAGAGGGACTCTGCTGCTCCTGTCCAAGGCCAACCCTCCCCGTGCACTTGACCCCACCCTCTCGATTCCTCAGGGACTCCACACTTGCCTTGTCCCTTCTCTTCCTTCTGCATCATCAATTTCCAGTCTCTCTTGGCTTATTCTGGCCAGCATTACACACATGGTCTAACAGCTCCTCCCCTTAAAGCAAAATCCTCCCTTAGTCCCACACCCCTCTCCAGTGTCAGTCCCATGTCTCTGCTCCTTTTATAGCAAAACTCCTTGGAGGTGTGGTCTCCACTTCCTCTGGTCCCATACTTATGCTTCACTCCAATCAGGCAGTTGTCCCCAGAACACTCTCTTGTCTCGTAAAACTGCTCTTGGCTGGGTGCGGTGGCTCACACCTGTAATCCAAGCACTCTGGGAGGCTGAGATGGGTGGATCACGAAGTCAGGAGATCAAGACCATCCTGGCTAACATGGTGAAACCCCGTCTCTACTAAAAATACAAAAAAATTAGCCGGGCGTGGTGGTGGGCGCCTGTAGTCCCAGCTACTTGGGAGGCTGAGGCAGGAGAATGGTGTGAACCCGGGAGGCAGAGCTTGCCGTGAGCTGAGATTACGCCACTGCACTCCAGCTTGGGCGACAGAGCAAGAGTCCATCTCAAAAACAAAAACAAAAACAAAACAAAACAAAAAAAACCTGCTCTCATTGCTAGGCACGGTGGCTCACGCCTATAATACCAGCACTTTGGGAGGTCGAGGTGGGCGGATTGCTTGAGGTCAGGAGTTCAAGACCAGCCTGGCCAACATGGTGAAAACCCATCTCTACTACAGAAATTAGCCAGGTGTAGTGGCACATGCCTGTACTCCCAGCTACTTGGGAGTCTGAGACAGGAGAATCGCTTGAACCTGGGAGGCAGAGGTTGCAGTGAACTGAGATCATGCCACTGCACTCCAGCCTGGGCTACAGAGCAAGACTCCGTCTCAAAAAACAAAAACAAAAACAAAAACAAAAAAACCTCTACTCTTGTCAAGGTCACTGGTGATCTCCACTTTGCCAATTTCAAAGGTCAATTCTCACTCCTTATCTTCACAAACCTTCCTGCAGCATTTGACTAACCAAGCTAGCTAAGCCCTTGCCCTTGAAATGCTTTCTTCCCTGGCCAGGACGGTCCCCGTATTTGCCTCCTACCACGTGGGCCCCTCCCTGGTCTCCTTTCCTGCTTTTCCTCCCTACCCTGACCCCTACTCCTGGCACATCCCAGGGCTCTTCTCTCTCTATACTTGTCCTTGAGGATCTCATCCAGATGCCTGGCTTTGAAAATCATCTACATTTTGTTGGTTCCTAAGTGTATGTTTCTAGTCCCCACCGCCTGTTGCATCCAGGCCACTTGATGCTACACTCTACTTAGGATGCTACCGGAGAGCTCACAGGCATCCTACGTGTCCAAAACTGAAGTCCTAGTTTCCCTCCCAAAGCTTCCCTCCCAGACTCCTCCCACTTCATTAAACGACAGCTCCAGTCTTCCAGTTGCTCAGACCAAAACTTTGGAGTTATTCTTGAATCCTTTCTTTTTCTCAAGCCCCACATTTAATCAGCCAGTCATGTCAACTTTGCCTTCAAAATATATCTGGAGTCTGAGCACTTGTCCCCACCTCCACCAGACTTCCTGGCTGCCACATGTCCTTTCCCCTAGATGATCGCAACAGCCTCCTAACTGGCCTCCTGCTTCTACCCTGGCCTCCCCTGGTCCGTACTTCATGCAGAAGACAGACAGTTTCCTTTACAATGCAAACAGCAGTCCTCTGCTCAAACCCCCAGTGGCTTCCCATCTCCCGGAGAGATCCGGTGAGGCCCCTCAGGAATAGCTCCTGATATGCACCTGGTGTAGACCCTTGGATCTGCACCCCTCTTTCTGCACTCCATCAAGCGGCCGCCTTGTTGTAGCTGAACAAGCCAGCCGTGCTCCCGCATCTCAGCATTTGTGCTGGCGGTTCCCTTTGCCTAGAATGCTCTGCCCCCAGATATTGGCACAATCACTGTCTCACTCTTAGCCAGATCTCAGCTCAAACATGCCCTCTTCAGTGAGTCCCCTCTTCTGACTATCTAAAGTAGCACCCACCTCTCAAGTTCACATGGAGCTATCATGAAGCTGTTTTCTTCCCAACATTTACTGTTATCTGAAATAATCTTATTTATTTCTTTGTGTATTGTTCGTCTTATCCACCAGAATGGAAGCTTTATGGCGGCACAAATTGTCCCAGAAGCTAGCACAGAGCCTCTGCATGGTTGTCAGGGCTGCCACAGAAGGTTGTAAAGGTTGTTCACTGCATCAGAGCTCCTGGCTGAGGAGCCGCGGGTGCTGACACCCAGTCTGCCCTCTGTTCTCCATGATGTGGGGCCATTCAGCAGATAGCCATCTGCTATTTAGCAATGTGTGACATATGGGCTGGCTGTGACTCTGGTGGCCATTCAAAAAATATTCATTGAATAAATTACTGAATGATGGATGAGCAGACCCTCTGCTTGTTTTCCTCTGCAGGACTTCATACCAATTACCTTCTCACAGCCTCATTTTCCTTTTCTGTTAAGGGGACAGTTAACATCTATCTCATAGCATGGTTACAAGGATTAAGTGAAATAGTTCATTAAAAAGCTGGCACAAATATGATTCCATTTATATGAAATATCCAGAACAGGCAAATCCATAGAGACTGAAAGCAAAGTAATGGTCGTGAGAGGCCAGGGGGAAAGGGACACGGGGAATACTGCTTAACTGGTCAGGGGTATCCCTTTGGGGTGATGAAGAAGTTTTAGAACTAGAGTGATGGTTGCATGACGTTATGAGTGTGCTAAACACTACTGAATCGTGTGCCTGGAAATGGCTAACATGGGGAATTTTATGTTATATGAATTAGGTTATGGTATATGAGCACCTTAATTTAAGAAAACCTGGCACAGTGTCTAGGACACGCTAGGTGCTCAATGAATATCAGTTGAATCTCATGATTTCCTTGCTTCAAAAATAAAGTAAAACCCTAAGCCCTCCTTGGCACCTCATTGCCCCATCCAGGATAATCCTTTCTTTCCTCAAATTTGTTTCAGAAGGGTATACTTTTGCCATTTTAGATATGGGGGATATGATGGAAACAAGACAGATGCAGAGTCCATTCCCAGAGTTTACAGGTTGGCAGGGAAACTAAAGAGAAAATCACACCCCACATGTTCAGGGATATAGGGGAGAAGGGCCACCATCTGCAGGGGTGCAGTGGAGAGTGGGGAAGGCAGGAGTCCCAGGAGAAGGGAGCAGAGCCTGCAGAGCCAGGGAGAGGAGAGGGCATGGTGAGTTCTGGGAATAGAAAAGAGTTTGGTGGCTGGGCGCAGTGGCTCATGCCTGTAATCCCAGCACTTTGGGAGGCCAAGGCGGGCAGATTGCTTGAGGTCAGGAGTTCGAGACCAGCCTGGCCAACATGGCGAAAACCCGTCTCTACTAAGAATACAAAAATTAGCTGGGTGTGGTGGCACATGCCTGTAATCTAGCTACTCAGGAGGCTGAGGGAGGAGAATCGCTTGAACCCAGGGGCTGGAGGTTGGAGTGAGCTGAGATCGCACCACTGTACTCCAGCCTGGGTGACACAGTGACTCTGTCTCAAAAAAAAAAAAAAAAAAAAGAAAGAAAATAGAAAATAGTTTGGTGTAGCTGCAGCAGAGGAGGCAGGAAAGGTGGGAAGGGATGGCCCTGAGGGTTCAGATTTCATCCTAAGATCTTCAGGGCCAAGTGTGAACTGGCCCCCACCTTCCAGCCACAGTTCTACCATGCCTTGTTTGCATCCCCTCTCTGTACCCCCCTTTTATTTTTTTGAGACAGGGTCTTGCTCTGTCGCCCAGGCTGGAGTGTGATGGCGCAATCATGGCTCACTGTAGCCTAAAACTTCTGGGCTCAGGCAGTCCTCCCCCCTCAGCTTCCCCAGTAGCTAGGACTACAGGTGAGCATTACCACGCCCAGCTAATTTTTGTGTTTCTAGTAGAGATGGGGTCTCCCTATGTTGCCCAGGCTGATCTCCGCTCATGGGCTCAAGCAATCAACCCGCTTTGGCCTCCCAAAGTGCTGGGATTACAGGCGTGAGCCACCATACTTGGCCTCTCTGCAGCCCTTGCTCCCACTGTGCCCGGCCTATCCTTGCGAATTCGGGGCCTCCAGGCCTTGGCGCGTGCGGTCCTTCCTCCCTTAGGTAGTTACGGGGAGCCTGCCCTGGGTCAGTACTGTGCTGGGAGCCACAGGCTGTCAAAGCCTGGCCCCACCCCAGGAGAGCGAATAATCACAAGATAATGAGGAATGCTGCGACAGTGGGTGCTCTGGGCATGGAAGAGTGGGGACTTGCAGGGTAGAGGGAGGACTCAGGGAAGGTGATTCCTGAACTGGAGCTTGAAGAACAGGGGGCACCAGGCCCAGAGACGAGGAGTAAAGCTAAAGGGAATCAGAGAGCACCCGGGAGAGGTTCAGAGCCTGGCTTGTGGGGTCACGGGATCCTGAGATCCAGATGAAGGCTGAGCCCCCATCCAGATCCACCCCTCACCCCCTACACAGTTACACACACATTTGTAGGCAATTTGGGAGTGTTCTTGGTCCTCCTGGCTTTGCCTGGAAAGAATGCCCTCCCCACCCGCTCTGGTTCCAGCCCACCACCCTTACAGGCCTGCAAAGCTCCCTCTTCAACTCTGGACTTTGTACCAGTCACCGGACGTTCAGTTGTTTATCAACCTGAGCACCTGCCTGCTGAGGTGTCTGCCCCTCTAGGGCCCGCTGGACGCTTCTCTGGATCCCAGCTGTACAAACCGCAAGCATTGGGGGGTGAGGGTGAGGTCTACACCCATAAAGTTCTTGGCAAAAGCTTGGGGGAGAGGTAGAATTATCCCTCCCCACTGGAGGCGCTGCCGCAGCCCGCCCTCTGCCAGACCTGCAGCTTCAGCCCCGCCCACTGCCTCCGCAGGTGAGTCAAGCTCTGCCTTGACCCGCCCACCTGTCCAGGTTCTGCCGGCCCCAGCCGGAAGCTTACTCCGCGGATTGTGCACAGTTCTTGAAGGTGGGAACAGAAGAGAAGGCCCGGGGGGGCCGGGGAGGGGGTACCCAGGCTCTGCACAGTACCCAAGGGGCTTCTGGCAGCAGGAAGGAAGCTACACATCAGAGTTGGGGTAGGTGTCTGTGCATGTCAGAGGGGTGTTTGTTGGTGGAGGAAAGTGTGACCTGGGGGGAGGGGCTGTGCGTATGGGGGATGGGCAGATCAGTGTGGGCTGTGAGTTCAGAGGCCTGTTGGGGAGTGTATATGCACCCTTGGAAGGTTAGTGTGTGTGTGTCTTCTTGGGAAGAATTCACAGGGCAGGGAGGAAAGGAATAGGAATACAACCTTAGAAACGTCAAATTGAATTCAGTTCATTCCAGTGTAACACATTCTCATGTTTTGCGGACCTAGTACTAGGATGAGGCCCACAGCAGGCTGAGGAATGAATGAGCAGCTGACCTCTCCTTCCCAGGACGTCTCTCCCGCTCCCACCTGTATATTCACTCTCACGCTCCCCTCGTTAATTTCACAAGCACCACACTGAGGGGCTGAACGCCCAGCTCCCTGCAGCGCCAGGGTACAGATCCTTCAGCCAGCCGTTGCCCACGGGGAGCTGCCCGCCTAGCAATGACTGGTTCTGACTGGTGGTTGACTGGGCAGGATGGTGACAGGTCATCCAGGGTAGGTCCAGGGACAACCTCACAGGCAGGTATGGTCTGATTTGGCCTTGACAGACTGGCGCCCCAAAAACTGAGGAGGGCGTGGCCAGGGAGCAGGAGGGTGGGTGAGTGGGAGGAGGGCATGTGTGTCTGTCTGAAGTGCTGGGGAGGGAACTGTGGAGAAGAGGAAGAAGAGTTTGGCTTGAGGGCCGTGTGCTGGATTGCAAGGCACTGTGGGGCATGGGGAGCTTTTGAAGGGATTTTAACCAGGCTAGTGATGGGGTCAGATTTGGGTTGTAGGCCCATCACTCTGTGGAAGAGACCAGAGGTGGGGAGCCCAGTTAGGAGATTATGGCTAGAGTACAAGAGGAAGGTGGCTTGGACTCAGCTGTGGCAGTGGGGTGGAGAAGAGGGTATTGTCATTCCAGAGATGTTTAGTGGAAGACATGATGGGGATTGATACCAGGTTGGATGTGAGGAGGTTGGGGGGGGTTTGAAGGCACTTGTATCAAAGAATATACTGGGGTACTCCCCTCAACTTCTCTCCTAAGTACTTCCCTAGCCCGGCTACTCTGCCCCCAAGGACTCCCCTGGTTCAGGTGCTCCACTGGCAGATATGCTCCTGCCCTAGCTGTTCGTCTGCCAGGTACTTCTAACTTTCATGCTCCTCCTCTAGATACTCCCCAGATTCAGGTGCGCCTCCTCCAGACACTCCTTTGATCCAGGTGCTCCTCCTACAGGTGTTTCCATGCCTGGATGATCTTCCTCCAGCTACTCCCCTAATTGAAGTGTTCCTCCTCTAGGTGTCCCCAGCCCTGGGTGATAATTTCCTGATTCAGGTGATCCTCATTTGGATACTCCCTGGCTTGAGCCTCCCTGTGGGGGCAGAGTGTGGGCCTCCTTTGAGTAGAGGTGAAAGGACAGGGGTTTGCTTGAAGGGCTGAGGGTAGAGGTGGGCAGCAGCGGCTTTCAACTTAGAAGGGCCAGGGCTGCTCTGGCTGTGTCCAGGGCCCCTGTCCTCAGTAGCAACTTGCATCACCCTCCCCATATGTGGTCTCCGCTTTGGCTGGGTAGCTCCAAGCAATTGCTGTTTTCTGACCTTCGGGAGCCAGGACCCACCTCTGCCCCTGTCTCCCATCCTCAGCTTACCAAGCAGTGCAACAGACTGGGCTCTGGGTTCGAATCTGAAGACTTTAGTTGAGTCAGTTCACCTTTTTCAGCCTCAGAGCCCTCATCTATAAAGTGGGGATAATGTTTATACTTACCTTACTGGGTTTTGTGAGCATGATGCCTGGTGCTTGAATTATAAGGAATGCTCAGTAAGTTCTACAATTTATTTTTTTTTTAGCAGCTTCCAGAGCCAAACCCTGTGATGGTCCCTTACAAATAGCCAGTTTCTGTAGGCTCAGCTTGTTTCTCTTCTGTGGAGAGCTGGTGTGGTCAGTTGTCCAGTCCCCAGAGTTTGTGCAGGGCTACCATGGCTGTGAGTGTGACCTGGAAAGTGCACCCTGTGACCATCCCTGACACCCATACCTATGTTATTTTCTAGGACTTGTGCCCTGGGGCTGCCTGGCATCTGGGGGCCTCCTCAGAGCCAGGGCTCTTTCTGGTTGAGGCTGAGACTCACTGGTGTCATCAGGCCCCTCCATGAATGAGACAAACAAAAGTGAGTGACAGTGGGAGGATGATGGGGGTGGGGGGCTTCCCCTTAGATGCTGGGGTTGGGGGAAGGACCCTACCTGCACTGCTCTTGGTTTCTCCAGGGAGCCCCCTCTGGGGCCCACCTATAATGCTGTCCCTTTCTCTGCAGCACTTGTTGGGCCTTCGGAGCTCCCCACAGCGTCTGCTGTGGCCCCTGGCCCAGGCACTGGGGCTCGGGCATGGCCTGTGCTGGTAGGATTTGTGCTGGGGGCTGTGGTCCTCTCGCTCCTCATTGCACTTGCTGCCAAATGCCACCTCTGCCGCCGATACCATGCCAGCTACCGGCACCGCCCACTGCCTGAGACAGGAAGGGGAGGCCGCCCACAGGTGGCTGAAGATGAGGATGATGATGGCTTCATCGAGGACAATTACATTCAGCCTGGGACTGGCGAGCTGGGGACAGAGGGTAGCAGGGACCACTTCTCCCTCTGAGCTCCCATCTTTAGACCCTCCCCACTCCCTCCATGCCTGACAGCTTAAGGACAGTGGTTATGACATGGGGGCCTTGAACCTCAGGGACAGAGGTGGCTGGGGCTTAAAGGTTGGCCAGGGATGGAGTAAACCCCACTTCCCTGACACTAGCCAGCAAAGTGACAATGACCCTCTCTTGCTCAATAACTCTCAACTGTTCCCTGCTGTTCTCAGGATAAAGCCAAACAAAGGCTTGAGTGTGGACATAAGGCCCTCTGTGATCATGCCTCTCGGCCTCTTGGTTTCTTTTCTTGCCTTCCCCTACTTTACTGTCGAAATCAATGTTATTCTCCCTCCCACCACTTCCCATGCAGTTTCCCCAGGCACCTTTGCTCACATTGGTCCCCCTGCCTACGCTACTCTTCTCCTAAATCCTCTATGACTGTGATGGCCTGCCTACCTGCCAGCATTTCAAATATGCCCAGATGGTAACATTTGTGCAGGTGAAAACCAGTGCCAAGCTTCCTTTTTTTTTTTTTCCTGAGACGGAGTCTCACTCTGTTGCCCAGGCTGGAGTGCAATGGCACATCTTGGCTCACTGCAACCTCCGCCTCCTGGGTTCAAGCGATTCTCCTGCTTCAGCCTCCTGAGTAGCTGGGATTACAGGCATCCGCCACCACGCCCAGCTAATTTTTATATTTTTAGTAGAGACGAGGTTTCGCCATATTGGCCAGGATGGTCTCGAACTCTTGACCTCAGGTAGTCCGCCTTCCTCGGCCTCCCAAAGTGCTGGGATTACAGGCGTGAGCCACCATGCCCGGCCAGCTTCTTAATGAAATATTTTCCTATAAATAAAGTGGGTAATCCGGTTATAATATGTTTTTCACAGGAATTAATAAATCTATTTTCATTTTGAATAAAAATAAAAAGCTGTCACTCATTTTTATTTTTCTTGAGCTGGGCTTTATCACTCAGAGCTAGAAGACACTGCTCAGATGCTCCCCCCTCCAAGACACCTTCCATGAGCCCTTCTCTAGTACTGTCCTGCCCACATTTTGTTTTCATCTTTTTGTTTGTTTTCAGGCGGAGTCTTGCTCTTGTTGCCCAGGCTGGAGTGCAATGGCGCAATCTCAGCTCACTGCAAACTCCGCCTCCCGGGTTCAAACAATTCTCCTACCTCAGCCTCCTGAGCAGCTGGGATTACAGGCACCCACCACCACCACACCCAGCTAATTTTTGTATTTTTAGTAGAGATGGGGTTTTGCCATACTGGCCAGGCTGGTCTCAAACTGCTGACCTCAGGTGATCCACCCTCCTCAGCCTCCCAAAGTGCTAGGATTACAGGTGTGAGCCACCACACCTGGCCATCTTTTTTTTTTTTTTTTTTTTTTTTTTTTGACACAGGGTCTCTCTCTGTCACCCAAGCTGCAGTATGGTGGGGCTATCACAGCTCACTTTAGCCTCGATCTCCTGTGCTTAAGTGATCCTCCCATCTCAGCCTCCCAAGTAGCTGGGAATACATGCATGTGCCACTGCGCATGGCTAATTATTTTTTGTAGAGATGGGGTCTCACTGTATCACCCAGGCTTGTCTCGAACTCCTAGACTTTAGTGATCCTCCCACCTCTGCCTCCCAAAGTGCTGGGATTTACAGGCTTATTTTAATCTTTATGACGGTTCGTACTTGCCTCTTACTATGCCTGCCCCCATAGCTAAACTGGGAGCTCCCTGAGGCCCCAGATTGTGTCTTATTGTGTATCCTCAGATTCTTGCACAAGGGAGCTAGTTTTAAGATGGAAAAGACTTGAGTTAAGCTGTTTTTAATTGCAAGCAATAGAAAGGAGTTTGGGGGAGAGTCCTGGCTGTTGCATAGAATCAAAGGGACAGCAGGAAGCAGGCGGTCCCAGCAGCCAGAGGTCAGGCATTTCACCCCTAGCATCCTGTCGTTTAGGGGCACTGATGGGACTCTCTATAACCAGGACTTCCAAACTCTCAGTTCCAAGTTTCAAGTGCTCAGAAAAGAGAATCAATTTGGCCCAGTTTGGGTCAAGTATACATAGGCTTAAAGCACAATCTGCTATGAGTGGGGGGCATGGTTTGGGGAGCCCATCTGTTTGTTCCAGATCATTCTCAGACAAGGGGCAGTTCTCATGAGCCAGGCAGCCACCCCCATGTGTTCCCCAAGTACAGTGTCAGCCTTTGAGGAATGAGCTGGTACAGAAGGAAAGTGAGGCATTGGCAAATGTAGTGAGGTGCTTGGGAAAGAGGCAGGAGATTGAAGAGGACTTGAGTGTCGTATCTGAGGGGTGCCCATGGCAGTGAGGAAGCCCAAGAGTGGATCTGTTAGGGCCTTGGATGCCAAGCTCACACTTCAACCTGAGAGCAATGGAAGCTCATCTGTGGACTTTTTTTGTGCAAGGGCATGACATAATCATGATAGAAAAGTCATTCTGGCTGCTGTGCAGAGATGGATTGGAGGGGAGACACCGAGAGAAGGTAATAAGACCTGTCTAAGGTGTGACATAGGAACAGACTTTGAGACAAGAGGGAGGAAGAGCTGATAGGACCTGTTGACTTTGGATATGGGGAGTAGGTAGGTATCAGAAAAACGCACCCTGGCTTCTGGCTTGGTTACTGGGTACATTGACGAAGAGCAGGTTGGGGCAATGGGGATTCAATGTTGGATACAGGATTTCCAGGGGAGATGCCTCGGGGCTGCTGGGTTCACAGGGAGAAGTCTAGTCTGCAGACACGGGCTTGGGAACACTTGGCACCAGGGTCATTGAGAGCAGGAATGGATGAGATCGCCAGAGAGGAGCGGAGCGGGAAACACATCTCAAGACTGTCAGCGGACCAAGCCCTGGCAGGGGAGTTGGAGGAAGCAGAGAGGAGGGAAGCCCAGCTCACATGACCCCCAACCTGGCCATGGTTCCTGAGTCCAGAGATGGTCTGCCCCTCACAGGCCTGGGGAGAGCAGAGGCTGCCCCAGCCTGAGACCCTGGAGGAGGACCCCAGAGGCTGACCTAAGGGGCATGTCCTGGCCTACCAGGAAAAGCTGCTGCCCAGGCAGCTGAGCCTGCCCCCTGCCCCTGGGCTCCTTCAATTCCCACCACAGAGGAGCTGCCCTGCGTGCAGTTCTATGCTTGGCTGTCCCTGTTCTCCTGTACTCTTTGGGGCCTCAGTCAGAACCTCTGATGGACCCAGGAGAAGAAGGTAAGGGCCTGATCCCAGACTCGCAGTTGATTTTGCTGAGCCTGTGCCCCACAGGGTGCCCGAGCTGGGGCTTCCCCTCAGAACCAGCTGTGGGTGGCAAGCCTGGCTGAGGAGGGCCCTGTAGTCACAAGAACCTTGGACCCTGTCCTTCAAGGCCTTGATTCCTTGGAGGAATTTCTTCCCACTGTGGTTTGCATGCCTGACCCCAAGTGCAAAGAGGGAGCATGACCTGAGCCCACAGCCGCAAAGGGCTGGGGGTGTTGGGAGCTTGGGATTCAGCCAGGCCCTCTCTGGTTTGGCGTCTTCTGGCTTCGGGTCCTGGCCCCGCCTGCCTCTGCCCCTGGCCCTGCACCTTGTCCTCCACTCCTTGGCAGCTGCCACTACCTACTCTGCCTTGGGAATCCCAACCCAGCTACCCACTGTCTCATCCTGCTGCCTCAAAGGCAAGGCTACATCCCTTGCACTGTGTGGAGGCCAAAGATGGAGTCACACAAAGCCACCAACATGACGTTTAAGAAACTCCAGCAGTAAGCCGGGTGAAGTGGCTCACGCCTGTAATCGCAGCACTTTGAGAGGCCGAGGCAGGTGGATCACGAGGTCAGGAGATCGAGACCATCCTGGCTAACACGGTGAAACCCTGTCTCTACTGAAAATACAAAAAATTAGCCGGGCGTGGTGGCGGGCGCCTGTAGTCCCAGCTACTCGGGAGGCTGAGGCAGGAGAATGGC
Organism: Homo sapiens; assembly: GCF_000001405.40. Taxonomy (NCBI): domain Eukaryota; kingdom Metazoa; phylum Chordata; class Mammalia; order Primates; family Hominidae; genus Homo; species Homo sapiens. The sequence continues at coordinate 43,278,865 of NC_000001.11, read as the reverse complement.
GTGAACCCAGGAGGCGGAGCTTGCAGTGAGCCGAGATCACACCACTGTACTCCAGCCTGGGCGACAGAGCAAGACTCAGTCTCAAAAAAAAAAAAAAAAAAACAAAACAAAACACCAAAGAAAAAACACTCCAGCAGTATCCTAGCAGACTGGCAAGGTGAGTTGAGGGCACATGTTACCTGAATTTAAATCCTGGCTCGGCCATGTATGCTGGGAGACCTTGGGCAAGTTACTTAGCCTCTCAGTGACCCAACTTCTCAGTGAAATGGGGATTACAACAGTACTTACCTCATAAGGTTGTTAGCAGGATTAAATGAGTCTATGCCAAGTGGAACGGAGCAAGTGCTCTGCAGTGTTAGTGATATCCTTGCGGGCACCCCGAGGGCAACAGCTCCTCATAAGAGGTAACCTGTGTTCATTCTGAGGGAGACGCTTGCCCCATCTCCTTCCTCCTCATTCCCTTCCCGCTGGGGATTTGACTGTCTCTTTCTCAGGACTTAGGTTGGAAGATCTGGTCAGGACAGCAAAGGGTTTGAAATAGAATCTCTGCTGCTGTAGAATAATAGTACTGATGTTGTTCTAGCACTTTTATTTTGAGACGGAGGTCTTGTTCTGTCACCCAGGCTGCACTGCAATGGTGCGATCTCGGCTCACTGCAACCTCCACACCTCCTGGATTCAAGTGATTCTCCTGCCTCAGCCTCCTGAGTAGCTGGGACTACAGGCATGTGCCATCACGCCCAGCTAAGGTTTTTGTATTTTTAGTAGAGACAGGGTTTCACCATGTTGGCCAGGCTGGTCTTGACCTTCTGACCTCAAGTGATCCGCCCACCTCGACCTCCCAAAGTGCTGGGATTACAGGCGTGAGCCATCACACCAGGCTGTTCTAGCATTTTCTTACAACAGCCCTGCTTAATCCATGTTATAGATTGAGAAGATGAGGCTCAAACAAGTTCACTGCAATTTGCCCACTCCGCAATAACACCATTATCTCACCTTGAAGTAACGATGAAATAGACTCAGAGAAGGACTGTCTCGGCTGTTGGACTCTCATCTTGCCTGGGCTGGGTCCTCCCACCTTTACCCTCTACAGTGAATAGCGGCTGAGAAGTCCCAGGGTACAAGGTCCAGTTTTGGGAGAGCAGGTCATGAGGGTAGAGCTGGTGTGTCCCATCTCTGGCCGGGCCTGGCCCTCAGCTTCTATTGCCCTCCAGGTATCTGGGGTGGCTGCCAGGGCTATGCCCAGGGGAGTCTCACAGGTCCCCTGCAAAAGGCAGGAAGGCAGCCCCTGTCCTTGTGCTCCTGCATGAGCTGAGTATGACGGGGCATGTGCAGGTCCCTTGGGGCCTGGAGGAAGCTCCTCCAAGGTCTGAGACCTGAGTGTCCAGAGGCCCAAGGTCTCCTGTGAGATGTGACTGGATGTGATGTGAGGACCACCTGGACTGGACCAGATTTGGCAGTTTCTAGAGCATATTCTTCCAGTCTCAGATATGAAGGGACATGGCTGAGAACCTAGAGTTTGAATGTTAAACCCAGGAGGGACATGTGTCAAGCTCCTCTCTCCACCTCACTGCCACCGATGGGAGCCTCTAGGTCCAGACAAGGCTGTGCTGTCTCTCCATCAGCCCTTGTTTTGGATTTTTCCTTCATCCAATGCCAGTTTAGATTTCCAGGTCTGGACCCTTCTTTGTGCTATTCCTTCTTTCTGGGATACTCTTCCTAACCTCTCTAGCTGGGCCAACTTCTTCTCGTCCCTCAGTGGCCAGCCGAGACGGGCTGTTTGGCCATTTCTTCTCATTCTTTTTCTTCTAAGGCCAATCCCTGGCTCCACACCGCAGCCAGCAAGTCCCAAATCCTATTCTGGCCACAGTACCCTACTCCCCTGGCGAAAGTCTTTCCATGTTTTCCAGTGTCCTGAGGACAAAGTCCAAATTCCTCTGCTGGGCTGCCAAGGCCATTGGACAAGTAGGAGTAAGTGAGGATAGATTTGGTGGGGGCCGTGGTGAGGGGCTCCTGTCACGGGCTCTCGCCTTCTCATGAAGAGAGGAGGCTGTCTTTTGCTGAGAGTGGTGTTTGGGGTGGGAGGATGTGGGGGTTGGGGGTGGTGAAGAGGGTGGAGAGAACTTCAGAGTCACGGTAGGAGCAGGAGCCAACCAGGAAAAGGCAGTGTCACTGAGGAGCCGCAGTGCAGATTCAGCTGAGAACTTCTTTTTTGTATTTTTGGTAGAGACGGGGTTTTTGCCATGTTACCCAGGCTGGTCTTGAGCTCCTGGGCTCAAGCAATCCACCCGCCTCAGCTTCCAAAAGTGCGGGGATTACAGGCGTGAGCCACCGTGCCTGGCCTCAGCTGAGAACTTGATAGAGGAGTTCGCAGTGACAGCAGGCTGTCTGGCTGTACAGATTTCTCTAATGGCCACTCACAGTGGGGCGGGCGCATCCAAGGCAGATGGATGGATTTGTCTATGGAGGGGGTTTGGCTGGGAGGGTGGGACCCAAGGGCAGAGGGCTAAGGACTTGACAAGTCCCTCAAAGAGCAGGTGAAATGATGGCCACAGAACCTTAACTAGATGGTAAGGGGGTGGGCAGGAGGGGGCAGTGAAGTCAGGAGGCAGCAGCTTTACAGAGGGAGAACGGAGATGCCAGTGGGCTTCTGGTTGCAATGGAGGCAAAGAAAGTATTCAGTGAAATGATTTGAGCAGGCTGCAGGCAAGAGGTTGTGGGAAGCCTACTTCAGTGATTGAGGAGGTAGACACATTTCTTCCCTGCCCGTGCTTTACCTAGCTGGTACCATCACCTGTCTCCTGTTACAGTTGGGTGTCCATTACCCTATGGGATCAGTGCCCTGGGGCCATGAGCCCTAGTCTCCATCTCCCGTCCTTCCCAGGAGAGCCTGGTGCTCACCCACTCACCCACGGCAGCTGCTCAGTCAGATGCTTATGCCAGGTAACCCTCTCTTTCCCCATTTTCTAAGCCTCTGGGCTTCTGTTTTTTCTTTAGTTTCTTAAAAGAAATATTGTAAATAGCCGGGCAAGATGGCATGCGCCTGTAGTCCCAGCTACTCGAGAGGGTGAGGCATGAGAATCGCTTGAACCTGCGAGGCAGAGGTTGCAGTGAGCAGAGATCACGCCACTGCACTCCAGCCTGGGTGACAGAGTGAGACTTGATCTCAAAAGAAAAGAAATAATGTGAGAATTGCAAAAGAGTCTAACCCTGTCTCAGATGAAAGGAAAGGGTATTTCTCCCCATATTACAGGAAAGCAGGACATTCTGTAGTCCCATATCAGGCCAGGAGTGGGTCATAGTGATAGATTGCCCTTGGGAACTCAGGAAGAGTGAGAACTGAGGTAGAGAGCAGGGGGCTTTGGGAGGGACAGATTCAGGGCCAACAGGGGCAGTGGCCTACCTTCCCTATCCCCTCCCAGCTATAGGTGGGTCTCTCCTTGCTCCTTGCACACTCATTGCCATCTGGCCATGCCGGAGTCCTTCATCCATCCAATAAAGAACCTACTCTATGTCGGCTGGGTGTGGTGGCTCACGCCTATAATCCCAGCACTTGGGAAGGCTGAGGTATGGGCAGCCACAGACAGGCTCTGAGGCAGATTTTCGTTTTAGCTTTAGGATGATCACTCTGGCTCAAGGGATGTGTGTGTGCATGGCAGGGGGAAGGGGAATGAAGAGAAAAGAGCAGAAGCAGGGAGAGAGGAGGAGGCCGATGTGCCACTCAGGCAGGAATGAAGAGGGTCCCTTCTGGGCAGTGAGCATGAAGATATGGATTGTCAGACAAATCTGTGTGAGGGAAACCAGAGGAGTTGGTGATTTGTCAGTGGACTTGGGTGAGGAGACAGTGACGGTGCCAACTAGCATTGCACCGAGTCTCTACTCTAGATGCCCCCTGAGCGTGGCACCTCCGGGTGAGAGAGAGGAGCTCATTCAAGATGAGAGGAGCAGGGTCAGTTTTGAATATGGTGGGTATGAGGCACCCTTGGAGCACCCAGGGGAGCCATTTCTGTTGTCCTTGGCGTTCTGGGACACGCCTTGTCTTTCTCTCCCAGGTCTGTTCACGCTGTTCCCTCCCTCCACTGGCAACACTCTTCCCCTCATCTGTCAGCCCCGTGTTTTCTCCAGGAGACATCCTTGACCTTTTCTGCTGAAAGCCAACTTTTTGTTGTCAGAGCCTCTGTAGTTCTACTGTAACGTTTCTTTGGAGACAGGTCTCATTTCCCTGCTTTTCTGGGCATCTTCCACGGGCTTCATGCAGTCTGCACCTCGAGAAGCAGGAAGTGATGAAACACTTGAGTGCTGCTTCCCGTGGCTCACCATCAGCCAGGAAATGGCACTGCATGCTACAGAGGGGAGATCCTCCCAGGGCTGACTCCAAGCAGGAAGTGACTCTCACCACCCTAGGGGATTTGAAACACCTCTCCCATGCCCAGGAACCTAGAGCAGGCCAGCTGGTGCAGCCACTGCCCAGACGTGGGATGTTCTGGTTTCAGAGGTGGGGCAGGGAGATGTAGCCTCCCAACCACCCTCAGGGAATCCGCTGAAGAGGCACAACCGAAGGGAGGTGCAGTTGCCAGAGAAACCAGCTGATAACACCAAACACTTAAGGCCTCATATTGAACTAGCATGTGAGCAAATGCGAAGGACTCAGGTCCCTCACCTCTCCCTGGGACTGGAAACCGACCACCTTCCCAAGGCTGGCATCCACTCCGTCCTCTCCCTACCTAAGAGGAGAAACCACAGGCCTGACTGAGGAGACCCTCAAGGCACGGTTTATGAGGCTGAGATAGGAGTGAGGAGTTTGCTTTGGATGGGGCGGGGCTTGGGGTAGGGGAGGAAGGGTCTCTGAGGTGAGATCCTGAGATGGAGACAATGACAACGGCAGCCGCCATTTTATTGCCAATCAGCCATGAGCCCCGCCTTCCATACACAATGACATTTCATCCCCACAATCGATTAACACAACCATGATAGCCATGAACTCCCAACTCCTCCAGCTGCTAGTGCTCAACGGGAGAGTCCCCTCCAGGTCTGTCTCATTGCAGAGCCCATATTCTTTCTGCCTGGCCAGCAGTTACTCTCCTCAATGAGCAGGCACTGGTGCAGTCTTGGGTGGGCACCAGTCACCCCTATGGAAATCCTTGATGGATGTTACAGGACAGGATTGGATGTGAGGGGTCTTGGAAATGGGGCTCAAGAATCTTCATCATGAGGCGTTTCTGCGCCTACTGACCTGAGATACAGAGAGGAAGTTCCATGGACACCAACACCCAGTTCCAAGGAGGCACACATTAACCTTCCCATGATGTGGATGTGTGGGAACACATGGGCTTTTAATCACACGCCATGCAATCCACAGAAGAGCTGACCCAGCCTGGGGGCATACACGCACTCATGTGTACTCAACGTTCACATGCACTCACACCCTGGCTCGGCTCTGGGGACGCTGAGGCCGCTGTGAGAAGAAGGACGGCTCTGGCTCCGTCAGATGAGGCTGGCAATGCTGGATGTGGTCTCGTGACGCCGGCCAGCAGACAACTGTCCTGAGATGCTGAAGATGCTGCCATGGCCGCCATGGCCACTGTGGGTGGAGGGAGTGGCCATACAGATGGAGGGGCAGTGTCCGCTCACACCCACTTGATACAGCAGCAGGCCCAGCAGCAAAAGCGAGCCCAAGGCAGCCAGAGCAATGCCCACAGACAGCATGGCGGCCAGCGGCCGAGCAGGGGCAGGGGCGGCGGCCAGCCCGGCCAGGGTCAGGCCGGTGACCAGCAGCACGAGGCCACTGAGCAGCACCACGAGGGCGTCGGCCCCTCCACCACTGCGCAGCAGGGCCACATGGTGGGCCTGGCGGATGCAGTTCATGTCCTGCACAGCCGAGCTCATCAGCTGTTTCACCAGAACCAGCAGAGCCAGCAAACAGAGCACAGTGCCCGTTGCTAGCCGCCATTCACCTGAGCGGCTGCTGGTGGTTGACAGCAGTGCCACGCCGCCCGCGCCACAGCCTGCCACGAGGCCCACGGCCACGACGAAGCAGAGCGCCGAGCGCCGCGGCTGCTGGGACCACCACAGCTCCACCTGCTCTGCCAGCATGTCCGGGGGCAGCCCCCGGCCCCCTGGGGCTTGAGCCTCCTGTTCAGACATGGCTTGGTCAGGCAGGGGTCAGGGTAGGAGGTCAATGTCAGGGGTCAGAGGGTTCAGATCACAGCCTGGAGCACCTGCCACCTGCTTGGCAGCTACAGGCCCAGAGTCCCATTCCTCTCACAGTCCAGGATATGGTCACCCTCACCTGTAGGGGAAGGATCACAGTCTTACCTTCCCAGCCCACCTGTCCCCCACGGTCCCACCTGGGAGCCTTGGGGATGATCCCTGAGAATCCACCCCAGTGTTCCCCCGAATCTCCCCTGGGATAGCCCCCTCTGCAGTACTGTCCCTTGGGAATGGCTCTCCAATGACCCCAGGGGAGTACCCTGCCCATAGGGTACCCCCTAAAACCCTCCAGGGAATCCCCTCACCCAGGCCCTGACCTCTCTGCCTCTGGCTCTCTCAGTCGCTGGTCCCATCCCGGCTGGCTGAGGGAGCTGGTGCCACGGTGGACGATGGGACGAACAGCCAGAGATAAAGCCTCATTCAGGATCCTACTCACATGGCCTCAGCTGTCACCACTGGTTCCTCGGGAGGAGCTGTGGGGATGGAGGGGGCGCTTATGACTTAACCCTTCTGGAACCAGAAGCCTGACTGACCTTGACACTTCTCTTTTAGGGCTGTGTCTCCTCCTTCTCTGTGGGTTAGGACCAGACCCCTAACACCCTCCCTCCCCTAACATCCCATCCAATCTCACAGCCATGAGTTTGGTAATATAAGCTGCCAGTTCCCAAATTCCTCTCTCCAACCTACATCTCCGTCCTGAGTCAATTGTCACCTTGATGTCCCTGTGATGCAACAGGTCCCAACCCAAGCTCGTTGTCTTACTCCAACCTGTTCCTTCTGCGTTCCTCACTTCAGGCATGGCATCACTGCCCTCTCAGCCAGCTCCTCCTCCCTCTGCTGTATCTAATCCACGTCCTGTCCCTGGGGCTCCACCTCTAAACATTTCTCTAGCCAGTTCCCTGCTCTCGTATCCTTGGCTCCCGCCTCCACCTCCTCACTGGTCTTTCTGCTCCCCTTGCTCTTCTCCACACTCGCCATTCCCCCATGCCATCCTCCTCCACGATTTCTCTAAAGTGGAGCAAAGGAAAAAGGAGGGCTCTGGATTTGAACCCCAGCTCCAGTCCTTCCCACCGGTAGGAACATGGCCAGGCACCTAACAGTGGCTGCTGATTTAACCTGTCCTCCAGAGGAAAGCATGTCTCACATTGGGCAAAAATAAAGCACATGAGGTCCCTGCCTTCAAGGAGCCCCAGTCTGCAGCAGAAGACAGAGACAGAAGCAAGCAGGCCAGTGCCTGTGCTAAGTGTGGGTGTGGGTTAGTCAGCCCAGAGCCCTGCAGAGCCCAGGAGAGGGGTCTGGGGGAGGGGCCAGGAAGCCTGAATGGTTCGTCTCTTAGAGCCTCAGTCTCCTTGTCTGAAAAGTGAAGACAATAACATTTATCTTGAGGGGTGGGGATGAGTCACCTGACATCTTCGTTTCAGAATTCCAGTGGGGCCTAGAGCCTGCATAGATGCTCAAAGCGTGCTTTTTGAATACATGAAAACGATGTTACCCCTCCAAGGCAGGACAGGGCAGAAGACGTAGGTCCTGGGTCATTCTGGGAATATTACTATGTGGCCGTGCACAGGTTACATCCTGACGAGGTATCTGTCCTCCCGGAGACTCCTCTGCAGAGGCTGACCCCTACCCCCGAGGTGGGCGGGGGCTGGTGCCGATGCTCTCAAGGAAGTGGGGGAGGTGGGCGTGGCCGTGGAGTCAGTCCCAGCATTCCCCTGGGCTGTGACTTCGTTGGTCTGAAAATGCTTGCACAGGTGTGCTGAGACAACGGGTGTCAGGCTGGGGGCGGGGTGGAGGTTCTCAGGGGAGAAGCGAGTGGGAGAACATGGGGGCGGTGGGGCGTTGGGGGACAATGGGGGAACTCACGAGAAGCCTGGATGTGCTGGATCCGATCCGAGAAGGCAGGGCCGAGCAGGTGGGGCACTCTAGCTTGGTTTCCGGGGAGACACTTCACCTGCCTAACCTGCACTCAGGTGAGCCTGCCGGGAGGAGGATGAACAGGTGTCGTTTCCAGGGCAGGGCCTGAGCCGATTGGCTGACGTGGCACTGCTCCTTCTGCTGGGCTGAGGCATTCCTGTGAAGGGAGGGGCTTCTGTCCGCTGCAGTTAGGGCTCGGAACACAATTCGCAGACCTGGGCAGCAGGAGGAATGTCGTCTATCTGCCCCAGAGCCTGGGCGCCAACCCATTCCACAGCTCCGACCCCGATTTAGCTTTAGCTCCAGCTTCAAAACCAACCCCTAACTCTAGCTGCAGCTGCAAACCCTAGCTAGAACTCCCAGCTTCCACCCCTGCCCCAGCTCCTGCGTCACATCTCAGCCCCAACCCCCAGCCCCATTTCCAAATTCAATTCCAGTCCCAACTCCAAATCCAACCCCTAATCTGGCTAGAAACCTCAGCCCCCAACTCCTAACTCCAACTCAAATTCTGGACTAAGGTCCTAGATCCCAACCTCACGCTCAGCCCGAACCTCGACTCCTGTTCCTGAATCCAGCCCCCAAACCCAACGCCAACCTCAAACCCAGCTTTAGCCCCAAATTCCAACATCAGCGGACCCCCAAACACAGCCCCAGTACCTCCATCCCTTGGCCCTAGGCTGCAGCCTCCAAAAGCCCCGTGCTCATTCTCCCTCAAATGAGCCCCACAGACTGGATCCTACTGGGGAAGCAGGATTTGAGTGAACAGGGAGGAGGGGTGAAGGCCTTTCAGGCAGGAGACAGGAACTCCCAGAATAAACACTTCAGAAGAAATGCCACACTCCTTCACAAGGCTCATAAAGCCCCTGCCATATACACCAGGCCAGTCATTTGCCACTGGCACCCTGCCCTCCTCTCTGCCCTTCCAGTTTTTGAACTCAAGAGTTCTCCCTTGCCTGGGATATTTGCCACTCCCCAGCCTCAGTCTGGGCAACTTGCATTCTTCAACTGAGATGCCACCTCCTCCAGGAAGCCTTCCCTGACTTGCAGGCTGGTTTAGAGGTGCCTCTTTGGTGCACCCATGGCCCCTGTGCTTCCCCAACAACTACTCTTACTGCAATATGCTTAATTGCCTATTATGTATTTACCTGTCATTCCCTGCTAGATGTGTGGTCCCCAGCAAGCAGACGGACAGTGCCTCTTTTGCTAATCATCATGACCTCAGTAGCTAGTATGTAGGACGTAATCAATACATATTTGTTGAATGATTGATTAGCAGACTAAATGATAGCATGAACTGACAGCTGTGGGGGTTTTGAGCAGGAAGCATGTGAGAGGAAGCTGGAAAGACAAGTTTGGCTCAGGCTGTTCAGGGTCTTGAAGGCCCATAGTGAGGCACTTGGGCTGTGTAAGGGGCCCATGGAGGGTTCTAAAGTTTAATAGGGACATGGTGGGAGCTTCTAATAGGCAAATCTGGCACCACACACACACCACCCTCCGGACTGGTGAAGGGCAGGCTGGCTGGAGCTGTTGTAGGCTGTCCCTCATCTCCTGGATCAGCCCCTGTGATGTCTCTTGCTTTCTCCTCCTGATGTGTATGAACTAGAAAAGAAAAACAAGATCACCCTTATCTTGTTATTATCAGTTCACAAAATAATGGTGCTCGACCTGCTTTCGCATCTCTTTGCTTTGTTCTGCGGAGATGACTGGAGGCCAGTCATAATTCTAGAACAGCCCTGTCCGCTAGAAATATAGCCTGAGCCGCCGGGCATGGTGCCTCACGCCTGTAATCCCAGCACTTTGGGAGGCTGAGGTGGGCGGATCACGAGGTCAGGAGTTCAAGAGCAGCCTGGCCAACGTGGTGAAACCTCGTCTCTACTAAAAATACAAAAATTAGCCAGGCATGGTGGCAGGCCCCTGTAATCCCAGCTACTCAGGAGGCTGAGGCAGGAAAATTGCTTGAACTTGGGAGGCAGAGGTTCAGTGAGGCGAGATTGTGCCATCGCACTCCAACCTGGGTGACAGAGCAAGGCTCCGTCTGCGGGCGGGGGCTGGGGCACGGGGAAGAAAAAAGAAATATAGCGTGAGCTACATATATAAACTTTTCTAATAGCTGCATTCAAAAATGAAAAAGAAACCCATGAGATTAATACATTTAAATTAATACATTTTAATTCCAAAACACATTTTTATATATGTTATTGATGAGCTATTTTACAGTTTTATTTTGTACAGGGTATTTTATTTTTATTTTTAAAAATAGAGATGGGGGTCTCGCTATGTTGTCCAGGCTGTTCTCAAACTCCTGGGTTCAAGCGATCCTCCTGCCTTGGCTTCCCAAAGTGCTGAGATTACAGGCGTGAACCAAAAGTCTTGAAAATTTGGTAGGTATTATTTTATACTTACAGAGCATCTCATTTATCCCAGCCACACTGCAAATGCCCAGGCACCACATCTGTCATGTGGCTGTGTCCTTACTGGATGGCATGGCTTTAGATGTCCTTTCCCTCAGAAAAAGGTCAGTGCAGTCTGGATCAGGAGGATGGTTGGGCGGAGTGGGGTGGGGAGACAGTGGTGTGGCATTGCAGGTGTTCATCCTGCCAATTTGCAAAGCATTATAAAGGTATCCCCTTTATAATAAAGGGGCTTGACTCAGAGGAGCAGGGGAGCCAGGGGCCCAACAGGGCTTGCTGGCTGCAGATTCCTCTTGCACACATCTGACATTTATTTACCCACCCTGGTCCCCAGGTCCAGTCCCAGCCAGACCCATGGGCCAGCTGTCCCAGGCAGAGCTGCAGCAGGGGACCCATGAAATTTTCCTTCCTTTACCCCTTCCCTTAGGGGTTTGAAGGGAAATTTTTGGATGGGAGAAACAACACCTAAAAGCTTCGTTGGTTTAAACATTGATTGGGCAAGTCTCTATTCTAGTTCTGGGTCTTATCAAGTAACTTGGAGTCAAGTGGAAAGGCAGGCTCTTCACAGGGCTGTTGAACTCTGTCCCCAAAGCAGAGGTTGTTGGGGTAATTCAGATTGGTGACGGTGAAGGTCAGGAGGAGGAGGTGGCCGTGGGCACAAAGCGGAAGGTGCGGACGAACCACCCGCAGATCCACAAGAAGGTGGTGAATGGGAGTACTGTGGGGAGAACACAGAGGCTGTGGGGCTGTCTCCCAGCTTCTGCCATGTTCCCACCACAGGCTGTTCTCAACCCAGTGGCCCGAGTGATTCAGTTAGGAGGTGCAGAGTCCCTCCAGCAGCCCGCCTTCCTCAGAGGAACAGAGTCCTCCCACCGCCATAAGGCCCTCTCTGGCTTCATTCCTATTGCCTCAGAGCCTCTGCACCAGCAGCTCCATCTGCCTGGAATGCTTCTGACCCACATGGCTCCCTCCCTCCCTCCCTCCTTCAGGAATGTTCTCAAATGGCATCTTCTCAGGGAGACTTGTTGGCCACCTCATCTCAAATTGCAACCTCCCAGTACTTCCTATCCCCTGCCCTTGTGTTTTATTTCCTTATGTTTCTCCTCAGCACTATCACTCTGACATGCTATATATCTGTCTTATCAATCTGAAATGTTGTCTCCTAGATTGTAAGCTTTATGAAGGAAAGATTTGTGTGTGTTTACTGTCCTATCCCTACCTCCTGGAATAGGACTGGCATAGAGTAGGTGCTCAATAAATGTTTGTTGAATGAATAAATGGTGGAAAGAACACTGGATTTGGAGCTAGATTGATCTTGAAGGTTCAAGCCCCAGCTCTAGCTGTGTAACCGGAGAAAAATTGCTTAACCTCCTTGTGTCTCAGTCTCTTTCATTTGTAAGATGGGGATGACAGAACTTAGTTTATATAGTTGTAAGGGGATTAAATAATATAATTAGGCCGGGCACGGTGGCTCACAGCTATAATCCCAGCACTTTGGGAGGCTGAGGTGGGCAGATCACTTGAGGTCAGGAGTTCAAGACCAGCCCGGACAACATGGTGAAACCTCATCTCTAATAAAAATATAAAAAATTTGCCAGGTGTGGTGGCACATGCCTGTAATCCCAGCTACTCAGGCGGTTGAGACGGGATAATCGCTTGAACCCAGGAGGTGGAGGTTGCAGTAAGCTGAGATCGAGCCACTGCACTCCAGCCTGGGCAACAGAGCAAGACTACGTCTTAAAAAAAAAAAAAAAAAAAAGAATGAATCCATTCAGCATCCACTGATCGTATCCCTCCTGTGGACCAGGTGTTGTGGGGGTGCTGGAGATATAGTGTTAAGTGGAGAGGCACTGTTCTTTCCGTCCTGAGGACAGTCTCAGGGAACAATGGGCATAAGGCATAGCACCTACAGGCTTCCAATGCCTCCAGGCACCCACTCCCTTCTCAGTGAGTGACAGTTCCCTGAGATAGACATCTTTTGGAGTATTGGTCCCATTCACCATGACCATCCTCACTGCAAGGAAGAATCCCAACGACCAGATTATGTTTTCTGACCCACCACTGCAGCTATAGTTGATTAGACAGAGCCTCCGACTCAAGCTAGGCACCTAGATAGGTGAGTGTCCTTTGTGGGTCCAGACAGCAGGATCTGCTCCTCTCAATCTGGGAAATTTTTAAAGGAATTTCCATTTGTAGACGGAACAAGCCCAACTGACCGAGAGGGAAGCACCATGACTGTTTCAGGATGGACACTCTTGGGGACTTGTTTGTACTTGTGTGTTATGTCCCGGCAAGTGAGCGTCTTTTTTGGGTAGCAGATGGCGGGGTCAGCTCCTCTCAATTTGGGAAATTCCTTAAGGAATTCCCATTTGCTGGTTGATCAAGCCCAAACACAGAAGAGAGAGGAAGCACCCTGACTTTTCAGTTTGGACACTAAGGGCTTGTCTGTTGCTGCAGTAGTTGGATAGTGTTCTGGTGATTGTGTGTATTTGATATAGGCATGAGGAATTAGAATTTAATTTGGTAATCTTTTGCAATACTCTTTGGCCCCAAAATTGTTTGGAATCTGGAGTTTGCTGTTGAATGGGAACGTGGGATGGAGTTGCATGTATCCAGGCTTTTGTTCTGCTGTTTTAAGCAGAGTCGGGCCTAGTTAATATGTAATGTTTTCCTTTGGTGCTGTTTAGCCCCAGTGTTCTTTGGAGTCTGGGGAGGTTTGGCCCTTAAAAATCAAACTGCCATGAAAACTGCTTTACCCAAAATTTTGGCTCATAGCCTTTGTTGGATTACCTATCAGGGCAAACAAAGTGTAACCATGTAAAGCCGGTGAGTTTGTATTGCTATGGCATGGGTAAAGTTCCAAGGTATAAGCTATTGAATTTTCGCTTGTGTATGTGTCTACATACCTAGATGTGTTTATTTGTATGTACACTTACTGTTATATGTTGTGTTGGCTTATAAGAGCACTCATAAATTAAGCAAATAAGTCTAAGCAATTTTCAAGTTCACATGACTTAAGTAAATCTTTACTAAACACACTGGTTTTAAAATTATTGGTAAAATGAAAATATAAATGTCTTCAGAATTGTCAGCATACATTTCTGTCTGGATTTTATATTTGTCTCTGTTACATAGTTTGAGGCGTCAGAGTTTGGCATAGAAGGTTATAAAACTATAAACCCAGCCCAAACCAAATGATCTTTGTGCAAATTTTTTGATAAGTAAGACTAATGAATGTTGTTGGTTTAATGAAAACAGCTGAATTTCTGAGTTATTAGTTAAAATACCTATGTTTTTAACTTGGAGGCTTTTTTTTTTTTTTTTTTGAGACAGAGTCTCGCTCTGTCGCCCAGGCTGGAGTGCAGTGGCGTGATCTCGGCTCACTGCAAGCTCTGCCTCCCGGGTTCACACCATTCTCCTGCCTCAGCCTCCCGAGTAGCTGGGATCACAGGCGCCCACCACCACACTCGGCTAATTTTTTGTATTTTTAGTAGAGATGGAGTTTCACTGTGTTATCCAGGATGGTCTCGATTTCCTGATCTCGTGATCCACCCGCCTTGGACTCCCAAAGTGCTGGGATTACAGGCGTGAGCCACCGTGCCCGGCCCTTAACTTGGAGGCTCTTAAGTGAGCACCTGAAGTTCACTGGCTATGAAAAAACTGGTTAGGCTGGGTGTGGTGGCTCATGCCTGTAATCCCAGCACTTTGGGAGGCTGAAGCAGGCAGATCACTTGAGGTCAGGAGTTTGAGACCAGCCTGGCCAATGTGGTGAAATCCCATCTCTACTAAAAATACAAATTAGCTGGGTGCGCTGGTGCATGTCTGTAATCCCAGCTACTTGGGAGGCTGAGGCAGGAGAATTGCTTGAACCCAGGAGGCAGAGGTTGCAGTGAGTTGAGACTGCACCACTGCACTCCAGCCTGGGTGACAGGGTGAGACTCCATCTCAAACAAACAAAAAAAAAAAAAAAAAAAAAAAGGAAGAAAAAGAAAAAAGAAAAAAACTGGTTAACAAGGAAATAACCAACTTTAAATGATGGTGTTTAATAACTGTTTTCAGAAGTAATCTAGATAAACTGTTAAAAATGAAAGAATTGAATACATGTAAATGGGATAAATGTTTTAGGTAAACTTTTTGTGTAATTTTAAATCTTAAAATTATTTTTGATGCTCATTGACATCTGGGTCATTTTCAGTTAAGAAAGGGTTATGATATGGGGAAATATGTTTCTAGAAATTGTGGAATGGTTCTCAGCTATAAAATGCTCATATCTGATAGTTCAGGATTTATTGCTTCTTAGGGTTTCACTAAAATTTAAGGTTACCAAGGATAAGAATTATAGTTAATATATAATTATGTCTATAAAATGTGCCACAAATGTGCTATTTAGTGAGAAAAAGAATAATTATGTCTAATTCAGAAGTTATCTAAAAGTAAAGTTAATTCAAATTATGGACTTGAAAATGATTATTTATGAAACAAAGTAGTAAGGAACCAGTAAGTAAGGGAGAGAGGTGTGAATAAAGTCATGGATATGAAGATGTATTTTTGGCAAAGAAGATTGTAAAGAAAAGATAATAATTTTGTATGAGAAAGGATCTTGTGTGGTGAATTTTTTGTGTTGGAGTAAAATGACTGGTTATTTAAAGTAAAAACAAGAAGAAAAAAATCTGGGACTGGATGGAAAGCCCAGGCATGTAGTGCATAGTCTGTGTAAGTTGTATGTAGTTTTTCTTGTTTCTCTGCACATGCAGAGAAAAATAGAAAGTTGAAAAAGTTTTGGCTGGGTGCAGTGGCTCATGCCTCTAATCCCAGCTCTTTGGGAGGCTGACATGGGTGGATCACCTGAGGTTAGGAGTTTGAGACCAGCCTGGCCAGCATGGTGAAACCCTGTCTCTACTAAAAATACAAAAATTAGCCAGGCGTGGTGGTGAGTGCCTGTAATCCCAGCTACTCAGGAGGCTGAGGCAGGAGAATTGCTTGAACCCGGGAGGTGGAGGTTGCAGCGAGCTGAGATTGCACCATTGCACTCCAGCCTGGGTGACAAGAGCGAGACTCTCTCTCTCAAAAAAAAAAAAAATAATAAAAATAAGTTGAAGAAATTTAGATAATAAAATGTTCTTTAAAACCTGGTAGAGAATTGGAGAAATTTGGATACTTAACATTTTCATAGTACTTAACATTTTCATAGTTAAAGCTCTTCATCTTGATGAAGGTAAAATAATAAATATTGCACAGAAATACATTAGCAGTTTGGCAATTCTTTTTTAATACAGTTAAGTATGAAGCCAGATTTAGTGTTGCACCAAATCTCACATACCTGCCTGCATTGCTTCACACTAGGTTTGCTGTTTTGCATGAATAGTGCTGGTGCTAGAGTACTTACTGGTCATGTGCCTAGAGTGAATTTCTTGATTTCACAGGATGTATGGTGATATTGGTGGACTTAAGGATACTGAATTGTGTATGAGGAATAAAATATTCATCACGTGTTTTTTTTTTTGGGCTCTGGATAGCATGGTAGCCTCCAGGGTAGACTAAGTTGAGGAAAGGTTGGGGTTGGTTTCCTGTTTGTTTTTGCTTCTAATTTTCATTTGTTTGCTGTTTGTTCTGCTTTGCGTTTTGCTTGTGTATGTATATATATATAAAACAATGTATGGTTTTTAGTTTCTAGTGGAAGGCTTTTACTTTGTTCTGTGAATAGTTATTTTGTTTTCTGTGCATTTCTAGGAAGTCATCATTTATTCTGTTTATCTGGAATTCCTAGGCTACCTTTGTTGGGCCTGCAGGAATTGATGGAGCACACCAGCCATTTGGAATTTGGTTGGTTTTGCTTGCCTCTGATGATCTAGAGCTAAAAAACAAAAGACTTATTTTTTTAAGTTCTGAACAGAAATAGTACATTATATATTTTGTTGTTTGGAGAGGTGGATAAGAGTGGAACTGTTTGCATGGTGTTTGTTTCCAGGGTGAGTCAACTGAATCAATAGTTTGGGTTGATTTCAGATCATTTCCTTTAATGAAGAAAAACTGTGATATGGATACAAAGTTTTAATGTTCAGGAAAGATTGGCCTTGTCCTTAAGAAAATTATATTGATTAGAATTTCTCTCAAATGAATTTAAAGTGACATTCACTTGGATTAAGTAGTAATAAAAAAAAGGTGATATTTTCTAGTGATTTTGTTTTTATCTCAAGTAGTTTATCACTGATTGACCTTCATGTGTGTAACTTGAAAACAAAATATGTGCAAGTGTTGCACTGGTTTGAAGATTTTGGCAGTAAAAGTTACCTAATCAGTTGTCAGTACTGTGTCTGGAAACCAGTCTTGGAAGTGTGATGATGTGCTTTTAAAATAGCTGAAAAGAAATTGTTTTGTACTTGTTCTTACTTTGTCCTTGTTTTGTTGTATAGTATTGTGTCCAGAATTGGTTCCTTCCGGTGGGTTCTTGGTCTCACTGACTTCAAGAATGAAGCCACGGACCCTTGCGGTGAGTGTTACAGTTCTGTTTTTTTTTTTGTTTTTTTTGTTTTTGATGGAATCTCGCTCTGTTGCCCAGGCTGGAGTGCAGTGGTGCAATCTCAGCTCACTACAAGCTCTGCCTCCCGGGTTCACGCCATTCTCCTGCCTCAGCCTCCCGAGCAGCTGGGACCACAGGCACCCACCACCACGCCTGGCTAATTTCTTGTATTTTTAGTAGAGATGGAGTTTCACTGTGTTAGCCAGGATGGTCTCAATCTCCTGACCTCATGATCCGCCTGCCTCGGCCTCCCAAAGTGCTGGTATTACAGGCATGAGCCACCACACCTGGCCTACAGCTCTTAAAGATGGTGTGTCTGGAGTTTGTTCCTTCCAATATTCAGATGTGTCCAGAGTTTCTTTCTTCTGGTGGGTTCGTGTTCTCGCTTGACTTCAGGAGTGAAGCTGCAGACCTTCGCAGTGAGCATTACACCTCTTAAAGGTGGCATGTCCAGAGTTGTTTCTTCCTTCTGGTGGGTTTGTCGTCTTGCTGACTTCAGAAGTGAAGCCGCAGACCTTTGCAGTGAGTGTTACAGCTCTTAAAGGTGGTGCGTCTAGAGTTGTTTGTTCCTCCCAGTGGGTTCGTGATCTCCCTGACTTCAGGAGTGAAGCTGCAGACCTTTGCAGTGAGTGTTACAGCGCTTAAAGGTAGTGCGGACCCAAAGAGTGAGCAGCAGAAATTTATTGTGAAGAGTGAAAGAACATAGTTTCCACAGTGCACAACGGGACCCAAGCGGGTTGCCACTGCTGGCTCGGGTGGCCAGCATTTATTCTCTTATTTGGCCCCACCCACATCCTACTGATCGGTCCATTTTACAGAGCACTGATTGGTCCATTTTTACAGAGTGCTGATTGGTGCATTTACAAACCTTTAGCTAGACACAAACACTGATTGGTGTGTTTTGACAGAGTGCTGATTGGTACATTTTTACAGAGTGCTGATGGGTGCATTTACAAACCTTTAGCTAGACATAGAGCGCTGATTGGTGTGTTTACAATCCTCTAGCTAGACAGAAAAGTTCTCCAAGTCCCCACCCGACCCAGAAGCCCAGCCAGCTTCACCTCTCAGTATTTAAGTGAAAGGAGATTATTTCTCATATTGAATTTCCAAAACTGATATTTGCATTTACCATATTTCAATGATAGAGGAAAAAGTTGTCTTAGTTTGATAAGTTTGGCATAGGGCTTATCACATTTTTGATACTTTGGGTCACAGTTCTGTCACTAGAATACTAGCAATTAGACATATGCAATGAGTAACCTAACTACTTTAATACCCTGGTTTGAAATACTGCAGGCAGTTATTCCTAAACACCAAATCACAGTGTTTTAATTTGTAACATGTTAGAGAAAACGACAGGACTTTCTGTAGTATAAATATCCTATTAATTAATGTTTGTGCTGTTAAGTTACAGGGCTTTGACTCTTGAGCCTCAAGAAGGCACCAACCCAATAAATTTTCAGCATTGATTCCAGTCAAATCCTCAGGACAGTGATGCAAGGCCAGCGTCTGGGCCCATGTTTTGGAATGACAGGGTTGTCTTGGAGTATTGATCTGCTCTTTAATAGAAAATTGGGACCAGGCATGGGGGCTCATGCCTGTAATCTCAGCACTTTGGGAGACTGAAGTAGTGGATCACTTGAGGCCAGGAGTTCAAGACCACACTGGCCAACATGGCGAAACCCTGTCTCTACTAAAAATACAAAAATTAGGTGGGTGTGGTGTTGTATGCCTCCCAGCTACTTGGGAGGCTGAGACACGAGAATCTCTTGAACCCAGGAGGTGGAGGTTGCAGTGAGCCAAGATGGTGCCACACTGCACTCTTGAAAGCAGGTTTCTGATAACTTTGGAGATTGTGCCATTGGATTAGAGAGAAAACTTTCAGGGCCCTTATTGAAAGGCTAATGTGTTCATATCCCAATATGAGGCAGAGCAGGAGTTGATTGCATGGACTGAACTAATAAGGGACTGAAATAATTTTTTAATGGCTTTTGTTGTTTGAAATATTGCCGATTCCTTTTGTTTTTCAGAGTCTGGAGAATTTTTTTCTTTTGAGTTATTTATATCCTTGAAATATACTTTAAGTGTATTGAGTATACTTTTGTAAGCAGAATTTGAAACATGTTTCTCTCGCTGCCTAATTTCTCCAGAATATGGAAACTATTTGTGAATATTCTTTTTTTTTTTTTGTCCTTGAGATGGAGTCTTGCTCTGTTGCCCAGGCTGGAGTGCAGTGGCATGATCTCGGCTCACTGCAAGCTCTGCCTCCTGGGTTCACAACATTCTCCTGCCTCAGCCTCCCAAGTAGCTGGGACTACAGGGGCCCACTACCATGCCCGGCTGATTTTTTTTTTAAATTTTTAGTAGAGATGGGGTTTCACCATGTTAGCCAGGATGGTCTCGATCTCCTGACCTCATGATCCACCTGCCTCTGCCTCCCAAAGTGCTGGGACTACAGGCATGAGCCACCGTGCTCGGCTTTCTTTGTACTTTTTTTTTTTTTTTTTTTTTTTGAGACAGAGTCTCACTCTGTCACCCAGGCTGGACTGCAGTGGCGTGATCTCGGCTCACTGCAAGCTCTGCCTCCTGGGTTCATGCCATTCTCCTGCCTCAGCCTCCCGAGTAGCTGGGACTACAGGTGCCTGCCACCACACCCAGCTGATTTTTTTGTATTTTTAGTAGAGACGGGGTTTCACCATGTTAGCCAGAATGGTCTCGATCTCCTGACCTCGTCATCTGCCTGCCTTGGCCTCCCAAAGTGCCAGGATTACAGGCATGAGCCACCGTGCCCAGCCGAATATTCTTAATTCATGGCAATGTGTTTCTTTTCATACATTTAATAAGAACCTGTTTTCTTTTGTAATGGGACACACTTGGAGGAACTGGTTATTTTCCCAGTGCTTTGACTGAAATGGCCTTATGATAGGTTCCAGCAAAGCCAATTTTGGAGAGCTTATGTTGGCAATGATTCTTGCTGCACTTCGTGTAGATAATCAGGTCAAGCATACGGGACCGAAGCCTATCTTGCAGGTAGATTGGTCCTGCTGTGATTCGTCTTTGGTGGAAGTGGCAGACTGGAGACAGAAAGATTGTGTTTCAGAAGAAAACTCTATATTAGCTTAATCTTTGATTCCTCAGTGGCCACATGGTCACTCATGGTATGGAGCTGCCTATGACACCCCTCCTCAGCATGAAGCAGCCAGGAAGATCGACAGCCAGATTCCTCATGATTGAGCAATTGACAAATAGAAAGTGAGCACGGAAACTGGCCCAAGACTCCCACAGACTGTTCTTTTGGAGGAACATAGAAATTGATCCTTCTGCTGTTAAAGCTTGAAACTTGTATTAGTTTTATCTGAGTTCCTTCCTCAGGAAAGGACCTTTAAAAAAAGTATCAGAGAACTGAAACTCACCAGATCACTGCACCAGATGCCTCCTTGCCCCTCTGTAGTCCTTGTTTTCTTACACATTGTTACATTTCTTCCCTGGTAACATAAACCCCTAGTTTTAGTCAGGGAGATAGATTTGAGGCTGAGCTCTCATCTCCTTGGCTGCAGCACCTGATTAAAGCCTTCTTCCTTGGCAATACTTGTCTTCTCAGTGATTGGCTTTCCGTGTGGTGAGCAGCAGGACCTGGACCAAACCTCGGGTGTTTCCCTAACATTCTCATAGTTCCACTTATAATACACTTAATATATTAATACATGCATTAGGTGGCTAGCACTAATTCCTATTTGTAGCCCCTGCCAAATCCCACCATGTGACACATAGCAGACGAGCAACATATACAAATTCTTGTATTCTACTGGTCATCGTAGGTGATTAGTCATGCTAGTCCCTCCTGCTTCCAGGTGCACAGGGCAGGCTTATTTTCTTGGAAATCTGCTCCCCAGCCTACCTCAGCTCAGGGCAGTCTGGGCACATCTTAGACATGCTTGAAGCCTAAGTAGGCCCTTGAACCCCAGTGGTCTAGGAGAGCTCACCCCATGGGAGTTCAGAAAGAGTGAACCCCCGTTCCTGGCCCTAAGATGTCTTCCCTTTCACTTCTCACTCCGAATGCAGAGGAATGATTATAAGGGGGTCCTGCCTGGGCACACAGATGTTCCCAGGCCCTCAGGTACCTCCTGGGACCAGCAATGGCTGGCCATATTTTGTATAAGAAGCAGGACAGTGATGCTAGAACCTTCTGTAGGGCAGGCTTTTCAGTGTTGAGATAGCAGGACACCAGGGGAGCCTCAGCTAGGTAGCCCACACTGCTTGGCCACAGCTGATGCCAAAACTCTAGAAGGTGAGAGGGCCCAGTGAGGAATTCTGGAGGCTATTATACCAAAGAGGCACAGCACTCCCCAAAGGCACCAGTCATCACACCAGAATTGAATGAGTACCTAGAGCTCAATGATGGACTGCAACCGGGAGAGCAAGAGTGGAGTCTGTGTGCCAATGCCTAGTCACTTGAGTGACCAGCAGGGGCCCTAAGGCTGCTTACAGGAGGAGGTGACTGCTAGGCCCACTCCAGCACTGTCGGGGCTGAAGCAGTAAACTGGATGAAGAGACTCGTGAAGGAAAAGGGGGCACCAATGGGGTGAATGCCTTCAGTTTCCCCACGGAGTCTGGATAGACAAAAGTAGAGGGAGGTCTCAGATGCTAGAGAACCAATGCCTCCCGATGGGTGGATTAGGAGCAAGCACTGAAGACAGAACATGGAGACATAAGCAAGATTGAACCTCTGGCCCTACATTTACTAACAAGAAGCTGTGTGCACCCCTGTGCAGCCAAGAAAAGACCTTGTTGACCTGCTGGCCAAGGTGCCAGGTTCTGCTAGGGTGGGGCCCTCCCTTGGCCCATACTTCCTCCTCACCAGCTGGACAGCATCCAGGTTTAGGTTAGGCTTAGGTTAGCTTAGCCTGGGAGTTTCCACTCCTTTAACTTCTGATTTAGACTCTCAGGGTTTCAAGTTCCTATAACCTTCACTTGGCCTACAGTGTTTTGTTTGGGCATCTCTCCAGTGCAGTGCGTAAGAGCAGCACCTTTGGAGTCACTGGGCCGACTGGCCTGCAGCCCCACCCCTGCCTGTGTGACTACGTGCCAGTCACTTTACTCCTCTTTGGTTTGGATTTCCTTGTCTGAGAACCAAGGTCCATCTTGTACGTGGAATGTGACATCTCGATTCTAAGTCATTTTGCAGTTAAAAAATCTATCACTTGAATATTGATATGTCCTAGCCATTAAGAATTTCCTTCTGGTCTTCAGGAAAGCTCCAGTCTCTAGTGCATTTTTCTTCTTCCCAGGCCCCTGCTCCATGCACCTTGGTTTGGCTAACCCTCACCAGTCCTTAAGTCCGAAGAGTTCACGTGTCTTCCTCCCCACTGCCATCATCCTGGTCCAAGCCACTGTCCTGTTTCACCTGGGCAACCACAACATCCCTTGTGTCCACTACTGCATCCCTTACCCTGTAGAACTCTCCTAGCAGGACAGACAAATATTAAGCAACTAGACAGACATGTTACCGTGATGATTAAGAAGAAAAACGATGTGGTGGGTGCAGTTTAGATAGGAGGGAGTCAAGGACTGCCTTTCTGAAGAAGTGCCCTTTAAGGTGAGATCTAAAGGATAAATAGAAGTTCACAAAGTGAGGTGTGGGGGCAAGAGCAGAGGGGGCAGAGGAAACTGTATGTGGAAAGAGATGAAGGCAGGAAAGACCTCGGCCTCTTGTACGAACTGAAAGGACGCCAATGTGGCAAGAGCTTGGTGAGCAGTGGCGGTGACTCCCAGCGGCTTAGCATTGGCCTCTGGGTGGCCCACAGCTTCTGTGTGCCTTCACGGTCCTGCACAATCTGCCCCTGCTGGCCCCTCATCCCCAGTCTCATTTCAAGTCCGTTTCTTCTTCAAAGGTGAAGCCAGCATGCTAGTTTGGAGTGGAGGAATCTGGGTCCTGGAAGATCCCACCTACCCATCATAATAATGTAATGGGCTGTCATCTTTGCAGCTGAACCTCTCTGGGGGTGCCTGGATCCTTCCCTGCTCTCTGGATCTGGCTTCCCAGTGGGGCGAGTACATGTGAAGAACATGCCAGCAGGGGGGAAGGGGCTGGCTGCTGTGACAGGGTGCAGGCTGGGTCGGGGTTGTTGCTCAGCAGACAGAGTCTCCTGCAGACCCTGTGGAACCCTTTGCTCCAAGGCCTTTGCCTGCATGCTCCTTCTGCTACACCAGCCTTTGGGAGACCTTGCCAAATGTGACTGCCAAGCCTCAGCTCTCTGTGAAAGTCAACCCATGAGCAGTGCCCAGACTTTCAGTAAAGTGATTAGGGAAAGATGGGACAATGCCAGGTTTAAGACAGCCATAGGTGACCAGCAGGGACGAGCAGGGACTGTGGGCTTAAATATTTCTTATTTGGGTATTAGAGGGGCATCTGGCTTCTGCATGTGGGAGAAGAGAGGGACATTGGATTATATTCTTTTGCTCTTTAATGCATAAAGAACTATCTCTCCTGGTACCTGTGTGTGGCTGGGTCTCCCAGGATGGCGCCTGAGAGGAATAACCAGAGGGAGAAGTGCATCCTCTCTCACTCCAGAAATGGAGGAGCAGAGCAGGACCCTGCAGAACAAAGATGACAAGTCTAGAATGACATGGAGGCAAGGGAAATGAGGGCAGGGCTCTACTTACAGTTCCAAGAACAGGGTCAGCAGATAATGTAAGACTTTGGGGAATTTTTCCAACACTTCCCATGTCTGTTATTTTACTGTCATCTTTTCCTTCTTCTTTACACAGATTAAAAAAAAAAAAAAACCCTCAGAGGCTGGGCATGGTGGCTCACGCCTGTAATGCCAGCACTTTGGGAGGCCAAGGCAGGTGGATCACTTGAAGTCAGGAGTTCGAGACTAACCTAGCCAACATGGTGAAACCCCGTCTCCACTAAAAATACAAAAATTAGCTGAGTGTGGCTGGGTGCGGTGGCTCACACCTGTAATCCCAGCGGATCACGAGGTCAGGAGATGGAGACCATCCTGGCTAACATGGTGAAACCCCGTCTCCACTAAAAATACAAAAAATTAGCTGAGTGTAGTGGTGGGCGCCTGTAGTCACAGCTACTCAGGAGGCTGAGGCAGGAGAATGGCGTGAACCTGGGAGGTGGAGCTTGCAGTGAGCCGAGATTGCGCTATTGCACTCCAGCCTGGGCGACAGAGTGAGACTCGTCTCAAAAAAAAAAAAAAAAAAGTCCTTAGAAAGCCTCGCTGCATTTCCTGAAGGAGATAGGAATGAACAGGCTTTGGTCCTGCCTGAGCTGGCAGAGGAGAGAGCCCAAGTCCAGTGTGATCTCTCAGTGCCAGGCAGTCCTGTGCCCAGAAAGGGACAAGCAGAGGTGGCTTCAGATGAGCTGGAGCCCCCAGTCCTCAGCCTCCTCTCTTTCCCTCTTCTGGCCTTGGCCCCCCAGCTAAGCAGAAGTTAGACAAGGTGTGGGCAAACACCTTTATTCTGTGTCCCAAATTCCCCAGGGCAAGAGAAAGAGGTTGCTGGGGTCAGTGCTGCAGGGACCATACAGACTCCAACCGCAAGTCTGGCTTGGGGACAGACATGCTGTGTTTCTTCTGGCTGTGGCTGGAGATGGCTCACCAGAGGGGGTCAGTTGGTCTTCACCTCTAAGTCTACCTCGGAGTTGGAGAGGGAAGGAAGCCGAACTCCAGCGAGGGTGTGGAACCCTGTGACCTGCTCTTGCTCTTGGATCTGGTCTCTGAGGCGCTGGATTTCTAGGCGCTGCATTTCAATGATCCTCCCAGTTTCTTCTTGCTCATTCAACCTTGCGGTGGGAGCTGTGCTGAGCATGTCCCTGCTGGGTTCTGTAAGAGACAACAGGACTCATGTGGGCCTGTCCATTGCACTGCTGCAGAGCCGATCCTCCCCTCCTCCCTCCCTGCTTCCTCAAACATTTATTGGGCACCTACTGTGGAGCACTCAATCCCAGATGCTGGAGGTACAGTGATAAGCCATTTTGCTGTCTCGCAGAGAGATGGAGAAGTGAAGCAGCATACTTCAGAGTGATGAGGTGAATACTGAGAACCACCCCAGCCCAGCCCCTCTCCTGAGCCCCCAGATCCGCCTGCACAGAGGCCCCCACCCATGGAGGCTGCCCCTTCTCCCATTCTCCACATCCTAGCAGGATGGCACTCTTCTCCTGACCTATGTTGGCTTCTGAACTGCCAGTCTTTCTCCTTGTGCAAAACCCCTGCTCCTGGAGACAGACCCCTTCGTGCCTCTCCAGGTGTGTCCACTCATACCTTGTTCCTTGAGAACTTTCTCCCCTGAGTCATCCTCCCTGTCTCAGGTGCTGGCATCATCCTGGGCAATGGCAGTGTCCACCAGGGTCCACGGCTCACCCCTGCCCCGCAAGGCTGAACTTGCAGCATTAGTGACCTTGGCCTCCACGCCATGCCAGCACCCACTCCTGTGGCTTCCCCTGATGCCATGCTTTAGGTCTTTCACTCTAGCACTGTTCTCTGACCACAACTGCTGTAACTGCTCTGTGCATGACACACATGATCTTGGACTGAACTGAGAACCCTCTCTTCCTGGACAACTCAATTTCTTGCCTACCAAATTGGCTCCTTTTAGATTTACTCCCTTTTCTGGCCAGCTAGACCCCAGTGAGTTTCTTCCTCCATCTTCCCAACAGCACCCTCAGTGTTCTAGTTGCCCTGTCCTCCTGTCCCATGCGCCCTGCTTGGGATCCACTGGGCTTCCTGGATTTGATGATTGGCATCTTTCATCAATTCTGGAAAAACTCTTGGCTGTACCTTATTGTAATGTTGCCTCTCCTCATTCTTTCTTTCTCAAACTTCAATTAGACATACATTGCATTATCCCACTCCCTCCTCTTTGTCTTTTACTATATCTTTATCTCTCTGGGCTGCAATCTGGGCAATTTATTCTTTTAGCTCACAAATTCCCCCTTCAGATGTGTCTAATCTACTGTTCAATCTGTCCATTGAGCTTCTAATTATAATAGTTTTCATTTCTAGAAGTATTATTTGGTTCCTTTTCAAATCTGCCTATGCAATTTTGGAAGACTTTTGCTTTTTTGTCTTATTTTCAAATTCCTTTTTTATTTTTTCAGACATGAAATTTTCTTATTTTAATAATCATACTAGCTATGAGTCTTTGTTGGTTTTATTCTGTAGTTTGATTTTTTTGTTGTTGTTGATTTTCACTTCTGGTGGTTTATTTTTTCAAGTATTTAATGACTTTTGATTGTGAGCTCATGTTCCTCAGAACACTATTTATGGGAATTCTTTGAAGCCTATATTTAAAAGGTACTCCTCCAGAGAAAATTTGCATTTGCTTCTGCTTGGGGCCTAGGGACACTACTACTGTGGGGTCCTTTTAAGGTAAATTTTCAGCCAAGATCGCCTTAAGCCACAAATTGAATGCAAATTCTAGACTAAAACTTGTCTGAGTAGGGACTTTTGGTTAGAAATTGTCATGCAGAGACCTTGTCTGAAGTTTTTTCTTTCCTTCATCCAGAGCCAAGATTGACACAAACAGTTTCTCACCCATCTTCTTATGCAAGATAAGTTTTCTCCTCTAGTCAACCTTTAGTTTCTTAATTCGTTCTATTTTGCTTTGACTCTTTCTTTTCTTTTCTTTGTTTTTAAAACAGATATCCTTGTCAGTTTTCCCATATGCATAAGGGGAGAAAAATAAAAATGTGCCTGCAATAGTAAACTGGAAGGAAAGCAAAGTTTTCCTAATATTTTATTAATTTATTTATGAAAATTATATATGCTCATAGTCAAATAACTCTATAAGGCTTATTACAAAGAACAGTATCTCTTATTCTACATTCCATTCAATTTCTCAATCCTCAGAGGCAACAATTTCAATTAGTTTAGCTAATTCCTTTATATCTACTTCCATACTCTGCTTTGATTAATGTACTTACGTTGCCTCTTTGACTTATCATTTTTAGGCATTCTCTATTGACTTCTCTCTATGAAAGACGAGGATTTAGCTTTCCTTCAGCACCTTCCCCTGCCCCTGCAAATTCCCGTCCTTTCATCCTCCTAATTTTGAGTAGATCAATAGTCAGAATTTAATTATGATTTATATAATTGCTGGTCACAGTTGAGCCATGTAGTATACAATGATTCATTTCTCTTTTCCATACAATAATTTGTGTTTCCTAAAGTTAATAATTGCTTTGTTTTTTCATTTGTGAAATTTTATATGTCCATATTGCTAATGAAACTGTCTCAATAGTTCCATAGACAGTTGTTTTTGAATAAACATAGAAATTTACCCTTCTTCTCTTAAAGCCTGAAACCTGTATTTGTTTTATCTGAGTTCGTTCTTCAGGAAAGGACCTTCAGGCTCCTTAAAAAGGAAATGTCAAAGAACTGAAACTCACCAGATCACTGCACCGGGTGGCCCTTGGCCCCTCCCTAGTTCTTGTTTTCTTACCCATGTAATATTTCTTCCCTGGTATATAAACCCTCCCCGTTTTAGTCAGTCAGAGATATGGATTTGAGACTGAGCTCCCATCTCCTTGGCTGCAGCACCTGATTAAAGCCTTCTTCCTTGGTAATACTTGTCCTCCCAGTGATTGGCTTTCTATGCTGCAAGCACCAGGACCTTGACCAAACTCCTGGTGTTTCAGCAATATATTTTGTTTCCTTGACCGGGAATGTCTTGCTCATGGCAGCTCGGTTGCTGTGGTCTGGGAGTCTCAGAAGCCCTCCTAAGCAGCTGCCCACCTAATTTTGGCTGGAGGTGAATTTCCGTCTCTCTCTGGCCCTGCCACAGCCAGCCCCAACTTTGTTCCTGATTGCCTTGGAAGAACTGCCTTTGAAATTTGACATCTGTACACAGATAGGTGAGCAGCATCTGCTCCTCTCAATTTGGGAAAATTTTAAAGGAATTTCCATTTGTAGGTGGAACAAGACCAACTGACTGAGAGGGAAGCACCCTGACTGTTTCAGTATGGACACTCTTGAGGACTTGTTTGTAATTGTGTGTTGTGTCCCGGCAAGTGAGTGTCTCTTTTGGGTACCAGACAGTGGGATCAGCTCCTCTCAATTTGGGAAATTCTTTATGGAATTTCCATTTGCAGGTCGATCAAGCCCAACCAGTAGAGAAAGGGTGCACTCTGGCTGTTTCAGTTTGGACACTAGGGGCTTGTTTGTTGCTGCAGCAGTTGGATAGTGTTTTGGTGATTGTGTGTGTTTGATATAGTCATGGGAAATCAGAATTTAGCCAACTTGATATTCTTTTGCAATACTATTTGGCCCCAATCTTGTTTGGAATCTGGACTTTGCTGCTGAATGGAAAAGTGGGATGGAGTTGCATGGATCCAGGCTTTTGTGCTGCTGTTCTAAGCAGAGTTGGGCCTGGTTAATATGTGATGTTTTCCTTCGGTGCTGTTTAGCCCCAGTGTTCTTTGGAGTCCGGGGAAGTTTGGCCTTTAAAAATCAAACTGCCATGGACACTGCTTTACCCAAAATTTTGGTTCACATTCTTCACTGGATTAACTATTGGGGCAAACAACGTATAACCATGTAAAACCAGTACGCTTGTATTGGCATTTCATGGCTAGAGTTCTAAGGTAAAATTATTGGATTTTCGTTTGTGTGTGTGTCTACTTGTATGTGTCTATTTGTATGTACACTTATTGTTACATGTTGTGTCTACCAAACTGGCTTATAAGTAAAAGAGCACTCATACGTTAGGTGAAAAAGTCCAAGCAATTTTCAAGTTCACGTGACTTATGTAAATCTTTACTAAACAAACCGGCTTTAAAATTATTGGTAGAATGAAATTGTCAGCATACATTTTTGTTTGGGTTTTATATATGTCTCTGCTAGATATTTTGAGGTTTCAGTGTTTGGCATAGAAGGTTATAAAGCTGTTAATCTAGCCAAAACAAAATGATTTTGGTATGCCTTCTTTGACAGATGAGACTAATTTAATGTTGTTAGGTGAATCTTCTGAGTTATTGGCAAAAATATCTATGTATTTAACTTTGAGCCTCTTATTTAGGTGAGCACCTGATGTTCACTGGCTATTAAGAAAATGGTTGGGCCAGGCGCAGTGGCTCACACCTGTAATCCCCACACTTTGGGAGGCCGAGGTGGGCGGATTGGCTGAGCTCAGGAGTTCGAGACCAGTCTGGGCAAACACGGTGAAACCCCATTTCTACTAAAAAAAAAAAAAAAAAAAAAAAAAAGTTAGCTGGGTGTGGTGGCGTGTGCCTGTAGTCCCAGCTACTCGGGAGGCTGAGGCAGGAGAATTGCTTGAACCCGGGAGGCAGAGGTTGCAGTGAGCCGAGATCGCGCCACTGCACTCCAGCCTGGGTGACACAGCAAGACTCCATCTCAAAAAAAAAAAAAAAAAAAAAAAAAAGAAATGGTTAAGAAGGAAATAACTAACTTTGTATAATTGTGTCTAATATCTCAGTTTTCAGAAGTAATCTAGATAAACTGTTAAAAATGAAGAAACCAAATACATGTCAATGGGATAAATGTTTTAGGTAAACTTTTTGTGTAACTTAAAATCTTAAAATTATTTTTGATGCTCATTGGCTATGTGGGTATCTGGGTCATTTCCAATTAAGAAAGGGTTATGGGCTGGACACGGCAGCTCACGCCTATAATCCCAGCACTTTGGGAGGCTGAGGCCGAGGTGGGTGGATCACAAGGTCAGGAGATCGAGACCATCCTGGCTAACATGGTGAAACCTCGTCTCTACTAAAAATACAAAAAAAAAAAAAAAAAAATTAGCTGGGAGTGGTGGTGGGTGCCTGTAGTCCCAGCTGCTCGGGAGGCTGAGGCAGGAGAATGGCATGAACCCGGGAGGCGGAGCTTGCACTGAGCCGAGATCACGCCACTGCACTCCAGCCTGGGTGACAGAGTGAGACTCCATCTCAAAAAATAAAATTAAAAAAAGGTTATGATATGGAGAAATATGTTTCTAAAAGTTGTGGAATTGTTCTCATGTATAAAATGCTCATATCTGATAGTTCAGGATTTCTTGCTTTTTAGGGTTTCACTAAAATTTAAGGTTATTAAGGATAATAATTATAGTTAATATATAATTCTGTATATGAAATGGGCCAAAAGATGTTATTAGTGAGAAAAAAATAATTTTGTCTAATTTAGAAGTTATTAAAAGTTAATTCAAATTATGGACATGAAAATTTTTTTATGGCCGGGTACTGTGGCTCATGTCTGTAATCCCAGCACTTTGGGAGGCTGAGGCAGGCAGATTACGAAGTCAGGAGATCAAGACCATCCTGGATAACATGGTGAAACCCCATCTCTACTAAAAATACAAAAAAAAATTAGCCAGGTCTGGTGGCACGTGCCTGTAGTCCCAGCTACGAGGGAGGCTGAGGCAGGAGAATGGTGTCAACCCGGGAGGCAGGGCTTGCAGTGAGCCGAGATTGCGCCACTGCACTCCAGCCTGGGCGACAGAGCGAGACTCTGTCTCAAAAAAAAAAAAAAAAGAAAATTTTTTTATGAAACAATGTAGGGGAGAGAGATGTGAAGAAAGTTATGGATATGAAGATATATTTTTTGGTAAGGAAGGTTATAAAGAGAAGATAGTAAGTTTGTATGAGAAAGAATTTTGTATGATGAATTTTTGTCCTGGAGCAAAATAACTGTTTTTTTTTTTTTTTTTTTTTTGAGACAGAGTCTTGCTCTGTCACCCAGGCTGGAGTGCAGCAGTGCAATCTTGGCTCACTGCAAGCTCTGCCTCCTGGGTTCACGCCATTCTCCTGCTTCAGTAGCTGAGTGGCTACCTCCCGAGTAGCTGGGACTACAGGTGCCTGCCACCACGCCCGGCTAATTTTTTGTATTTTTAGTAGAGACAGGGTTTCACCATGTTAGCCAGGATGGTCTCGATCTCCTGACCTCGTGATCCACCCACGTTGGCCTCCCAAAGTGTTGGGATTACAGGCATGAGCCACCGCACCTGGCCAAATGACTGGTTCTTTAAAGAAAAATGAAGAAGAATAAAATCTGGGACTGGATGGAAAGCTTAAGCATGTCACGCATGGTCTGTGTAAGTCATATGTAGTTTTCGTTTGTTTGTTTCTTTGCACATACAGAGAAATTAGAAAGTTTAGATAATAAAATATTCTTTAAAACCTTATAAAGAATTGGAGAAATTTGGATAATTAACACTTTCATAGTTAAAATTCTTAGTCTTGATGAAGGCAAAATAAGAAATATTTTAAACAAATGCATTGGCGGTTTGGCAGTTCTTTTTTAATACAGTTAAGCATGAAGCCAGATTTAGTGTGAAGCCAAATCTCACATACATGCCTGTATTGCTTCACACTATGTTTGCTGTTTTGCATCAATAGTGCTGGCACTGGAGTACTTACTAATAGGTCATGTACCTAGGGTGAATTTCTTGATTGCACAGGATGTATGGTGATATTGGTGGACTTAAGGATATTGAATTGTGTATGAAGAATAAAATATTCATCATGTGGTTTTTTGGGCTCTGGGTAACATGGTAGTCTCCAGGGTAGACTGAGTGGGGAAATGTTGGGGTTGGTTTCCTGTTTGTTTTGCTTCTAATTTTTATTTGTTTGCTGTTTGTTCTCTTTTGTGTTTTGCTTGTGTATGCATATGTATAAAATCATCCATGTTCTTTAGTTTCTAGTGGAAGGCTTTTATAAGTTCTGAACAGAAATAGTACATTATATATTGTTGTTTGGAGAGGTGGATGAAAGTGGAACTGTTTGAGTGGTGTTTGTTTCTAGTGTGAGTCACTTGAATCAATAGTTTGTGTTGGTTTTAGATCTTTTCCTTTAATGAAGAAGAACTGTGATATGGGTACAAAGTTTTAATGTTCAGGAAACATTGGCCTTGTCCTTAAGGAAATTATATTGATTAGAATTTCTCTCAAACTAATTTAAAGTGACATTCACTTGGATTAAGTAGTAATAAAAAAGGTGAGACTTTCTAGTAATTTTTAATCTCAAGCTGTTTATCACTGATGGGCCGTCATGTATGTACTCGAAAACAAAATATGTTCAGGTTTTTAATACAATTAAGCATGATGCCAGATTTAGTATGGAGCCAAATCTCACATACATGCCTGCATTGCTTACATTGCTGCAAATCTCACAAACAACTTATCTATTTTTTATTTCGTTGCCTGTGCTTTTTGTGTCATTCGCCAAATAAATAATTGCCAAATCCAATGTTATGAAGCTTTTCCTCTATGCTTTCTTCTAAGAGTTTTATAGTTTTAGCTCTTCTGTTTAGATCTTTGATTCATTTTGAGTTAATTGTTGTATATGGTGTAAGGTAAGTGTCTACCTTAATTCTTTTGTATGTGTATATCCAGTTTTCCCAACACTACTTGTTGAGAAGACTGTCCTTTCCCTACTAAATGATCTTGGTACCCTTGTTGACAATCACTTGACCATTTATTTGAGGGTTTATATCTGGCCTCTATATTCTATTTCATTGGTCTGTATGTCTGTTTTTACGCCAGTATCACACTGTTTTGATTGCTATAGCTTTGTTGCAGGTTGTGAAATCAGAAAGTATGAGACCTCCAACCTTGTTCTTCTTTTTCAAGATTGTTTTGGCTATTCAGGGTACCTTGATATTCCATATGAATTTTGGAATGGATTTTTCTGTTTCTGCAAAAATGTCATTGAGGTTTTTATAGGGATTGCAGTGAATCTGCAGATCACTTTGGGTAGTACTGACATCTTAACGACAAGTCTTCCAATCCACCACTTACTGGTATTTAATTTCTTTCAGCAATGTTTTGTAGTGTTCAGTCTTTTGCTTCTTCAGTTAAATTTATTCCCAAGTATTTTATTCTTTTTGATGCAATTGTAAATGCAATTGTTTTCTTAATTTCCGTTTTGGATAGTACATTGTTAGTATATAAAAATTGCAACATTTTTGTGTGCATTGATTTTGTATCCTGTAATTGTGATTTTTGATCCTTTGTATAAAAATTTTCCTTAACTCCTTTGGAAGTCTGGAGGAGTTCTTTCCTCATACTCTGGTGTTCTGAAATTTCAAGATGATGGACTTGATGTGGGTCTGTTTTTAGCCACTGTGTTGGATAGTAGGTGGATCTAACAGCTTCTTAAACAGATTTTTTTCTGTTTTCAGCCCTACCTTCACTTCCACCTCCAGAGATATCTGCTTCTGATCATTCCTGAGCCTTTTGAGGGTTTTGTGGCATACATTGGATTTCTTCTAGGTTCACCACTCTGGCTTCTGGGTCGGGGTGGGGGTATGTTGATGAATCACAAGTGACAGGAGTTGATATTTGTTGGAAGTAGGGGACTGGGGTCCCAGGAATTGATTAGACTTCTCTCTCAATTTTTGTATATGTCTGGAAATCTCCAAGATAGTAATATGAAGACCCTGGCTATATCACATGGCATCCTGAGGAGGTCTCAAATGAATATTTGTTAGGATACTTGGACATATTTAAAACTTTTTTTTTTTTTTTGAGACAGGGTCTTGCTCTGTCACCTAGACTGGAGTGTAGTGGCGTGATCATGGCTCACAGCAGCCTTGAACCTCTGAGGTTCAGGTGATCAATTTTACTCTAAAATCCTCACACCTCAACCTCCCGAATAGCTGGGACTACAGGCATATGCCATCATGCCCGGCTGATTTTTGTATTTTTTGTAGAGATGTGGTTTCGCCATGTTGCCCAGGCTAGTCTTGAACCCTGGGCACAAGCGTTCCGCTCGCCTTGGCCTCCCAAAGTGCTGGGATTACAGATGTGAGCCACGGCGCCTGGCCTGAAACATTTTTTAAGAGAAGTTTTGCAATTGTTCACATCTGTGCTTTATTTTCAAGAGAAGATGGTTTCACCTCTGAGAAGTCAAGCATGTCAGGTTTTTTTGTTTTTTTGTTTTTTGTTTTTTGAGATGGAGTCTCACTCTGTTGTCCAGGCTGGAGTGCGGTAGTGCAATCTGAGCTCACTGCAACCTCTGCCTCCCAGGTTCAAGTGATTCTCCTGCCTCAGCCTCCCGAGTAGCTGGGACTACAGGCCCGCGCCACCACGCCCAGCTAATTTTTGTATTTTTAGTAGAGACGGGGTTTCACAGTGTTGGCCAGGATGGTCTCGATCTCTTGACCTTGTGATCTGCCTGCCTCGGCCTCCCAAAGTGCTGGGATTACAGATGTGAGCCACCGCACCTGGCCCCAAGTATCTCAGTCTTTATGACACACGCTATGCTCTCACATCAACCCTGTAGGCCTGGTATTGCCACTTCAGGTACTACTCAGGGTTTACTCTTGTTTCAACTTCAACCCTAGCCAAAAGTGCACAAGACAACAAAATTATATACATATACATAAAATCTTATATATGTATTTAATTTTGTAATTAAATGTATATAGTTATATAGTTGAAGACTAACAATAAGTTGCAAAAATAGTACAAGGTTCCTGTGTACCTTTCAGCCACTTTTCCCCATCATAAGCTTATGTGACCATGGGACAAGAGACAACTGACACTTCAGAGACCCAATCCATAGCTATGGGATGTTTCAGTTCAAGCCTCTAATCTTTATTCCTTAATGTAAACCACCAGAAAACAAAAACTTGAACCATGTTGGCTTAATTTGCCATAGAGATGCCTTAATCTCTTGGTTTTTATCGATTGTCCAGATAAGGAGTGGATACTTGAAAAATGCTTCTTTGGGGCCTGAAAGCGGCATATGTAATTAAAGGCTGTTCATTGTTACTCCACATTCCTTTTGTAAGGATCCATGTGGTAAGTTTCTCAGAGAATTTATTGCCAGGGAAACGTTTGTTTCTCCAGAAAAAAAGCTCCCTTTTGCCATACAATGAGCATGATATAAACGATCATATTTCTTTGTTTCTCTTTTTGCCTTGGCCGTCAGAAATTCAGAGGAACTTTAGGATATAATTGCAGTAACTGACTCATTTAATATTTATGTAATTATTTCCCCTCTTCCTTTAAATAGCTCCTCATCTTGCTTTTTGTCTTCATTTTAATTGTACAGGTTCACAATCCCTTATTCACTATTCTAAAATGCAAGAAGATCTAAAAACAGAGTGCTTTTTTAAATTCAGGAAGCTTAGTGTGAATATTCATATGTCACTACAGAAATACTAAAGTGTTTGATTTTAGGGCACTGCCCCAGACCCCTCTGGGAATGTTATATAAAGTATTCGCTTTCTAAAATCTAAAAGAGTCTGCATTCTGAACGGTAGCTAACCTCAAGGATGTCAGCCAGGGGACTGTGGACCTGTGTGTGTCGGAGTGTGGGAAGGCCCTCATGGATTCCTCAAAGAGCAGGTGTGTGCCCCGGACAGGATCCCAGAAGGCCATGTGTAGATGGGACCTGATACAGAAGGAAGCCAAAGGGAGACCTGCCTGCAGCTGCCATCAATCCCTTCGTCCCAGTGCCCATCTCCCCTGGCCACTGGTGATATTACCTGTCTCTGAAACTTCTTGTGGTCGGACTTTCTTGGTCAGTTTCAGAGCTGCTTCAAGGTCATAGACTTGGGACCGAGTGAACTTCAGCTCCCTGCGGAGCTCATTAATTTCCTTGATCAGAGAGACATTTTCCTGCAGAAAAGGGGGAAGAGAGAGGGAGGGTGGATGGATGAGTGGTCAGTGGGCACAAGGCATACCCTCCTGGGCTGAGTGTATGGGGAATGGGCAGGGTTAGGTCTGGATCCAGAACTCTGGATCCTCTATTGGGGCCTGAGCCTTTATTCCAGCCTATTGCTCAGCCTCTTAAGGAACCAGCTAACTTACTTTCGGGTAGACTCAGCACCATTCACATCCACCCATGCTTGTTGCAACGTCAACAGCAACAACAATGCTTTTCCATGCACTTTTTATATGAGTTTAAATGCATCATAATAACCCTATGGCTATTATTATATCACAATTATTGGCTATTATATGGCTATTATATTATATATATATAATTATATGGCTATTATAATCACAAAAACAATTATAAATTGTTATTATAATCACAATTTTACAGAAGAGAAAAGTGAGGCACAGAGAGGTATATGACTTGCTCAGTTACACAGCTAGCAAGTGGTAGAGTCAGGATTCCAACCCCAACAGTCTGGCTCCAGAGTTCGTAAGCACTGTGCTATACTTCATTCATTTTTCATTCATTTGCTGAACCCACATTTATAGGCTATCTGGTAAGTCCATAAAGTGCAAACAGAAATAGGATATGGTCTGCCCTTAGCAGCATGCTATTTAGTGAGTAAAACAGAAAAGTAAATGGATAATTAACATCTGCTGCATCCATTGGAAGCTCACTTCTCTTATTTGTGTTTGACAAATATCCATCCATCCATCCATCCATCCATCCAACCAACCATTCATCTAATAAATGTTTATTGAGTACCTATAATGTAGTCATCCAATATTATGGAGATACTATGTTAATCCTAGAGTATAGAGAGTGTAAATCTTAGCTTCTGCTCTTGAGGAGTTTACAGTTTAGTGCGGGGTGTGGGTACAGTTTAACATGGTGGCCACCTTGCTGTGATGGAGGAGTGGGCCTAGAGGAAAGATGCTTCCTTCTGCCTGAATGACTAGGGTGGATTCCTAGGAATTGACCCCTGGGCTGAGGCTTGAAGGAGTCACCAAGGAGAGGGTAAAGGGTGTCCCAGACAACTAGAACAGCAGAAGCAAAGGCACAGAATGTGACACAGCTGATGGGGGTGGGGGAGACCTGCAACAGTCCTGCATCACTGGAATGCAGAGTGAAAGGAGGGGAGTCGACAGGAGTGAGGACGAAGCTTGCTGGGGGCCAGGTGGTGCAGGCTCTGCACCCTGGGACCAAACAGTCTCTTTCCTCTTTTCCCACACCTCAAATCTCTGCCTTCCATTTCACACCCAGCACAAGTACCCCAAGGAGGAGCCCCATCCCCAAGGGCCCAAAGAGACTGGCCACTTTGCTCTTAGAGCCCACAGCCACAGTAGTCAGCTTGTCTACAGCAGTTCCTCGTGTATGACCATACAAATACATCACCTGACCACCTTGTTAGATGCCCCTCTGACTCATAGGTCTGGAATGGGCCCTGAAATCCTGCACTGGGCTTCCAAGAGATGCTGCTGCTGGTCTGCAGGCCAGACCACACTTTCAGTTGCAAAGCACCTGAGGGTCTGTATACCAGAAAAGGCAGTTGCAGGCCAAATCTACATAAAATGGACCTGTGCCAGGAACAAACTGTGCTTCTACTTGGGACATTATCTCACGAGTGGTGGCTACGGAGTCAGAGCCCAGAGAACAGGATGGTCTTAAGCACTGTTCTCCCTGAGCTGTGACAAACGGTCCTCTGCTGTGGGGAGGTACCTGTGGAACCCAGAAGGGAGCAGGGGTCGGGCTAGAGACACCGCAATGATTCTTTTCCTCCAGAAATGCTTCATCTAAAGCACAGATCTACACCTTTAGACTTCCAGTATATTACTTAATTTCAGTATTCCTTACAATATAGTTTGGATGTTTGTCTCCTCGAAATCTCCTGTTGAAAACTGATCCCCAGTGTTGGAGGTGGGGCCTAGAGGGAGGTATTTGGGTCATGGGAGCAGATTCCTCATGAAGGGCTTGGTGCCATCCTCGCAGTAATGAGTGCTTGTTCTATTCGTTCCTGCAAGAACTAGTTGTTTTAAAAGAACCTGGCCTCGGCTGGGCACGGTGGCTCACACCTGTAATCCCAGCACTTTGGGAGGCCGAGGCAGGTGGATCATGAGGTCAGGAGATCAAGACCATCCTGGCTAACATGGTGAAACCCCGTCTACGCTAAAAATACAAACAGTTAGCCGGGCGTGGTGGCGGGTGCCTGTACTCCCAGCTACTTGGGAGGCTGAGGCAGGAGAATGGCATGAACCCAGGAGGCGGAGCTTGCAGTGAGCCGAGATCGTGCCACTGCACTCCAGCCTGGGCGACAGAGCGAGACCGGCCCCTTCTCCTCTCCTACTCTCTCTTTCGCCATGTGACACGCCTGCTCCTCTTTTGCCTTCCATCATGAGTGAAAGCTTCCTGAGGTCTTGACCAGAAGCAATGCTGGTGCCATGCTTCCTGTACAGCCCTCAGAACTGTGAGCCAAATAAACCTCTCTTCTTTATAAATTACCCAGCCTCAGGTATTCCTTTATAGTAATGAAATCTCTCTGTCTCGGATGAAATGCCCAGTCCTCATTGTCAACCCCTCATTCTTCATGCTAGGATTTGTACTTGTGTTTCTGAATCAGATGTTTTCTCCATCGAATGCTTTACCCTTTGAACCAACCCAGGCCTTGCTGATTGTAGTGTGATGGGTCCCCCACCAGGTTACTTAAGGGTGTATGTTCACTGTCTGAACCCTCAAGGCCAGGCAGTTAGTCAAGGCCATGGTGCCCAGCTGTGGAGCAGGTGTCCCTGAGAATCCAAACATCCTAGAAGATATCTGAAAACCTACTAAGGAAAACAGTCCCATGGCACATACACAGTAGGTGAAGAGCCAGAAAATTAGCTTAAAAGCAGCTTAGCGATGTGAGGCAAAGCAGGTCTCTAGAGCTGTCCTGCTGCTGCCCAGGAGTGCCCCACATGGAAGACCTAAATAAACTCATCTACTCACCAAGCTGGACTTGTCATTCTTCGGTCTCCCCAGTTTGGGAGGGAGGGTGGGGAACATTACAGTTCCAAATTGTCTCATAACAGTGATAGGTTTCCCGCATTTCCTTTCCAGATGCTGCCTGGTAAAACTCTGCTAGATCCTCCCATGGACCTTCTCCTTGCAGACTTTATATCATGACATGATCAATTCAATACATATTTATTGGGTTATGGACCTTGGACCCTGCCTTGCATGTTAGAGGTGCTCATTAAATATTTGTGAAATGGATGAGAAAATGTATAACTAATGCAGTGGATACCAAACCGAATAAGATGAGATTCTTACTAATAAGGAAGTTACAGACCAAGGGATAAGGGACAGGTGAAAGAGACCAGAACAGAAGGGAAGGTCTTAGAGCCACAGGGGGAAGCTTGCTTGCTTGAGGTCTCTCTCCATTTCTCCCTTCAGTAGGCCTCGCTAAGCTTCACTTCTCCTGATCCTCATTAAATAACTCAATAACAATCATCAGAATAAGCACTAGAAACTGAAAGCACAATTCGAGTTCTCTCACAGTTTGCATCTTTAGCTGCTTCCTCTTTTTGGTCATCTCCATCCATTCTGTCACTGAGTCCTATTGATTTTGTGTCTGAGTTGATTCTGATGTTCATCCTTCCTGCTGGTTTGTCACCAGCTCTCAGTGTTCTCCCTTGTTCTGCTGTAAAGGCCCCCCGGCAAGTGGAGCCCTGCCCTGGCTTCTCCCCACCCCCTCCACCCTCTACAGCCCTGTCACTGTGATTGGGATTTCTGGCTCCTGGTACCTGTTGGTGTGAATGCCTGTTCCTGACCCCCCTGCCAACCTCTGACATCTTCATGATGCTCCCTTACCTAAATGGGTCTCCAGGGCTTGATCCTTTTTGGAGTATGATTGAGGCCCACCACTCAGTGCAGCCTGACTCTCTTGTTCTGTTCATTCATTCATTCATTCATTCACGTATTCATGTAAGAAAAGTAATCTAAGAACCAGTTCCTGAAAGCTTATACTGGTCACTGTGCCAGGCATGGGAGGTCCCGCTTGGCTCCACTGCAGAGCTGCCATGAGAGGCTGAAGCATGGTTGGGCCCCTGCCCAACCCAGTGTGACAGTGTGCAACCCCAGGGGAGACAGAGGAGAAGAGTGTTCCAGGCCCAGAGCCAGGAGGCGGCAAGCAGAACCTAAGGCAGGAAGAGCTTGATGATAACGATAATAAGAGTAACCACAATTGCAAGGGTTGATTGGATCACTGCAAATGTATCAAACAGCATGCATACAGTCCCTCAGTTCATCCTTACACCAACCTTGTGAGGAAACTGAGGCCGTATCTCAGTGGTAGAGCTGGTGTCTGAACCCTGTCGTGCCTCCATCCAGAGAGCCCTGCTCCTCCGTGACTACTGCTTTCCAGGCTCTGCTGTCCCCCCTCACATTTATGTCACCTCCATTCCAATATCTCACATAGTATGATGGCCAAGGACACTCCCAATAAGTATAAGTTGGGCTACCTGCAAAATGTTTTCTGGGGTGGCCTGTGTTCCGAGGGGTCCCGAGGTCACATTGAGGTCGACCGTTTTTGCTTTGGATGGCTTTGTGGATTAAAAATGTGAATGCAATGGGTTTGCCGAGCCTTCTCTTCCTGATCTCTCCCTTGTCAGTTTGACTTCCAAAATCCCCTCCAATCCTCCAGACCCCCACCCAGGTCTACACAGCTGCAGAGGAAATCTGACCTGGGGTCCACCAACGTGCCAAGTCTTGGGGGATGTGAAACTGTTTATGTAAAAAGCTTTCTAAGCAAAGGGGCTCTGCCAAGCTGTCCAGGACTGCCTTTGGCCTTTGGAACTGACTGATGACCCTGGCAGGTCTTTCCGACCTCCGTATTGAGCAGAGAAGAGAAGGGAATGCCTACAGCACCCCCTAATGGCATGGCCTGAGTCGATGCCTTTAGAATATGGCAGTACCTCACAGCCTGGAAAAAGCAGGCAACAGATTTATTCCATGGACTTGGAATCCTTGCATCAGTGACATCTTTCTGGAACCCACAGTCAGTGGGCTCACCATCTGCCTAACTGCACAAATGAGCCATCCTGGAATCCTTCTCCGTTCTTTCAACCTTCCTCCCATGTCTAACCTGACATTTCTATTTGTCATTTCTACTCTGAAATGCCTTTTGACACCACAACTTTCCCCTTTCCAAGTACTTCTCATCTACCCTTAACATGACAGTCATTTCCTAATGGGTTTTTCTGCCACCTGCCTCTTTCCCCACCAGTCTTCCCACCTTGCCAATGGAGTGTTTTGTCTTTTCAAAACAAAGACACCCCTACTTAAGAAACCTTGGGTGGAGCCTGTTTACAGGACAAACTGTACTTTTTGGCATGGCATGGACGCCCTTTCCAACATGACCCTCAGCCACCAACCATTTCAGTGGGTTCTTCTCCACTTGGACTCTCTTCTCGTGGACTCTTGGGTCTCCAAGCACCTCACAGGCCTCACTCTTCTCTGCTTTTTCTCAGGTTGTTCCCACAGCCTGGAAGTCTCTTCCCTGACTTGTTCCACGATCAACCTCTACTCACCCTTCAAGGCTCAGCTCAAATGCCCCTTGCCCCAGAAACCTTCCACAAGTCCTGAAGGCATCACTGAACCCCATTTCCAGGATGAGCCCACAGCACTGCATACAATGAGTTGAGCAGTAATTATTTGTATCTGGTCCAGGTTCCCAATGATTAACTCCTTGAGAGTAGGAACACTATCACGTTCATCTTGGAATCCTCAGTGACTGACACAGAGCTTGCTGTACAAGAAGCCCTCAAAAAATGTGTACTGAATGAATAAAATGCATGTCCTAGATGTTTGTATCTCATAGCAACTCTTATTTTCATATCTGCCAGTGTGCTGAGGAATGGAGTGGGGAGGCTGAGCTCCTGTCTGAATAAACAAATGAGACAGTGACCTCATTTTCTGTTATTTTCTAATGAGTTACTCTTAGATGCCATGTTTGCTGTGGCCTTCCTCAGCCTTTTTGGATTGAAGTGCCAGGGCCATGGCAACTGAAGATGAGGTCCAGCTGGCTCCTGACCAGCACACACCAAGGTCACCAACTGAGGGTCTGGAATCAGTTGTGCCATCCACCCTCCACCCTCCACCCCTGCCACCTGCAGTCCACAGGCACCCGTGGCCCATCCTGTGATGGGCTTCTAGGCTTTCCCACTGGATTTCTACCTTGGTTCTTGGATAGGTCCTTTGCTTGGATGAAGAGGATGGAAATTGCCTTTTTTTTTTGGGGGGGGATGGAGTCTCGCTCTGTCGCCCAGGCTGGAGTGCAGTGGCCCGATCTTGGCTCACTGCAAGCTCTGCCTCCCACGTTCATGCCATTCTCCTGCCTCAGCCTCCAGAGTAGCTGGGACTACAGGTGCCCACCACACGCCCGGCTAATTTTTTTGTATTTTTAGTAGATATGGGGTTTCACCGTGTTAGCCAGGATGATCTCGATCTCCTGACCTCACGATCCACCCGCCTCGGCCTCCCAAAGTGCTGGGATTACAGGCGTGAGCCACTGCGCCCGGCTGGAAATTGCCTTTTTTTTTTTTTTTTTTTTTTTTTTTAGCACTTATTCTGTACCAGGCCAGTGCCTAGTGCCTTATGTGGTTGTCCCATTCAATCTTGCAGGAACCCCCCACTCTCAGGTTGGTGTTTTCTTCCCTGTTTTACATATAGGCAAGGTGGCTCCTTGAGTTAAGGAATTTACCCAAGGTCTCCTGGCAGAGGAGTGGTGGAGCAGGGTAAACCAGGGTCGGCACAGTGGTTTTGAAAACTTTTCTTTTTTTTAAATCTTCCAGACTTTTTTCCAACAAAAAGAGCTCCACTGTTAGCAGCAAGCAGTCTCTTTCTGGTTGAAGGGGTAGGGACCCGGAGACCCGCACCCCCTGCCACACACCCCCCACCCTGGGCCCCTTCTTACTCCCTGCAGTTGCTGGAGTTACTTATTTGGATCCACAGGACTCCCTAGCACATAGGTTACAATGCTGCTGGAGAAAATGTTCTTCCCGGGACTTCATTTGTTGATGGCTCCCTCTGCCAGCCATCAGGGAGTGGCAGGGCTGGGCAGGAGGCCGCTTGGGTCTCCTCTGCTTTCTACCCCACCCTGGCCCAGCACCCTCCGGGGCATAGGGAAGCAGAAGAGGACAGGATGCCCGCCCCAGCAGCCTCATGCTGACGCTCACACCCTCTGGCTAGCCTGTGATCTTCCTCCTCCTACATCGATGTTTGCTTTGGCTGCTTGGCATGGAGAGAGGGACCCAGTTCCTCAGGCCTGTACTCTGGTGACAGGGCACAGAGGGTGCTAGGTGATGTCAGCAGCTGACAACTGCTCCTGCTGTCATCCTGGTTTCCCTTCCCTGCTCACTGCACTCCAGAGCCCCAGGGGGCTCTCCATGCTCTAGGTACTCCAGGCCCTAAGCAGTGGCTCAGTGTGCGGCTGCTGGTGTCTCAGGGCTCCACCAGCTGGAGGCACTTCTATCTCTGGGCCTCCGATGGCTTTCATGGCCAAGGAGTAGGGCAAAGGGTAGATGGACTGGGCTGCTTTTCAGCAGGGACTGGTCGTAAGATGACATGAGACCAGCCCTGCCTGGGTCTGGCCTGAATCACAGTGCGCTCTGCCCAGCTGTGTATGAACTGGCCAAGCTGGGAACTGGTTTGTTTCAATCTAACTGCAACCTGTTCCCATTCCAGTATTTTAATTATGGCAATAAAGAAATGTGAACATAAAAAGGTACGTGCTTTATAAATGTGATTCTGATGTTCCCTTTTGATACTAATTCACATTAATTGCCTCAGATGATACTGATACCCAAACAGAAATCTGGCAGAAGAATCCCGACTGGCAGTCCTGATAACGTGCCTGTGTGGAGGCGGCAGTAATGGGGTCAGGCTCTCTGAACAGCCTATGAAGGATCCAGGGAGGTGGGTGTGAGGCGCTTATTAAACCAGAGTGAGGCCAGCTCTGGGACGTTGTGGCTAACTTGGGACACAAGAGATAAGGGTAGGGACCTGAGGCACCAGAAAAATCAGATGAGGCGTGGCCACGAGATATGGGTAGCAGAATACAAAGGAGCAAAACAAAGTCAGGTGAAATGAGAGTTGGGAATGGAAGAGAGAAGGGAAAGTGGCTCAGGAGAGGTAAGATGATGTGGATGAAGGTCTAGAGGGCCAAGGGGCTGATGAGAGGAGTGAGGCAGGGGACACAGGTGTGCTCTGGATAAAGATGGTGTAGAAAAGAGGAATCGGGTATGTGGAGAAGGGAGGTGGGCATTGGGTGGGGTGGAGGCCAGGGTGCAGCATGGAAGTGCCTAGAAAACCTCCTAGGTGAGCTCTCAGCCACAGTCACAGCCAAGACGAGCTCAGAGGAGAGGAGCCAAAATAAGACTTTAGGGGGAGCTACTGGGCCCCCAGACACCTGGGGAGCCCTGAAGACAGGTGGTCTCAGAGGGACCCTTGATGGGATCTCTCATCTTGGATGGCTTGGCCTCCACAGGGGCTGAGGGGAGCATGCAGGTACCTGCATGATGCGGACGTAGTCTGTGCGGTGCAGCTCGCCCTCCTTGACCACCTTCTTCTTGAGAGTGGCCAGGTTCCTCTCCAGGTGCTCCCGCTGCCGGGTGTACTCCTGCTGCAGGTCTGTGTTCAGCCCTGCGATCTCCACCTGACGGGGCCCAGGAGA
Organism: Homo sapiens; assembly: GCF_000001405.40. Classification (NCBI taxonomy): domain Eukaryota; kingdom Metazoa; phylum Chordata; class Mammalia; order Primates; family Hominidae; genus Homo; species Homo sapiens. Next base: position 43,234,476 of record NC_000001.11, on the reverse strand, counting down.
TTCTCAGTGAGGGAGAGGAGACCCCGGAGGTCAGTGCATGGCAGGAGGGGAGGCTGAGCTTACCATGTCTGCTCGCTGCACGTACTTCTCAAAGAGACCTCGAACCTTCTCCTTCAGCAGCCGCGGTTCCTGAATATAGGCTACGCAGTTGTGGAGGTCTGTTTTAAACCTTTTGACCAGCGCTTCCAAGTCTCGCTCCTGCAATCAGAGACGTTTCCTTCTGGTGCTGTAGGGTGCTCTCGGTGGAGGGGCGGGGGCTGCAGGCAGAGGTTAATGGCACAGAAAGGGAAAAGAGATGCCTCATCTGGGACTTACAGCTGACTGCCAGGGGCCATACTGGGCATAGAAACTTAGACGGGCACACAGCCAACAGGTGGAGGCACGAAAAGTCTTGTGCACCTGCCCTCGGCTGGACACCCAGCCTGAACAGCCTACATGGGGCTTCATCCTTAAGAGGCCACACAGATGGGCTCCTTTATTGACTCTGATTCCCTTTCAGGACCACAGGCCTTAAAAGATAAAAGGAAGCTCATGTGGTCACCCATATCCCTTTAGAGCCAAGACAGATGGCATCATTTCTCTCTTGCAGATTCCTGGCCAGGGCTTCCACGTCCCCCGTGTTAGCTCATCCAGTGCTTACCCTTCCCGATAGTCAGGAGCGCTGCTGTGAGTGGGCAGGTTGGTTCATCTACACAGTTGGGCTAGTGTCCCCTCTTCATCATGCTTTTACCTGTCTTCCCCAACCCTGACCTAGAGAAAGTCATTTCTCCTTGCTCCCATGGCCCTTTCTACATGTTCCATCGTTTTCTACCTCTCAATATAACTATTATGCACATGCCACAAATCACCAGTCATCCTCTTCAGCATGGAAATGGCAGGATCTGTATCAGTTCTCGTTTATAGCTCTGCAGCTGCTGGTGTTACCTAGTGCAGAGTTAGTTAATGCTTACTGCAGAAGATGGAAATTTCCAATCTTTTTTTTTTTTTTTAGACGGAGTCTTGCTCTGTCACCCAGGCTGGAGTGCGGTGTTGCAATCTTGGCTCACGGCAACCTCCGCCTCCCAGGTTCAAGCAATTCTCCTGCCTCAGTCTCCCAGTTAGCTAGGACTACAGGCGTGTGCCGCCATGCCTGGCTAATTTTTGTATTTTTAGTAGAGACGGGGTTTCACTATGTTGGCCAGGCTGGTCTCGAACTCCTGACCTCGTGATCCACCTGCCTCGGCCTCCCAAAGTGCTGGGATTACAGGCATGAGCCACTGTGCCTGGACGGAAAGTTCCAATCTTATTCAACAAATGTTAAGGAGTGGCCTGTGCTAGGCAGGAGGGCACAACTGTGTCCTGGCCCACATCCAGAAAACCTAGATTCCATTATTAGCCCTGTGTGTACTACCTAGCTGTGGGTGCTGGGTGAAGTTTCTTAACCTCCCAATTTTTGGGGCCTAATTTTTCTTATTTATAACATGGAGAAATGGGAATCAATGACCTTTGAGGTTCCCCTGGCCTTGGCAATTTTTCGGTCATCAAAGCCTTAAACCAGCGGCGACAAATTGCCTCTCTGAGCACGTACTTTCCTCCTCCAAAGAAGCCAAATGCTACAAATATTCCTGCCATGCTGGCTTCCCACCTCCTTGATCACTTACCCAAAGTCATTTTATAGTCTCAGATGAGTTCAGTGATGTAAATCTACATGGGCCTGAAATCAGGCAGGGCTGGGAGCAAGTAAAGAATGTGAGTTAAAATGGGAAACATATCCTCGCAGTGGGCTGGCTCTGCCTCTTGGAAGCCAGCTGCCCATTGCAGATAGGTGCCAGATCCCGAATCCAAGAACTGCCAGACTCTGAAACCCTCACACCTTCTGTCTCTCTCTGCGCATCTCCTGATCGGTGGCTCTCAGTTTCTGCCACAATTCTGTGATGTTCAGCTCCAGTTGAGTGTTCTGCTTATGGAAATTCTCCAGTTCAGCTTCCATCTGTAGACAACAAGGGAAAAGAGTCAAGAAGAAGAAAGTTAGATAATGAAAACTGTATTTGAGAACTGTAGTCTTTCAGTGGGGATGCCACCCCTGACACCCGGGCATTTCTTTTCTCATCCCCTTCTGTGTCCTCTGGATCAAAACCTTTCTTCTACTTGCTTTCCTAACAGCTCCCCACCCCTAGACTGATATGCTAAACCAGCATCACGTGTTTCCACGGCCAGGCTGGGAAGTTTTCCCTCTGAGTCACTTTCCCTTTCCTTCAACCATGCTGATTATTTTATTTTCTTGAATTCCTTATAAATTGGTGACACCCAAGCACTAGAACCTCAACTCTCACCTGAGGCAGGGTTCCCCAGAGAAGCACCTTCCTCACCTGCTTTCTGAAGTTGTATAAGTGAATCTCGACCCTCTGGGGCCACTTTAGAATGGGGTCATTCTAAAGCAGAAAGTTTGGAGGGACCAACATGTGGGCACCACCCATCTAAGGCATAAAACAGGAAAGGGGAAGCTGAGAAGGGGCCTCAGCCTCATCATTCTGTTGAAAGGTCTTAAAAAGTACAACTGAGAAGTGTCCTGTCTTCACAAGAAAAATAAGAAACCACCAGTGAGCTTCTGAAATACATTTTTTTTAGATGGAGTCTTGCTCTGTTGCCGAGGCTGGAGTGCAGTGGTGCGATCTCTATCTTGGCTCACTGCAACCTCCGCCTCCGGGTTTAAGCAATTTTCTAGCCTCAGCCTCCCGAGTAGCTGGGATTACAGGCAATTGCCACCATGCCCAACTAATTTTTTTTTTTTTTTTTTTGTATTTTTAGGAGAGACAGGGTTTCACCATGTTGTCCAGGCTGGTCTTGAACTCCTGACCTCAAGTGATCTGCCCACCTCGCCTTCCCAAAGTGCTGGGATTACAGGCATGAGCCACTGCGCCCGGGCTGAAAGATTTTTTAAAAATTCATTTTTGCATTTATATTAACCAAAGTCATGGGAATGACAACTGGAGTGTCCAATTAGGATGAGACTAGCTGTGCATGAGCTTTCATTGACCTAACTCCTAATGACTTATGGACTATATCTGGTGGACACTAGTATTTCTGATAAGAGGGAGGTTTGCTGACTGTTTTGGGAGAATGGGATCATTCACTGGATTTTTTCACGGCTAGGTAGAGTAGACCCTCCCCCTCTAGTCTATCCCAGGCCCTTTGGTCAAATTTCAAGGCTCTTGGTAACCTTCTGGGGGGTGCCAGGAGGCCCTAATGAACACATCCATGTTCTAGACACAAAAGGGCAGCTTTTAGAAGGTTTTCCTCATTACTGGAAGCATTTTGTATAGACAGAATAGCCCTCTGACCCAAAGCCTGGCATAAAGGTGGCACTCAAATATTTGATGAATGAACGAATAATGGCAAGTGTGGTGGACAAAGGAGAGCAATAGTGAGGGACACGAAAAGAGCCTGAAACACCCTGCTTCTGGAAGAGGAATGACAAGATAAGAAGGCAGTGTTGGCAGAGTTATATAGAACCACCTTGTAGGGGATACACATTGAGTGTGGGTATTTGCACAGCTAAAGAATGTGCCCATTAGAAAGGGCCGCCCAGCTTGTTGTAGACTTAGAGATCTAAGGCTGATTAAGAAGTAGTTTCTGCCTTCAAGAGGCCTCAGGTCTGCAAGGATAAGAAAGAAGTAAATCAGAAATTCAGGTGGAGTAGGATAAACACTGCAGTTAAGGCAGAAAGCACTGTGTGTACACAGAGGAGGTGAGCAGGCAGCACCCAAAAAGATGGGATGCGTCCACTGGATTTGGGAGGAAGAATAAGTATTAGAGGACAAAAGGGGAAAGAATTCCAGGCAGACAGAACAGCCTGCACACAGAGAGGACCAGAGGCATGGGCAGCCTGGCGCATCTCTGCAGGCTGCAAGTGGCTTAGGGTGGCTGCAGGAGCAGGGATTTGAAGAGGGGGGAGAGGGGAGGGAGAAGAGGCTGGCTGAGCTAGGTCATGCAGGATCCAAGGGCAGAGGCTCAAATGGTGAGAAGTTTGCCTTTATCCTGAAAGCTCAGAGAGCCACTGAAGGCTTAGACCAGGAGTGGAATGATGTAATTTGCATCTTAGAGGGCCTGATGCAGAGGTTCTGCTGAAAAGAGCAAGACGGGGGCCAGGCAGACCAGTCAGGAGGCTGCCAGTTTGGCTGAGGAGGCAGATGATAGCGTCCTAGGCCAAGGCAATGGCAGCTGGAAGAGAGAAAGGGGGCTTCTGTTTGCGGGGCTCCCGAAGATCATGTCTGAGTGCCTCATTCTCTAAATCTCAGGCCAGCAGTGACAGATGAGGTTAGCAGAGAGGGCATACAGGAGTATATTGTTTACTTCTGTTCATTTTTTCCCCCAGGCAAAGACTCATACTACTCTGAGAATAAAAATAATCTGTTTATAGAAAAATTGGGAAATAGGTCAAATTTGAGTAGCTGGCTGGACAGCCAGAAGCCTAGCCCCTTATGTGGAAACAAGCATCTTTTCCCAGTGTGGAAAATCCATCTACTTTTCCATGTGTTTTTCATCACACTCAGAGATTCTCAATGGGGCTCAGGCAGGAGGGTAGAAAGCATTTTGCACCCCCCAGGGGACCTCTGGCAAGGTCTGAAGGCATTTTTTAGTTTTAACATCCTGGATAGGGGGTGTTTTTGGGATCTAGCAGGTAGGGACCAGGGACGCTGCTAAACATCCTACAATATACAGGACAGACCCTCCATGACAGAGAATTACCTACCTCAAAATAGTAGTAGTGCTGAGCTTGAGAAACCCTGCCCTAGTAAATGAGTGTAAACTAAAACGACAAGCCTCGGGAAACCTCTCCCCTAGGCAGGGCAAAGGGACCCTTGGATCATCAGAGCCAAGTTGGAAAAAGAGTATGTGAGGGCGGGTACCTGAATCAGGAAGTGTTATTAGAAGTTGCAGCTCTACAAATGAGCCAAGGGCTTGAGGCTTCCTTCCTGGGAGAAAAAGACCTTTACAGGAGATCCACAGTGCATGAACCAAAGGTGTCTATGACCCCCAGAGGGAAGCCCCAAGGTCAGAGGCTCCCAGAAGCACCCAGGCCCAGGTATCAGTCCTGACAGCAACTGGCACCAGCGAAAGGAGGTAGGAGGGATCCTGCTGGAATCACTCCCAAGGTGCAAGTGTATTCCCTGCTGAGCATCAAGGCCACGGTTGGCCCCTGTTACTGCCAGAGAAGATGAATGGTCCCCCCAGGTGTGCTGGTGGGGAAAGTAAGCTGACCATTAGCAAACAACGGACCCGACCTGAAATGCAGCTGACAAATGTGTCAAATGAGGAAGGAGAAAGGGGGCAGTGATTTCCAGGGGCCTGTGGTGTGCTGGCCCTCCAGGTGGGTGGGGCCTCTGCTCTTCCTCTCATCTTCTCAGGCTGCTATGGTCTGATGAACGTTGGTGCCCTCCACCCCAAATTCCAATGGTGAAACCTAACCCCCAAAGTGATGGGATTAGGAGGTCAGGTCTTTGGGAGGTGATCAGGTCACGAGGGCAGAGCCCTCACAAATGGGATTTGTGCCCTTGTACGAGAGGCTGGAGGGAGCTTGTTTGCCCCCTTTTGCCCTCCCATCACATGAGGACACATAGCAGGTGCCATCTATGAGGAACAGGCCTGGACACCAAATCTGCTGGAGCCTTGGTCTTAGACTTTCCAGCTTCCAGTACTTTCAGCAATACATTTCTGTTGGCCATAAATTATCCCTTCTAAAGTATTTTGTTATAGCACCCCGAAAGGACGACAGCTGCCATTTTGGGGCCCTGAAAGCACTCAAGAATGGTAGGAGGCCCAGCGGAGGCAGGTCTGTGGTCAGCTGGGGGCATCCTTTCTCATCCCAGAAGCCAGGGAAAAAGTCATTGTCACAAGGACATACCCTCTCTGGGCCCCCTGGCCCTGGACTGATCTCCACCTGGCTCTTTACTGGGCTTACCAGAGTACAGGCGTCACCGGGCAGACTGGCACCCCCATGGCTCTGGCACTTCTAGTTGGGTCATCAGTGCTGTCTGACACCCTTGTATCTGTTATCCCGGCTCAGCACAAACAATTAGAGAAGATGGAGGAGGGAGCAGAAGCCTATTTTGTCTAGGGCGGTCAGGGAAGGCATATAGGCTGAGACCTGAAAGATGCAAAGAAGCCAGCCATGTGGCGATCTGGGGGAAGAGCCTTCCAGGCAGAGGCAGCAGCACTGCAGAGGTCCTGAGATGGAAAAGCGTGACTTACAGGAACTGTCAGAAAGTCAGTGGGCTGGAGCAGGGAGGGGGAGCTGTGAGAGGAGGCTGGAGAGGCAGGGAGAGGCTGGATCACGCAGGACCTTGTGGGCCTGACTGGGACTTTGGATTTTACTGTAGGTGGGATGGGACCCCACTGGGGAGTTCACTCAGGCCTCTATGTGGAGACCAGACTGGAGGCTGGAGTCCAGTCCAGATAAGAGATGGTGGCTGCTTGTACCAGGGTGATAGCAGCAGCGGGAAAGGAGGGTTTGATGTGAGATATGTTTTGGAAATTGATCAGACAGATGTTGGTGATGATTTGGATAAGGAGTTAAGAGAAGTGAAGAATCAAGAAAGACTTCTGCATTTCTGCATTAAGTAACTGGGTGGATCATAGACCACTAACTGAGAGAGGGAAAACTGGAGGAAGGGGGAGAGAAAAATCAAGAATTCGGTTTTAGATCAACATGGACGCCACTGTCAGCCCAGCAGGGGAGGCTGATGGGGCAACACACGTTGCAGGGAAAGGTGGCGTGTGGTGGGGGGCATGGGGGACCTCACAGGATTCTCAGAAACCCTTGTCCAGTTGATCCTGCTTCTAATCTCGCCTCTCTACCTTCATCCTGTTTGCTTCCCAGAACATATTCTTAATTATGCCACTCTTCTGCTCAAGAGCCTCTGATGACTTCTCATTCCTTATCAGATGAAGTCCAAACACCATGGCCTCACCTGGGGTCTCAACCAACATTTCCAGTTTGAGAAAAAAATGCTGAACTAGAAGGATAGCCTGTTGGCTGAGTACACACTGCCCTCTGGTGGCCAAATGCCCAATAGCTGCATCTCCCTTAGGAGGGCACAGTACACCGCACACTGAGGCACGGGTAGGGCCAAAGCCCATCTCCAGGTCCCGTGGCAAGTTAACTCCCAAGCGATTTGCTTTCGGTCAGCTGAGCCTGCAGCGGGGCCACGGCCTTCCCTGTTGCACCCCTGTGGACTGGAGGCTGCACACACCTTGGGAGCAGAGAGGACTGTGAGAAGAGCTTCTCCTCAGTCCCTGAGGCCAGCTAGCCAATTGTGGAAGAAGAGACAGAGGGTCTGAGAGGCCAGAGTGTTGCAAATGGCTTCTTACCTCCTGAATCTGTTCCTTCATCACCCTGATCTCATTCTCTCGAGGTTCTATTTGCTTCTTCAGCTCCTTTATTTTGTAGTCAAGCACAAACTTGAATTTCCCTAGTTCTTGATTTTTCTTTTTCAGATCATAAATTCGCTTCTCCTGGGGGTGAGATGAGAGAGAAGTGAGAGATATTGTAAGGCCCTGGTATACTGCAGCCCTTTAGGGCAAAAGAGCACGAAGCCTGTGACTCTCCTGGTTGAAGAGGTCAACCAGGAGACTCCTCTCCTCCCTTCGTCAGTACAGAGGCTGGCACTCCCCCCATGGGGCTACAGCACAGACCCCTCAGCCTCTGTACAAGGACTCTCATGCATTCACTCACTCATTCATATTAGGTTGTGAACAGCGGTATTTTCCAACGATGGCCCCCACAGCATCTCCCGCCCCACACTCCAGCTGTTCTACAGCGTGACCTTGCTGCTTCTCCATCAGGAGGTGGAAGCGAATCCCCTTCCCTTGCATTTGCCTTGACTTGTGACTTGTTCGTAACCCAAATAATGCAGCAGAAGGGAGACTGTGTGGCTTCCAAGGCTAGGCCAAAAAAGGCCAAGCAGCTTTTATCTGGCTCTCTTGGGACACCTGCATTGGGGGAGGGCATCTGCTATGTAAGAAGTCCAACTACACTGAGACATCCAGGCTGGTGGGCACATTAGGGGCTCTGATCAAAAGACCCAGCTGAGCCTAGCCTCCCAGACACCCCTGCCAAGGTGCCAGACATGTGACTGAAGAAGCCACATTGGATGTTGATCTTCCAGCCTCCAGCTGTTTTGAGTCACCCCCAGTATTCCCAGCTGAGGCCCCAGACATCGGGGACAGAGATAAGCCATCCTTTTGTACCCTGTCCAGATTCCAGATCTGTAGCACCTGTAAGCAGAATAAAATAGTTGCTTTCAATCACTTAGTTTTTCTTTTTGAGATGGGTCTCACTTTGTCACCCAGGCTAGAGCGCAGTGGCACGATCTTGGCTCACTGCAACCTCTGCTTCTCAAGTTCAAGCGATTCTCCTGCCTCAGCCTCCAGAGTAGCTTGGATTACAGGCATGTGCCACCACTCCTGGCTAATTTTTATATTTTTGGTAGAGATGGGGTTTCACCATGTTGGCCAGGCTGGTCTCGAACTCCTGACCTCAAGTGATCCACCTGCCTCTGCCTCCCAAAGTGCTGGGATTACAGGCGTGAGCCACCACACCTGGCCTCAATCAGTAAGTTTTAAGGTTAATTTGTTGCACGGTGATAGTAATCAGAACATAAGTATATCCATCCATCAAACATTTACTGAATGAAGATCTTTTGTCAAGTATTGGGTTTCCAAATATAAATACAACACAGTCCCTTGCCCTTAAAAGAAAACACTAGTTGGGAAAGAAGACACAGAAGCAAATCTAAGCCTAAAATGTGATAAATGTTGTAAAGCACAGAAGGCAAAGTATATATTGAGGGTGCTGAGAATGACTGGCTTGAGAGCCAAGCGGTGGTTCATGGGGGAAGTGAGAGGTGAGGCTGGGGAAATAGAGGAGGGAGGTGAGGGTCTTCATGTTGGGGGAAAGAGTTCAGAATTTATCTCCTAGGCCAGGGGTTGGCAAACTCCAGCCTGTGGGCCACATTGGGCCTGCTGTCTATTTCTGTAAAACTTTATTGGAACACAGCCAAGTTAATTGACTAATGTTTTGTTTATGGGTGGTTTCACACTACAGCAGCGGTGTTGATTCGTTGAGACAGACCACATGGCCTCCAAAGCCAAAAATATTTACTACCTAGGTCTTTACAGAAAGAGCGTGCTGACCCCTGCTGTAGCAATGGGGAGCTGTGAGGGCTTTGAGCAGGAGAGTGGCAGCATTGCACCTGTACCCTGCCAGTCCATGGTGGTGGGAGATGGGAAGTGAGGCCATTAGACTGCTTAGGAGGCTGTTGCCACTTTCTAGGTGAGGAGGCCTTTGTCTCTTTCTTGTCAAAGCCCCCTTTGAGAATCTGAACAGAGCTTTGGATCTTCCCTAAAAACAAACAAACAAACAAACAAACAAACAAACAAACAAAACCCTGGATATGTACACCGACACTCACATGCAGAAATGACATCCAGGCATGATCCCATGATCCTATGTGATCCTTACAAGACCCCTTGAGGTGGTTATCATCCCCATTTTATAGGTGAGAAAATGAAGGCTTAGAGAAGTTGCTCGAGGTGCAATGGTCAATAAATGGAACCTGTGCCAGACCTAGTTCCCTAACACTGAAGCCCACGTCCTTGGCCCTTGGAGAATTCCACCTGCCTTGGGCCGTAGTGGCAGGGGAGATGGAGAGGAGGGCACGGAATCTGGATGTGCTCAGGAGGATGATACTACATACTGGGTATTGAGGTATCTGCCCCACAGAATGTGATGTCTCTGACGTCTGAGTGTTTTGTAAGAAAGGCATCCCAAAAGTGGAGGCAGCCTCCTGGACAGGGTCAATCCCAGGAGAGTCCCTCTGCGACAGGGGGACCATGTGGTCAGTGCGGCAAGTGAGCTGTCCCCAGCCCATGGGGAAGCGCCTCCAAGGATGCCTGGAGCAGTGGAGTCAGCTGACTCGGTTCTTATTGCAGCCTGTCACCTATTGAAGTGTGTGACCCTGGGCAAGATACCCAGCCTCTTGGAGTTCAGCTTCCCGAACCATAACACTGGGTTCTCAGGCCCCCTGGGTTGTTGGCAGAGCTGAAAGTGATGTGTTGACAGCGATTAGCCCAGTGCCAAGCACACAACAGGCACTTCACTGACGGCTGGTTCCCCCATCAAGTTAAAGAAATGCGTCCTGAGAAGCTAGGGACCCTCTCTCCCCTGAGCTTTGCCTTCCTCGCCTTGGCCCATCTGGCCGTAGCTGAGGGAGGACAGAAGGAGAGCTGCACCTTGTCTTGAATAGTCTCGTCTCTTTCCTGGATCTCTCGCTTGAGGCCTTGGATGTCCTTCTCCAGAGACTTAATGACTCCTTGCAGCTTCATCTGCTCTCCTTTTAGGGTCTCGATGTCATTGGTTCGTTCTTCAATCTCCTTCTGTAGGCTGCTGAACTAGAAAAGCGAACAGCAACAACAAAGACCACTAAAGTCAGAACTCATCTCCATCCCTCCCACTGTCTCAGTGTAAGGGGCTCCCCACCACTGGCCACCTTCTGTGGACTGAAAACACTTAGCATTCAACATTTCTGGGATTTTAGGAGTGAATATCTGGAGCATTTGGGACGGTTCAGGAATTTCCCAGGCCAAATGGATGATGTAGTATTCTGTCCCATAACATCCAGGCCCATTCTCCATATGAGAGGACTGACTGTCTTCACAAGAGGTTCCAGAGACCGGTACACCAAGTGGACCAGAGACTTCTATGACCACACTGATCTTGAAAAGCTGGGATCCACACTGCATCAAGGTCACAGAAAGTGGGCCCTAACTGATGAGCCATCTTAGCCATGACCAAGAAGGGAAGACTGATTGTTCCCTGGATTTACTAGTGTGCTTTCTAATAGGAAGAAACTTCAGCTTGCTTTGAACTTAGCTTTTCCAGGGCTAAATGTTTTGGGGAAACTGAGTTGAATCCTCCCTCACCCCTGATGGTGAGTGAACTAAAAACATCTTCCCCACTTTGTAAACTAAGCATCCTACACCCCCATTCCCTCTCCCACCTGTGGTGCTGAACAGGAGCCGCCCATGACTCCCTGGACCAAGAGCCCGAGGATGCCTCCCGGCCAAGACTTCATCTATCTCATCCCCAGAAGACCTTATTTCCATTTCCATTTCCATCGGAGGGTTATCTCAGAAAACATTAACTGAATCCTACTTGCCAGTAAGTGAAAACTAGAAAGCCTCTGTCTGCACACAGGGAACCCCAATATCCTGTGAAAAGGAGAGCAGGGAAGCCCGTGCAGCTGCCTTTCCAAGGACGAGGTGGGGAGGGTCCATCTGCGTGAGGGTGCACTGGCTGGTGCTCTTCTCCCAGCCTGCTCGCTGAAGATGGGGACAGGCAGGACCCTGGCCAGCACCCCCAGGCCGGTCAGTCCACCCACCCCAGCTTTCTCTGCAACACCCTCGCCCACCCTAGGTCTCTTGGAGAACAGCCTGCTACCTTCTTCCTCATGATGCCTGTTTCTCCCTTGAGCCGCAGGTTTGATTCCTTTTCATCCCGAAGCTTTTTCTCATACTTGGTTTTGATATCTTGGATTTCTCGGTCTTCATCTTCCTCAATCTGCTTCTTGGTCTCTTCAAACTCCCGCAGCTGCTGCCTGACGTCTTCCTGTGCCTGGCTCAGAGAGAGTGGGCGTGTGGTCAGGGGAGAAGGGACTCACACATCTTTGTGCCAACAGGGCTTGAGGTGAGATGAGCATGGGGACCTGTCCCAGGGAGTCAAAGGCGAGTGTCATTCCAGAAACGGAGACCATGGCCACAGGGCCCTTGACCTGTCCACCTTCTTCCCGTCTGTCCTGTCTTCCTGCCTCCCCTCTTTTCCTACCAAATCAGGCCTCATGCTCCACCACTTCAACCCCAATCTTACCAACACCCCATCCCTGTTCTCCTTTGGTCTTGTTCACTGGACACCCAGCCTTCCTATATTTTTCTCTCACAGAACTTGTGACAGTCATAATGTTATATTTATTTGCGATGTTATTTGGCTGTCTCTCCCATTTGATATAAGTTCCTTGGGGGTAGAAACCATGTCTGACCCAGTGTATAACACATCCTGGCATACAGTGGCTATGCCATGGAGATCTGAGTGAATGGGTGGCTTTTCTCTGTGAAAGGGAGGCACAGCATGGCTTCCTGTGAGTACCTCTTCCAGAAGGGTGGTTTTCTCCTGCAGTTTTGCCTCGTAAAACTCAGTCAGCTCCTCCAGGGCCTGGCTCTTGGTCTCATCGTTATCCCGGAGCTGTTTTTCATACTCTTCCTGCATCCTCTGGGACTTGAGCTGCAGCTCCTGGTACTTCTCATATTCTAGAAGCAACTTTTGGTTGTTGCAACATTCTGGAGAGAAGCAAGGATGGTATTTAAGGTGGGAGAGCAGCACTTGCTTCAGGGACACCCAGGAGCCTTGGGCGCTCTCCCATCCCTTCCAGCACCAGCTGGAGCAGCTGCCTCCAGAGCCAAGATTCAAATGCCTGCCTAGCTTCCTTGCTGCCAACCCCTCATCCCATCATCTCATCAGGTAGCCAAACTCCCTGCCTGCCTGCTCTGGGAAGAAAAGTTTCCAGGAAAGCACAGAGTGGTATTTGGGGACTCAGGGCCAAGAAGAATATCCTGAGTGTGAAAAATAAGTATTAGGACTCCTGCTTTATAGCAAAGTGAGGCTCGGTAAGGTTAGGTGACTCCCCAGAGCACCTGGCAAGTACGTGGTGAGCCTGGGACCCAAGGCAAGACTATCAGGTTCCAAACTTGACCTTTTCCGTGCCTCCTACTTTCATGCAATAGGTGTTTAATGTGCTTAGTGAATGAGTAAAAACACAGAAGTGAAAACCACAGTGAGTTCCAGGGGATACATGTAGCCTGTTTTTAGACAGAGCCATATTCCCTGAGACTTCTACTGTGTCTGGGGGACTCTTGAGTGTTTCCCCATAACCTAGCTCTTCCAACCCTAACCAACGAGGCCTCTACTTGTGGGCTCACCCATGTCCTGCAGTTCCCGGCTTTGCTTGTCTAGGAGGTCTTCTATGTGCTCATGGTGATAAACATCCTGCTTCTCTTTTTCTGTTCTTAAGACCTAAAACAGAGTCACATTTCCTCATTTACACACATCTGCTGAAAGCACTACTAGGGCAAGAACTGATTTTACAAGTAACACCCTCCTTCACTCACAAACATTTCTCAAGCCCTCATTTTGCACCAAGCACTGTTCTATGAAGCAGCAACCACATTGTCACTTTTCATTTATGTTATATTCTGCTCTAAAAGCTCTATACTGTTCCTATTTCTATTCTTGCTACTAAATGGGTTTGTCAATGATGAGTTCAGTTTTGGACACGTGTCAAAAGGACTTCTGGGTGAAAAAGTAGGGATTCATTTGAATCCTCTGTTGCCAGCACATTGCTGTCAACAAAATCCTTGGCTGTGCTCATGGGTAAGCTTCTGAGGAAGTGTTTTCTTTAACTGAGCAGGAAAGCTTTCAGGCTTGGGGGGCGAGTTGGAGGTGGTGTGCCATCTTCAGGACCTAACTTTGCGCCTGGCTTATATAGAGCACCAAATAAATGTTTGTTGGCTAAATGAATAAAATTATAAAGTGAATTAATTAATACAATTAATAGCCAAGGTTTTTCTTTCTTTTTTTTTTTTAGCCGAACTTTATGACCCATAGACATTAAAGAAACAAATATCCCTCAAGGACATAATTGGGGATTTCTTTAGGGGGTGAGGGACAGGGCCTCGCTCTGTCATCCAAGCTGGAGTGCAGTGCAGAGATCATGACTCACTACAGTCCCCACCTCCCAGGCTCGAGCAGTCCTCCCATCCCAGCCTCCCAAGTAGCTAGAACTACAGGCAGATGCCACCATGGCAGACTCATTTTTTATTTTACATAGAGACAGGGTCTCACTATGTTGCCCATGCTGGTCTCAAGCTCTCGGATACAAGCGATCCTCCTGCCTAGGCCTTCCAAAGTGTTAGGATTATAGGGGTGAGCCACCTTGCCCAGTGGGGATTTTAGATAGGAGTCCAGATTTGTGTAGAACAAAGAAAAGAATCTGGGAGAGTCCCAGACCAAATCTAACTATGTAAAGGCCATGTAGACTAATTTTATTTAACTTCCTGACAATCCAGGAATCAGTATTCTGCTAGTTATTCTCCATCTATGCTTTGATTTTCTTATCTTTTTGCTTTTTCTTATCGTTTCATTTTGTTTTAAAATAAGTTTCTCCTAATCATAATTCTCATTGTAGAGAATTTGGAAATTACAAAAAGTATGTAAAACAAAATTTAAATTATCTGTAATCTCAACTTCCAGAGATAATTATACTGTTATCTATTTTCTATATGTATTTTACTACTATAGATCAGATTAATTAATCTGTTAATACCACTAATACCGATTAATACCATTCACCATAAAGTGGTTTATATTCTGCTTTTTTTCACTTAGCAATTGATTGTAAGCATTTATTTTTATTTATTTATTTATTTATTTTTAGACAGAGTCTATGTTGCCCAGGTTGGAGTGCTGTGGAGCGATCTCAGCTCACTACAACCTCCACTTCCCAGGTTCAGATGATTCTCATGCCTCAACCTCCCGAGTAGCTGGGACTATGGGCACGTGCCACCATGCCTGGCTAGAGATGGGATTTCACTATGTTGGCCAGGCTGGTCTTGAACTCCTGACCTCAAGTGGTCTGCCCGCCTTGGCCTCCCAAAGTGCTGGGATTACAGGCATGAGCCACTGTGCCTGGCCAGTTGTAAGCATTTCTGATATCAACGACTATGCTTTAAAATTGGACATTTTCACATATCTTACTGTTTGAGCATAGCTTGGGCAGTATATGCCAGTCCTGTCTTGAAAGTGGAAATTTCTTGTTATTTGTGCTTGTTGGTCAGTCTCTTAAACAGACCTGGTTTTTTGTTTTCAAGGACTCCATTTCCTGGATGAACTTGTCTGTTAGCTCCTTAATCTTCTCAGAATAGTTCATGTCCTTTAGTCGGAGTTGATACTCATTCTCCATTTTTAATTCCTCCACACGAGTCTTTAGCTCCAACATAACCTGAGCCTTTGGGAGAAGGACAGAAGGATCAAGAACACTGACAGTAAGGGTGACTCAGAATATTTAAACCTGCGGCCTTGACCTGAGACCTGCAGCTCTGCCTAGCTTCAAACTCAATGTGTCTCAACTAGAACTTGTCATCTTTTCCCCAGAAGGCACATCAGCTAAAAATGAGGAGACATATGAGCTTCCTCCTCTATCCTCAAAAAATCTTTACTACATTGTGCTAGTCATGCGCTCATCTCATTCAAGTCGGCTTAAGCATCTCCTGCTTGACGAGGCTGACTTGCACCACACTGTTTAATTCTGCAACCCCTTCCCATTCCCAGGACCCATCACCTCTCTTACTCTGCTCTACTTCTTATTTCCTTAGATCTTGCACTTTCTACAATTTACTTATTATTTTGTTTATTGTTTTTATTCTTCTTTCCCCATCAGAACTTAAGCTCCACATAGACCAGAATCTTTGTAGGGTTTGTTTGCTGATATATCCCAAGTACGGGAACAATGTCTAACACAGAGTAAGATCTCAGAAGATATTTATTGAAGCATGATGGCTGTCCCCATGTAACTTAGAGTCTACTGAGGCAGCCAGACAAACACATTATTACAAATTGTGGTAAGTGCCCAAAGCTGGGTGGTTCTCAGTACTGCCAATCTGTCCCTCTTGATGTCTTCTTAGACTCACTTTTAATACTTTAATATAGGTCCTAACTCTTCTGTCTTGCTGGTTTTTATGCCTAGTATCTTCTTATTCTTCCTTTTTTTCTCTTTTTTTTTGAGACATGGTTTCACTCTGTCACCCAGGCTGGAGTGCGGTGGTGTGATCATGGCTCACTGTAGCCTTGACCTCCTGGGCTCAAGTGATCCTCCCACCTCAGCCTGCCAAGTAGCTGGGACTACAGGCATGCCCCACCACACCTGGCTAATTTTTATATTTTATATTTTTTGTAGAGATGGGGATCTCACTATGTTGCCCAGGCTGGTCTCGAACTCTTGGGCTCAAGCAGTCCTCCTGCCTCAGCCTCCCAAAGTACTGGGATTACAGACTGAGCCACCGCACCCGGCCTAGTGTCTTCTCCCATCGTACTCAATGATGCCAAAGTTTTCTAAAAATACTATAATACACACACCCTTCATTTCCTTAAAAAGTTAATGTTGATGACAGAGTGGGTCAGAATGCAGTGTTTTCTTCTTGCTTACCTATGGGGACACCCCGTGCATCCCTATCTCATCATTTCTGGTCTGTCTCCTCTACCACCTGTGAACGACTTGACATCAAGGAATGGATTACGCACATTTCTGCATTCCTGGCCAGCAGACTAGTGAGGATCTGGTGCACAGGAAGTACTGAGAAGAAGGATAAGCACAAATTGCACGTGCAAAGTCAGAGAGGATGGAGCAGGAATGCCTGGCCAGGGCACTCACTGCATGTGATATGGCACAGGTTGGATGTATAGGAAGGGGCAGCCAAGACTGCGTCAGACCATCAGGGGCCCGGTAGACCATGCTAGGAAGTTTGGATTTTATCTTAGAGGGCTTCCAAAGGTCCTCATCGAACCCGATCAGGCTGACTTTGGTGTTATAAAGATCTCTCCAATGGCGGTACGCAGCACGGACTAGATTAAGGAAGGACCAAAGGCAGGATGATGAGTTGCTGGGGTGGGTGGGCGGCAACTGCATAGACCAGGCGAGAGACAGACAGGGTTTGGACTGAGGTAGGGAAGGGGACCAGAGAGGAATGGAGAGGTTGGAGAGAGTGAGTTTAGAGAGGATAGTGCCTGACTGGGTGTGGGGTGGAGAGGTAAGGATCATGGATGAAGGCTGTCTCCTAGGTAGAAGGACCGGTACCTGAGGGTGGGGCTTGGCCTGTCTTGCTTCTCTGCTTTATCCCCAGAACCTAGCATAAAACTAGCAGCATGGTCAGCACTGAATGAATACTTATCAATGATCCCAGGGGTCTGCCCTGGCTAGTGGGATATATTTATCCATGGGAATGACCCGGCCTTTGACATGCTGTGTTTGAGGTCCTTGTTCAGTGTCCTTCCTCCATCTATTCTTCACATTGCTGCAGATTATTCTCTCCGAGATGCGAATCATGTTAAGTCATTCCCCAGCTTAAATTTATGAATGGTCCTTATGAACAATGTCCAGCCTAATGCAGGGTGTAAAAGGCCCCCCTGACCTGTTTCTCTCCAGCTTCATCTTCAGCCCTTCTCTCTGGCACAACCTAACTAGGAGCAGCTTTGCAGACCACCACTCCCTCATCCCTCTGCACACACTCACTGCTCATTGCTCACTGGCCCTTGTCCATTTGTCCTGGAAGGATCTGAGCAAGGCTCATGTCCTCTGGCACCACCTGGCCTGAGCCAAGTTCCTTCCCCTGTGCTCCCACAGCATCGTTCTTTCATGACACTTCATTCCACTGCACGTTTAATTCCCTTCTTTGTGATACTCTGCCCTCTTCCCAGGCTATCAGCTAAAGGATGCTTTATGTCTTTTATCTCTGTAATCCCAGACCTTAGTATAGTGTCAGGTACACAGCAGACCCCTCTGTAAATCCTAGGCAGAGAAGGTAAATCATGGCCTGAGAGTTACTTAGACTATAATGGAATATAAAGAGAGTTGGGAATTCTGGGAACATGCTTTTTAAGGGACAGGCGGAGGAAGAGCCAGGACAGAAGCGGGGAGGAGGAGTCAGAAAGGTTTTCAGGGAACAGAGTGTGGTCACAAGGATGGTAAGACAGAAGGGAGTTTCAAGAAGGAGCGGTATATGCACAAGTCATTTCCAGCCTGGCAGCGGTACTGTCAGGCCCATCTGGGGGCTGTGGTCAGAAGCCAGCTTGGGCACCTTCAGGCCTTTGGTTCAGCCTGCTGTCTCCTATTTGGCCTCTTCCCCTACCCTCTGGGAAGAACAGAAAAGATAACAGAGAAAAGGAAATGTCCCTTCTGCAGCAGGTCAGGCCCCCACTCTCACGGGCCCCTCCCTCATCCTCTTCTCCCTCTTTGCTTTTCCTGCAGAAAATTCTAGGGAGCTCTGGAAGGGATCTCCAGCGAATGCCAGGGGCTTGTCACCGTGCTTTGTGGCAGTGTTGTATTGCTGCTCTGATGGCTTTACTTGTTTCTATCCCTCACTTGACTGTAAGCTTCCTGGTCATGTCACAGGGCCCACAACTGTCTTTTCACATGTGCATCCCCAGTGCCTAGCAAATGGTAGGTGTTCAATAAACACACTTAAGATTCTGGACAAACAGCAATGACTGTGTAGCTTTGCGATCCTCCATGAGCCTTGTGTGTTTATCATCCATTCAGCTTCTCCCTTAGGAAGCGTAACACAGAGCTATGCACTCATATCTCTGCAAAACACACCTTTATGGAATGTTTACTGCATCAACAGGAAGGAAGGGATGTCCCTTTGGTATAGTGATTAAGGGAGGGGGCTCTGGATTAAATCTGGATTAGAACTCTAGTCCTATTAATTATTAGCACACTGACTTTGAACACATCCCTCAAGCTCTCCTAACTTGTTTTTTGAAACATGGGGAGAATGACAGTATCTTCTTCATAGAGATGTTGTGAGATTTAAATGAGAACATACTTTACTTTTGTAAATATTTATTGATTGTCTTCCATGTGCCCAGCATGTGCTAGGAACTGTTGGTCATAAGAGAACTGTATGTTTCATTATTCTTGGTTTCAAAGAGTAGGAAGAGAAAACCAGATCACAGAATAAAAGCAAAGCACAGTGTAAGTCAAGATGATCACATGGCAGAAAGACAGGCAGAGTCGGGTGGACAGTGGCAATGAGGAGGAGAGCTTGGTTGTGGGGACAGCAGATGTGCAGGGAGCCGTGGGGGTCTGCACTGGGCATAGGGTGTAGCCAGGCTGTAGAGGGCCCCAGTGCTGGACCTGCATCTGAATGCAGTCTGGTAAGTAATTCCATATCCCTCTTCATTAGATCCAGTTCTTACCTTTTCTTCCATGTCTGTTTTAGTCACAAGCACCTCTTCGGCAAAGCCCACCTCCCTCTCTCGCTTGATTCCCCGGCCATCCTTATCAAAGACCTTCCAGGTGAACAGGCAGCCATCCTCAGCAGCAGTCAGCAGGAACTGATCATCAAAGGTAAGCAACATCTGAAGAGAAAAAGGGTCATGGCCAGGAAGCTTTCAAGGCCACAGATGACCAGGGCTGAGCCAGCTGTTGCGCAAGGCTTCCCCCCATGCAATCCTGGGCACAGCCTCACAGGGAGGTAAACTTGATCCCAGGTAAGAATGAGAGAGGAGCCCTCACAGGCATCTGTTAATGAATAGAAGAAGTAAGGTTACGTCTACATTCTCTGTGGATTTGGAATCTGAAGAGTCAGCTATTATCTAGAACGAACAAGAAACTCTCAAAACTCAACAGTAAAAAAGCCAAACAATCCAATCAGAAAGTAGACAAAAGATAAGGAGACATTTCACCAGGGAAAATACACAGATGGCAAGTAAGCACATGAAGAGATACTCCGCATTATTAGCCATTTAGGAAAATGCAAAATTAGGACCATGATGAGATATCACTACACACCCATTAGAACAGCTAAAATAAAAAACAGTGACAACACCAAGTGCTGGCAATGATGCAGAGAAACTGGGTCTCATACATTCTTGGTAAGAATGTAAAATGGTACAGCCACTCTGGAAAATAGCTTGGCAGTTTAAAAAAAAACAAACCTGAATATACACTTACCATATGATTCAGCAATTATACTCCTGGGCATTTATCCCAGAGAAATGAAAACTTATTTCCACACAAAAGCCTGTATATGATTGGTCACAGCAGCTTTATTTATAATAGCTGAAAACTGGAAAAAATTAAAAATATCCTACAATAGGTGAATGGCTATACAAACTGTGATTTGTTTTTCATGGAATACTACTCAGAAATAAAAGGGAATAAACTATGATTGATACACAACACAACTTGGATGGATTTGAAGATTTAGCTGAGTGGAAAAAGCCACAATCAGGACATTAAGCTAAAAAGCTTCTGCACAGCAAAGGAAACAATCAACAGACTGAAGAGACGACCTGTCGAATGGGAGAAAATATTTGCAAACTATTGCTCTGACAAAAGACCAATATCCAGAATACCAAAGAACTCAAACAATTCAACATTAAACAAACAAAAAAATCTAAAAATCTCATTAAAAAGTGGGCTAAGGGGCGGGCGTGGTGGCTTACACCTGTAATCCCAGCACATTGGGAGGCTGAGGAGGGTGGATCACCTGAGGTCAGGAGTTTGAGACCGGCCTGGACAACATGGTGAAACCTCATCCGTACTAAAAATACAAAAATTAGCTGGGCGTGGTGGCAGGCACGGTAATCCCAGCTACTCGGGAGGCTGAGGCAGGAGAATCTCTTGAACCCAGGAGGGGGAGGTTGCAGTGAGCCGAGATTGAACCATTGCACTCCATCCTGGGTGACAAGAGCAAAACTCTATCTCAAAAAAAAAAAAAAAGTGGGCTAAGGACATGAATAGACATTTCTCAAAAGAAGACATACAAATGGCCAACAGGTATATGAAAAAATGCTCAACATCACTAATCATCAGGGAAATGCAAATCAAAACCACCATGAGATACCATCTTACCCCAATTAGAGTAGGTATTATCAAAAAGACAACAAATAACAGATTCTGGCAAGAATGTGGAGAAGAGAGAACTCTTATACACTGTTGGTGGGAAGGTAAATTAGTACAACCACTATGGAAAACAGTATGTAGACTTCTCAAAAAAACTAAAAATAGAACTACCATACAATCCTGCAATCTCATTACTGGATACTTTTCTAAAGGAAAGGAAATCAGCAGATTGAAAGGATACCTGCGCTCCACCGCCCCCCCCATATTTATTGTACCACCAATAGTAAAGATATGGAATCAACCTAAGTGTCCATCAGTGGATGAATGAATAAAGAAAATGTGGTATATATACCCACTGGAATACTATTTGGCCGTAAAAAATGAATGAAATCATGTTTTTGCAGCAACATGGATGGAACTGGAGGTCGTGAAGTTAAGTGAAATATGTCAGGTACAGAAAAACAAATATTGTGTGTTCTCATTCATATGTGAGAGCTAAAAAATGTTGACCCTAGTCGGGCATGATGGCATGTGCCTGTAATCCCAGCTACTTGGGAGGCTGAGGTGGAAGAATCGCTTGAACCCAGGAGGCGGTGGTTGCAGTGAGCGGAGATCATGCCATTGCACTCAAGCCTGGGCGACAGAGTGAGACTCTATCTCAAAAAAAAGAAAAAAAAGTTGACCTCATGGAAGTAGAGAGTGGCATGATAGATACTAGGGAAGAGTGTATGGGTTGGTGGGGTGCTAAAGAGAGATTGGCTAACAGATACAAACATTAGATAGAAGAAATCAGTTTTCTTTTCTTTCTTTCTTTCTTTTTTTTTTTTTTTGAGATAGAGTCTGCTATGTTGCCCAGGCTAAGAGTGCAGTGGCACGATCTCCCAGCTCACTGAAATCTCTGCTTCTCAGGTTCAAGCAATTCTCCTGCCTCAGCCTCTCGAGTAGCTGGGATTACAGGCGTGCACCACCATGCCTGGCTAATTTTTGTATTTTTAGTAGAGACGGGGGTTTCATCATGTTGGCCAGGCTGGTCTCAAACTCCTGACCTCAAGTGATCTGGCTGCCTCAGCCTCCCAAAGTGTTGGGATCACAGGCATGACCCACGTGCCAGGTCAAAGAAGAAATAAGTTCTAATGTTTGATAGCAGAGTAAGGTGACTATAGTTAACAACAATATATTGTATATTTTTAAATTGCTAGAAGACAGGACTTGAAATGCTCCCAACACACAGAAATCATAAATACGCGAGATGGATGGAAACCCTAAATATCCTGACCTGATCATTACATGCTCTATGACTGTAACAAAACATCACAGGTACTTCATAATATGTACAAATACTACGTATCAATAAAAAAGCCATTTTCAGAAGGCCACATACAGTATAATTCCATATACAGTTCTCAAAATGACAAAAGTTATGGAAATAAGAACAAATTAGTGGTAGGCAGGGATTCGGGATGATAGTCGGGAGGAGTGGTAGGACTCTGAAGGGCAGATGGAGATCTTTGTGGGGATGGAACGGTTCTATAGTGTGATTGTAGTGGTGGTTACACAGACTGTACATGTGAGAAATAATTCAGAACTACATACACTGTGGACCATGTCAATTTTCTGGTTTGATATTTTGCTACAGTTCTAGAAGATGTAATTACTGGGGGAAACTGATTGAGGGATACACGGGAACTCTGTGCCATCTTTAAAATTTCCTCTAAACCTATAAGTATTTCAAGATAAAAAGTTAAAACAAAAGGATTAACTGTGAAAAATGTCTTCTCACAATCAGCAGTATGTGTCAAGAATCTTGAGAATAGCAATACTCTTGAATTCAGGAATTCTCTCTCTAGGAATTTAGTCTTAGGAGAGAATCAGAGATGCACATATAAATTTGTAAACTGGGCTGTTCACTATAGATCATAAGATAATTTAAATGCCTAATTGCAAGAGAATAGTAAGTTACAGTCCATCATAGGATAGGATATTTGTGTAGCTACTAAAATCATGCTTCTGAGGAATATTTAATTGTATGGACAAACGCTTACAGTAGTGTGAAGTTAAAAACTAGCAGGCCACGAGACTGGCCTCACAGTATGATCTTAATTTTATTTAAAACACACACACATGGAAATGTAGAAGGAAATGCATCAAAGAAATGATGATACCATTATGAGGATTTTTTTTTTTTTTTTTGGAGACAGAATCTTGCTCTGTTGCCCAGGCTGGAGTGTAGTGGTGCGATCTCGGCTCACTGAAACCTCCGCCTCCCAGGTTCAAGCGATTCTCCTGCCTCAGTCTCCCGAGTAGCTGGGACTACAGGTACGTGCCACCACGCCCGGCTAATTTTTTGTATTTTTAGTAGAGACAGGGTTTCACCGTGTTAGCCAGGATGGTCTCTATCTCCTGACCTCATGATCTGCCCGCCTTGGGCTTCCAAAGTGCTAGGATTACAGGCGTGAGCCACTGCGCCTGGCAAGGATTTTTATTTTTAAAATAAATATGCATTGCTTCTATAATCAGAAAAATAAATATGTTATCCACAAAACTTAGCAGATCTGAAGGGAAGAGGTGGAATATGTTGTAGTAATTTACTTTGGACCCAAGGCCCAGGCTTGGTACAGAAATGTTCTGTTTTATAATGAGAAACCTTTTCTTAATACAGCTAGTGTTGCAGGTAAGCCACTAAGGAGTTTGGGATATAACTCAAAACCTCAGGTGCTGTGTCATTCAATCTGCAGAAAGAGAGAGTAAGGAAGAAGAGACACATACCTTCCCAGTGCCTGTTTTTTGGGGGGTCCAGTGTAGGTATAGACATTACTTTTTTTTTTTTTGCACTATGAATAACTTTTAATTTACTATTGGCTATGATTTCTTGGCAACCATTTCGCGTGCAAGATAATTCTTTTTTATTTCATTTTTAAAATTGTCGTAAAATACATATTCTGTAAAATTTGCTATCTTAACCATTTTCAAGTGTACAGTTCATGTTATTAAATACATTTGTAATGTTGTGCAGCCATTGCCACCAACTACCCCCATAATCCTTTTGTCTTGTAAAACCAAAACTCTATACCTATGAAACAATCATTCCTCATTCCCCCTTCCTGCAGCCCCTGCCAACCACCACTCTGTCTTTGTGATTCTGACTGCTCCAAGTATCTCCTAAAAGTGGAATCACACTGTACTTATCTTTTTGTGGTTGGCCTTATTTAATTTAGCATAACATCCTCAAGGTTCATCCATGTGGTAGCACATTGCAGAATTCCCTTCCTTTTTAGGCAGGGTATTGTTCCATTGTATAGATATACCATCTTTTGCTTATGCATTCGTCTGTCGATGGATGCTTGGTTGCTTCCACATTTTGACTGTTGAACATAGATACTACTTTATGAGAAGGGTGAATGGAAGGACAATTTACAAATGTGTACTCATGGTATTGCCCCTGGGGTGGCCTTTTGTACCCTCAGGGAGAGGTAGGGGCCAATCTTCAGGGCTATGGCTCCTTTCAGTCTGGGGCATTCTCTGGAGGAGGAGGCAGCTGTGGTCAAGTGCAGCCCACACTCACGGCAGCTACGGCATCCACCAAACGGCCCCTTATTATGCATAATATTATGGTGAAAACGTTGTACATACATTTTTAGGTGTATCTCTGATGATTTCCTAGGCTAAATTCCTGGAAGTAGTTTAAACAAAGAGTATATTCATAGTCAATAGATG
This sequence comes from Homo sapiens, assembly GCF_000001405.40. NCBI lineage: Eukaryota > Metazoa > Chordata > Mammalia > Primates > Hominidae > Homo > Homo sapiens. The sequence goes on along the minus strand of NC_000001.11, from coordinate 43,210,051 downwards.
GTGATTCAATGAATGATGGATGAATAAATAAGAGAGAAGAAGGAGAGAGAAAAGACATTGGGAGGTTGAAGGGATGAACAAGGCACGTAGCAGGCAGGTGTGGGACTGGGTTCCTGGGGAGAGGGCCCTGCTCACCTTGGTGATAGGACCGGCATGGGCCTGGTACTCATTGAATTCCTTCTGCAGAGGCAGAGGGTACTTCATGGCACGAATGGTTCCCACCGAGGTGCCCACAAACATCATGCGTCCAGAATGCGAGATGACAATGGCGGTGTAGGTGACATCAAACGCCGATATCTCTCGAAGGATCTGAGACACAGGCAGCTCTGCTCAGTGTGAGGGGTCGAGCTGTGGCCCCCACGTCCCAGTGCCATACTCTCTCGCCCTCTGCTCTAACAGATCCCTAGGGGCTTGTCTTTAAAAAATGCTTTTTCTATCCCCTTTTGGCATCCGGTATAGTGCCTAGCACAAAAAAAGGCGCAAACTAGATATTCCTTGTTGTGTTGCTGGTAAATAACCAGGTTCATGAGTTAGGAATAATACTAATAGAGAGAGATATTCATATAGCACTTACTATGTGCCAAGCACTGTTCTGTGCCTTCTCCATGTTGCAACTCATTCAATCCTCACGAAACCCTCTGAGGCAGTTACTGTTATCCCTAGTCTATGGATGACGGACCATCTGTGTGAAAGGCATTTGCTTCAACTCATGTACCTGGGTGGGCTCCAGTCTCTGCTTTGACTGCTATGCATGGGTGCATTTCAAAATGAGAATGGGCTATTGCTCATAAATGCATTCAGCAAGCATTTATTAATGCTCATTACATAAGCAAAACCATACATTAGTCTCCCCTTATCCTTGAGGGATATGTTCCAAGATCCCCAGTGGTGCCTGAAACCACAGATAGTACTGAACCCTATATATACTATGGTTTTCTCCTATACGTACATAACTATGATATGGTTTAATTTATAAATTAGGTCCAGTAAGAGATAAATAATACCTAATAATAAAATAGAACGGTTATAAGAATACTGTATAAAAGCTGTGTGAATGTGATTTCTCTCTCTCAAAATATCTTACTCACAGTATGGTACTCACCTGTTTTTGGACCTTGGTTGACCACAGGTAACTGAAACTGTGGGTAAGGTGGGACTACTGTACTATCAGAGCGCCCCTTCATTCCCTCACTCATTCATGCACTCATTCACCCACCCACCTACACACATATTTTTTTTTTCTTTTATTATTATTATTGTTATACTTTAAGTTCTAGGGTACATGTGCACAACGTGCAGGTTTGTTACATATGTATACATGTGCCATGTTGGTGTGCTGCACCCATTAACTCGTCATTTACATTAGATATATCTCCTAATGCTATCCCTCCCTGTTCCCCCCATCCCACGACAGGCCCCGTTGTGTGGTGTTCCCCACCCTGTGTCCAAGTGCTCTCATTGTTCAATGCCCACCTATGAGTGAGAATATGCGGTGTTTCGTTTTCTGTCCTTGCGATAGTTTGCTGAGAATGATGGTTTCCAGCTTCATCCACGTCCCTACAAAGGACATGAACTCATCCTTTTTTATGGCTGCATAGTATTCCATGGTGTATATGCGCCACATTTTCTTAATCCAGTCTATCATTGATTTGGGTTGGTTCCAAGTCTTTGCTATTGTGAATAGTGCCACAATAAACATACGTGTGCATGTGTCTTTATAGCAGCATAATTTATAATCCTTTGGGTATATACTCAGTAATGGGATGGCTGGGTCAAATGGTATTTCTAGTTCTAGATCCTTGAGGAATCACCACACTGTCTTCCACAATGGTTGAACTAGTTTACAGTCCCACCAACAGTGTAAAATTATTCCTATTTCTCCACATCCTCTCCAGCACCTGTTGTTTCCTGACTTTTTAATGATTGCCATTCTAACTGGTGTGAGATGGTACCTCACTGTGGTTTTGATTTGCATTTCTCTGATGGCCAGTGATGATGAGCATTTTTTCATGCCTACACACACATTTATTGAATGCTGTGCACCACACAATGTGCCAGCTAGTAGGGCTGCCAAGAGGAGCAAAAGATGGCCCTGCCCTAAAGGGGCTTTATTCTGGCACAGCACTGATAGCTGCCATTGAATTAGGACCAGGCTACTCGGGGGTACACAGGAGAGTCACCATACTGTCAGCTGTGTTCCAGCCACGGGAGATCTGCCTTGGGCTAGCTTGCTGCCGTGGTATCTACGCACTTTCCCAGGCACCAGTCACAGGAAAAGTGGGAGGAACCAGCTGGAGGAGCGCACAGCCCATGTTTGTATGATGCATCCTTGCTGAGCTCCTCTCTTTTCCCTTCACTATTTGGAGCCCAATGTAACTGTACGGTTTCAGAGTTTGGGGATTTCAAAAGAATACAGTGGCAAGCCTAGGTGAGAGCAGCTCACTGCACAGTCATGCATCGCTTGATATGGGATACATGGTTAGGCTATTTTGTCACGCAAACATCACGGAGTGTATTTACACAAACCTAGCTGCGACAGCCTACTATACACCTAGGCTATGTGGTAGAGCCTACTGCTCCGAGGCTACAAACCTGAACAGCATGTGACTATGCTGAATACTGTAGGCAACTGTGACGCAATGGAAAATATCTGTGTATCTAAACAGAAAAGGTACAGTGAACATTTGGCATTATAATCTTATGGCATTACAATCTTACAGTCCATGTGGTCCATCATTGGTGTTACTCAGTGCATACCGTAGTTAGGTTTTTACCCCAGGAATGTAAGTGCAGACCAAGGGTAAGAGTACAGTTTAGAGATGACATGACCTCCATGCCTGGAAGGTGGGAGAGAAGTTACAGACAGCAAGTAAAAGGGAAATGAAAAAGAGCCCCGCAATTTACAATTTCACCCAGTCAGGAAGGAAACTAGGCAGGAAATTCAGGAAGTGACGATAACTGAGCTAATCTAAAAGGAATGAGGAGCCTGATGTTATCTTGGGAAGAAGGGGCCCTGTATGCAGAGGCCCTCATTCCGTGCATACTTTGTGCTGTAAGCACGGGAAGCTGTCCCTGCAGATCCGTGCACCAGCCCAGAGGCGGGGCAGGGGCAGACTCACCAAGGAATCTGCAATCTCCTTGAGGGTGTGGTCTGATCCAACAGCAAAGATAATTTTGGCATCGGGGGAGACAGTAACACAGTTGTAGCTGCAAGACTTGAGCACGCATTCTGTCTCTCTCTTTCCTGTGGACAGATTCCATTCATACACAGCACCATCTGTGCCACCAGAAATCAGTTTGCTATCATCTGCATTCCACACAATTGAGCGAATCTGCAGGAGAGGAAGACATATCCAGTGAAGAGTGTACACACACTTACACCCTAACACAGAAAAGGGTGCAAACTCCTTAGGTGCTCCACTAGACTGAGCAGAACGTCCTTTCCTGCTGTAGGCCCTTCTGTTAGCACAAAACATAGCTTCTTGTGAACGTTCACATTCTGTTTTCTATGACGCTTGCAAATTACTGAAGATGAAACACTCTCATTTCTTTTTCACTTTATGAACGTAAAGACTGAATCCTACAGGTTTCTTAAGGCTAGAACCAACCAATTATTGCTGTTTTTTCAAAACATTTTTGAAATAATTATGTATTCACAGAAACTTGCAAAAATAGCACAGAGAGAGTGGACTTCTGGAATGGCACGGTAAGAACCTCAACTTGACCTTCTCTCTGACAATGTAGGTTAACTGGTAAATATGATAAAAAATAATCATTTAAAGTCTTTAGAAGGCTGGGTGCAGTGGATCACATCTGTAGTCCCAACACTTTGGGAGGCTGAGGTGGAAGGATCACTTGAGCCCAGCAGTTTGAGAATAGCCTGGGTAACATAGTGAAACCCTGTCTTTATAAAAATAAAAATAATAAGCTGGGCATGGTGGCATGTGCCTGAGGCAGGAAGATGGTTTGAACTGGGGAGGCTGAGGCTGCAGTGAGCTATGAGTGTACCTCTGCCCTCTGGCCTCAGTGACAGAGTGAGACCCTGTCTAAAATAAAATAAATAAAATGTCTCTGGAAATTGTCCTCAGGGAATACAGCAAATGGAAAAACATTTATTCAAGAAAATCTACTCAATCCCAGTAAGAACAGAGTCTGCTGCATTTAAGCCATGACTCGCTCTGTTACGGCCTCAGCTCCAGAAACTTCACTGCTGTGCACTCTGGGCAGATGTGGCCAAGATAAGCGACTCCCTCTCCCCATAGCTCCTGATCTTGGGCTATGGTTTCGGTCTGGAAAGGGAAACTGCTGGGATTTCTTATTCTTACCCCAGCCCCATGTTGCAGAAGCTCTATTCCAAGCAGGTGTGGCCAAGAGGGCTCAGACTCTCTTCCCCTCGGCCCATTGTCACTTGTTGGAAGAAACTCCACTCTAAGCTCAGCATACTGAGAATAACTGTGCCCTAATGATTCCTGACCCAGTTTGCTTATAGAGTGAAAGTTCCAAGCCATGAAGGGCAAGCCAAAAAGACCAGGGGCTTACATACGTGCACACACACATACACACGCATGTGCACACACACGCACACACCTCAAGTGTCACTCACAGAAGTGAGGATGTTACTCCTGGAAAAGCAGGTCCCCGCCCCAGCTCTGGTGCAGTGGAGCAAAGGTTCTGTCTGTGGGAAAGTCAGGTGCTAAGACAGGGAGCTCTACAGCTCTGCTTGAGGGGGCTGACTTTATTTGGAATAGAACATGGAAAAGTCCATGCCTATGGGCATTGTCTAAAACAGTGGAGATCTTGGTGGAAAGTGATTAAGAGGAGGCTGATAACTCCAGGATGTAAGCAAAATGATATAGAGGAGTGGAATTTTGATAGAACAAGGGAAAGGGACAGAGAAGAAGAGTCCTTCAGGGATAACAGACAACTCTAGAGGCTGGAAGGTCTTGTGTATGTGTTAGACTGTACTGATTCAGGTGCAGTCAGAGTGGGATATGAGGAAAACTTGAAAGCATCTCCTAAGCTACACAAAGACCCGTTAACATAGGGCAGAGTCTCACTGGCACAACGGGCCTACCAAACACAACAGTCTACCAAATGCGGAACATTAAGCTCTCCCGACCCAGGGGCATCTCCTAGGAAGCCAGGCTTAAAAATGAAATCATATTCATCCCTCGCAGCCTGGAAGACTCTGTGCATGCCCAAGGCTGTACCCTCTTATGAACAATCAGAAAGGGGTCATCCAAACTACCAGTCTCTGGCTGAACATGATGCAAAAGCCATCACTCTCTGAACTGTGATAGCATTTTCCAAGCCACACATAAATCTGGTAGTAAAAGGTAAAAACCTAATTGTCTAAGGGGGTTTATGCACCATCTGTAACTAATAAGCAGCTTAGGCAACTCATGGGCAACCCTAGGTAGCCAGGCTAAAAGAAAAGATGAAAAATAGATCTGAGTAGTGATATGAGACACTGCTCACTACAGGGGAAACAGACTTTACAGAATTAGCTCAGCCAAGTCACGAAACAGATAATCAGCCAACCAACCAACAACAATGCCCTGGGGGGACACATATTCAGAACTGCTACAATATATTGTCTAAAATATTCAGCCAACAAAAAATTGAAACATAAACAAACAAACAAACAAACAAAAAGAGTGTAACCAATAAGAAAAAGAAAGAAAGAAAGCATTCAGGCAATAGAAATTGCCTTTGAAGGGGCCCAGATGGTAGATTTTGCGGACAAAGACTTCAAAGTAGCTAATACAAATAAGTTCAATTAACTAAAGGAAACTACGCTTAAATAATTAAAGGAAGGTAGGATGACAAGCCTCATCAAATAAAGAATATAATAAGAAAACAGAAATTAGTTCAAAAATCAAATGGAAATTCTGGAGTTGAAAAGTACAATAACCAAAACGAAAAATTCACTGGAAGGCTCAACAGTAGATTTGAGCTGGCAAACTTGAAATAGCTCAATAGAGATTGTGCAATTGGAAGAACAGAGAGAAACACTAATCAAGAAAAATTAACATTAACAGAGTTTCAGAGAAATGTGGGCATCCATTAAATGCACCCACGTATGGTACTGTAATGAGAGCACTAGGAGAAGAGAGAAAAACAACAAATATTCAAATAAATAATGCTGAAAAATCTCAAATTTGTTGAAAAACATTAACCTACACATCCAAGAAGTACAATAAACTCCAAGTAGGATAAATGCAAAGAAATCTAGATCCAGACACATCAAAAACAAAATGTTGAAAGCCAAAGATAAGAAAATCTTGAAAGCTGGCCGGCCACGGTGGCTCACACCTGTAATCCCAGCACTTTGGGAGGCCAAGGCAGGTGGATCATGAGGTGAAGAGATCGAGACCATCCTGGCCAAAATGGTGAAACCCTGTCTCTACTAAAAATACAAAAATTAGCTGGGCATGGTGGCGCACACCTGTAATCTCAGCTACTCAGGAGGCTGAGGCAGGAGAATCGTTTGAACCCAGGAGGCAGAGGTTGCAGTGAGCCGAGATGGTGCCACTGCACTCCAGCCTGGTGACACAGCAAGACTCCGTCTAAAATATATATATAAATATATATTTCTATCTGTGCTCATGAAAAAGACTAGCTTATTTTTTTTTCTTGTGGTGTCTTTGACAGATTTTGGTATCACAATTATTTTGGCCTCATAGAACATAACTGGAAAGTATTCCTTCTTTTTCCAATTCTCTAGAAGAGTTTTTTTCAAGATTAGTGATAGTGTTATTTTTTTTTCCTTAAATGTTGATAAAATTCCCCAGTGATAAGATCTGGGCCTAGAGTTTTCTTTGTAGAAAGGTTTTAAGTTACAGATTCTTCTTGTTTTGTTTTGTTTTGTTTTGTTTTGAGGCAGAGTCTCACTCTGCTGCCCAGGCTAGACTGCACTGGCATGATCTCGGCTCACTGCAACCTCCATCCCCCAGGTTCATGCCATTCTCCTGCCTCAGCCTCCCGAGTAGCTGGGACTACAGGTGCCCACCACCATGCTCGGCTAATATTTTGTATTTTTAGTAGAGACGGAGTTTCACCGTGTTATCCAGGATGATCTCCATCTCCTGACCTCGTGATCCGCCCACCTCAGCCTCCCAAAGTGCTGGGATTACAGGTGTGAGCCACTGCGCCCAGCCTACAGATTCAATTTTTATAGGAATTTGTCAGTTTCATCTATATATTAAAATTTATTTGCATAAAGTTCATAATATCCTTTCAATTTTTTTTTCATTTTGTTTTTTTTTTGAGGTAGGGTCTCACTCTGTTACCCAAGGTAGAGTGCAGTGGCATAATCTCGGCTCACTGCAACCTCCGCCTCCGAGGTTCAAGCGATCCTCCTGTCTCAGCCTCCTGAGTAGCTGGGATTACAGGTGTGTGCCACCACACCCGGCTGATTTTTGTAGTTTTAGTAGAGATGAAGTTTCACCATGTTGGCCAGGCTGGTCTCGAACTCCCGATCTCAAGGGATCCGCCTGCCTCAGCCTCCCGAAGTACTGAGATTACAGGCGTGAGTGACTGCGCCCGGACCCCTTTCAGATCTTTTTAATGTCTATAGGACCTTTAGTGATATCCCCTTTTTAATCCTCATATTGGTTGTTGGTATCTCCACACTCTTAATTTTTTCTTCATCAGTCATGCCAAGGGTTTGTCTATTTCGTGTTTTCAAAGAATCAAATTTTGGCTTTGATGATCTTTTGTCTGTTTTCTATTTTATTAACTTCTGCTCTTATCTTTATTTCCTGCCTTTTATTTGAATTTAATTTGCTGTTCTTTTTCTAACTTCTTGAGATGGATGCTTATGTATCTTTTTTCATTTCTAACACAGTATATGTATTTAAGGTTATACATTTCCCTGTATGCATAGCTTTAGCTGCATCCTGTATCTGTATTTGTAAAAAATGTTACACATGTCATTCTAACATATATCCCTAATTAGAGACCAGTGTTTTAAGTACTTGTAAAGTGATGAAACAAATGGCTGTTTTCCTGGACTGGTGAGCTTGGGCATCAGAATCACTTTCTGTACTTTCATCCGCATCTCCACAGTCACTTGAAGACTAATTATATTGCTGAAGCTGAGGAGGCTCAGCAGCTCTCATTAATAATGTCCGTGGGCCAGGCGCGGTGGCTCACGCCTGTAATCCCAGGACTTTGGGAGGCCGAGGTGGGTGGATCACCTGAGGTCAGTAGTTCAAGACCAGCCTGACCAACATGGAGAAACCCCGTCTCTATTAAAAATACAAAATTACCCGGGTGTGGTGGTACATGCCTGTAATCCCAGCTACTCAGGAGGCTGAGGCAGGAGAATCGCTTGAACCTGGGAGGCGGAGGTTGCGGTGAGCTGAGATTGTGCCATTGCACTCCAGCCTGGGCAACGAAAGCGAAACTCTGTCTCAAAAAAAGAGTTTGTGTTACTTGGGAGGCTGAGGCAGGAGAATCGCTTGAACTCAGGAGGTGGAGGTTGCAGTGAGCCGAGATCACGCCTCTGCACTCCAGCCTGGGTGACAGAGTGAGACTCCGTCTCAAAAACAAACAAAAATGCTTGTGTTTACATAGCACTTTCACTTTCCACACATTTTTACTTTTCCTTCCAATGATCTGTTATTTGCTAAAGTCAACGGTCAGTTTTGGACTTTACATGACCTCCCTCTGACATCTAGTACCACTGACCACTTCAACCTTTCAGAAATTGTTTAGTTCCTTGGCTTCTTTGAGATAATTATCTGATTCCAAGTTCTCTTTGTATCTTTATTTTCAGTCTTTCATCGGCTCCTCTTCTTTCACCAGTCTCTTAAATGTTGGTCTTCCCTCTGCTGTCCAATATTCTTCTCAGATTCTACATAGGCCCTTGGTGATCTAATCTATGCCTCTGACTTCCTCTACTTTCTAATTCCCCGAATCTTCATACTCAGCCCTGACTTCTCTCCTGACCTCCACACACATACATCACACTTCTGGGCACGTCAAATATCACATGGCCAAAATGGAACTTCATCTCTTTCTTCTCTCTGCCTCCGCTACTAAAGTCATGGTTTAGTTCCTAACCCAGCTTTCACCTTCACATCCTAACTGCTCTCCATCACTCCAATTTCCTTCCACTCTAATCCTTCCTCAATACTGTTCAGAGAGTTACCTTTCTGATCCCATTACTTTCTTGCTTAAATCCTTTCCGTTGTTTCTCGTCACCTAGAGACTAAAGTCCAATTCCTTGGCATGGCATACACTACCTTCTGCGATGCAGCCAACCTTTCCTACTCCCTCTATCATTGCTCAAATGTGTCCAGTGTTCCAGCCATATGAACCAATGAGCACTGTCCTATTTCATACCTCCATTTCATCATCTCCAACAAGTCCTTCTGCCTAGAATGCCTCTCTTTTCCAATGGCCTCTTATCTCCAAATTCATCTGCTGACTTCTTACCCTTTCTATGCCTCTCCCTCTTAATCATGCCTCACATCTAATCTACTACTCTAGGACCTAGTGATTTTACTTTCTTTTTTTCTTTTGCTTTTCTTTCTTTCTTTCTTTCTTTTTTTTTTTCAGACAGGGTCTTACTCTTGTCACCCAGGCTGGAGTGCAGTGGTGTGATCATGGCTTATTGCAGCCTTGACCTCCTGGGCCCAAGTGATCCTCCCACCGCAGCCTCCCAAGTAACTGGGACCACAGGTGTGTGCCACCACACCTGGCTAATATTTTTTACTTTTTGTAGAAACAGGGTCTCCTTATGTTGCCCAGGCTAGTCTCGAACTCCTGAGTGCAAGCGATCCTCCTACATCAGCTTCCCAAAGTGCTTAGATTATAGGCATAAGCCACCACGACTTTACTTTCTAAAATCATTTGAATCCATCCACTTCTCCCTAACTGTATCACCACCACTATTATCTATGGTGTAGATATCCACAATAGCCTCCTCACCATTTCTACCCTCGCCCCCTTCAATAGTCTTCACTCTGCTGCCAAAGTAATCCTTCAAAATGCAAATCCGGTCATATTCTCTGCCCTGAAAGTCTTCCATGATTTCAAGAAATAAGAAGGATAAATCCTTACAAGGCCTACAAGTTTCCATGCATTTGGGCCCTTGTGACCTCTCCAATCTCAGCCCATCTTTACCCCACGGTTTATCCTGGCACCACATTCCAGGCCCACAGACTTTCACGTTCTCTGACACCCTATGAGTCTCCCATCTCTGGCCTTTGGATCCCTATCTGCAGTGATTATCCCCACCAGTTGTGTCTGATTAACTCCTACTCACTCTTATAGGACCAAGCCTTTGCAAATACAGCCACCTAAATTATGCCGCCCCCTTCATTATTTCTCTCACAACAACACCATGTTTTTCTTTCAGTGGAACTGCAATTAGTAACTACATTTGTCTGTGCATTTGTTTTATTGTCTCTTTCCCCAAGTAGACAGTGAACCCATGAGGAAAGGAACCATCTCTCTTTTGTTCACCTGTATCCCACTGGCTGGCGGCATACTTGGCTCCGTGCCCCTTGTTTCCCCAGAGACTGTTCACTCACTTACCTTCCCTGTGTGTCCTTTCAGGCTTGAGATGTTCTCTAGGCTCGTGGTGGTGTAAACGTGAATCACATTTCCATTGACTGCAGCAAACAGGTGACCTCCATTGCTAAAGGAACACTATAGGGAAAGACAGCAAGAGAGCAAGCAAGCAGGAAGTGAGCAGTCTAATTAGAGGTTACAGTCAAGAGGTGCTTTTCCCAACGAGTTCAGACTGAAACTACGTGTGAGGGTGGGAGTGGGGGGAAGGTGCAAATGAGACTGAGGAGTGGCTGACATTTTCAGACACTTTCATTATTCCTGTAACTCATAGTGGCCAGATGCTGACACTGTCAGGCCCACAAATCATTAAGCCGTTGGGACCACAAGCAATCATTTTGCCTGTAGAAGCATGTTTCAGAGCCGGGGAAGTAATTCCTGAAATCATTGCCTTGTTTCTGCAAGACACCTCAGGGAAAGCTGATGCGCTCTTTATTACCTCTCACCATTGATGCTTATTTTTCCCTGGCTCCTCCGTCTCCAACCTCACCTTCTTAGCTGTGACTCTGATTCTGAGATTACTTTTCTTTTAAAATATTTGTTAATATTCCACAATTACAGACAGGACTTATCATAGCGGGGATCTCACAAGGTTTTAGGTTCAATGAAATAGTCTGGTGGACATAAGAATATGGGGATGGAACCATATACTCAATAAGGTTGCTGGGAAAATAACTGGATTTCCTCCTTCCCCCTTTTTTTAAGCCACTGTAGTTCTCCAAGACAGATTTTGGTCCCACCTCCCCAGATCATGTTAGTTCCTGATATTTCAGCCGTGGCTTTCTAAGAAACTGGACTTTTGTCTTCAGCAGTTTTTTTTTTACCTCTCCGCATCCTCTAACAGAGTATTCTTTGAAAGAACGTATATCATCAATGAGTAGATTCATGAGGCGTAGTTTGTCAGCAAACCCTACTACAATGAAGTGTCCAGATGGATGAAGGCTGATGGAATATGCCTCTTCTTGGTATTCCTTAAATAGTTCCAGGGTGCTGTGAAAAAGATCAATTACTGAATTGTAAGCTTAGCTCACTAAATCCTTCCAGTCATCTACTGTATCTGATATATATTGTTATCATCGTATTTGAGACACACTACTGTTTGCAATTGTTGGTTCCTCTCTTTTCTAGATCTTGGTTATTAGGGGATAATGTCCAGCGTGGAGCATGGTAGATAGGGAGACTGGTCAAGGTGTGGTCTAGCGATGCTGAAGACATAGCTCTGTTTATATTCCAAAATTCATGAGTATTGTCCAAGTATTTTTTCCCCAGAAGCCCCAGAAGTTGTACATAAGAACAAAGAAAACAGTAGGGGGTGGGGGTCCACCTAGGGTTGGAGCTTCCCAGGGAAGCTGTGCTGGAAGGTAAAGTCAGGAGGGAGTTGGGGGTGGTTGAGATAGTGATGTCCTGGGAGAAAGATGAGGAAGAAAGGGTCTGGAGAGCTCCCTGAAGCAAAGAGCAGTTCCTGTGGGAAACAAGGGGATAGGAGAGCTGGAGGGACCCAGGAGTTTATGTAAGAAGGTGAGAGACTGAGGTGTTGTCTTCATCTCTTCATGTCCCCAGTGTCTAGCATGTGGTAAGCATTAAATAAACCACAAAGTAGTTTTCTAGCCCACGCAAGAGTGAGAAACAGGTAGGTTGACTGACTTGATTTTTTAAAAATCTTTTCCAACTGAAAGCTTCTAAATAATTAAAGTTTGGAACACTGTAATTAAAATAATTCACATAAATTCACAACTGGGGTCTTGCATAATAAAGTAGGCAAGCCTTTCATTCCTTACTTTGTTTCATAATTCCAAAGGCGGATGGATCGATCCAGAGAACAGGTGGCTATAAGGGGTTTGCGGATGCAGGTAGCTAGACCGGTGATGGGTGCTGAGTGCAATGGATACATCAAATACTCAAAGTGAGCAGGCTCCCCCTAGAGAAATCACACAGAACAAGATCCCGCAGAGTAAGCAAAAGGCTGGCTGTACATGTCAGCTCTAATTAGTTCCCATGAACATTAATTAGCCTGGGTGCACAGAAATCAGGCTGTGGCTAAACTGTTTGAATATTATGCATATTTTCCTGAGCCAATATTATTATTATTTTTTATTTTATTTTATTTTATGTTTGAGATGGAGTCTCGCTCTGTCCCCCAGGCTGGAGTGCAGTGGCGCAATCTCATCTCACTGCAAGCTCCGCCTCCCGGGTTCACACCATTCTCCTGCCTCAGCCTCCCGAGTAGCTGGGACTGCAGGCGCCTGCCACCATGCCCGGCTAATTTTTTTTTGTATTTTTAGTAGAGACGCGGTTTCACTATGTTAGCCCAGGATGGTCTCGATCTCCTGACCTTATGATCCGCCCACCTTGGCCTCCCAAAGTGCTGGGATTACAGGCGTGAGCCACCATGCTTGGCTGAGCCAATATTATTTTTAAACATTATTTTAATGGCAATAAAATATTTTCTTCAATGGATATCTTAGAATTTAATTTAACCCTTCCTCTGCTGTAGGAACATTTAAGTGGCTTCCAATTTTTGTTATTTATTATAGGAATAACACTAGACTAAATATCCTTGCACAAGTCTTTGTATCTCTCTGATTATTTCCTTAGTATACAGTTCTAGAAGTGGAATACTGGGAAAAATTGTATGAATGATTTTTAAGGATCTGGATAAATAATGCCAAGTTTCTCTCTGGAGAGACTGCACTAATTATCACCAGTAGCAAATGAGAGTTGGATGGATGATTTTAAATTGAAATGCATCCTACTGCACTGGTTATGTAGGTTACAGATGTCTGTCATCAGAGGCATTGTTTCTGGAACACCTGAATGAGGAGTGATCGTTGGGAAATTTAATGAGATGTACATATTTAGGTCTGTTCGCAAGCCAAGACAAAGGCTGAAATGGATTTTTTTTTTCAAATTCTGCCCCTCTGCCACTTATAAATTTATCTGCATCCACTCTATCCTACGCTAGTATCTCCCATCCAAGTATTAACCAGGCCTGACCCTGCTTAGCTTCTGAGATCAGACAAGATCAGGTGCATTCACGGTGTTATGGCTGTAGACCCTACTATCTCAGAGAAAGAGATGCTATGCTGGGTAGGCAGGCACAGGTTATTGTTATTCTTCTCCATCTGTTACGCTTTCTTTCTCCAATATCTTCAACCTGCCTGTCTCTATGAGCACATTCCTATTAGCTTTTACACACTCAAATCTCTCTTGTCTTAAAAACAAAAGCAATGCTCTCTCTTCCCCCTCTGCCTGAGGAGTCATGCAATGATGGGGAATCACACAAGTGGGCTTACCGGTTTCACTGCAAATGCATGACCACAAACCTCCAGTGGGCATTTAACCCTGTCTGGTAACTCTACCATATTTTTTCAATAAATTCACATTCTAAATATCCAAGATAAGTATTTCATACTGTTTATTCTCCTTTTCAAACATTCCAACCTTTTTCTTCCAATTCTAAATCTCATCTGATGACATTATCTCATATTTCCTTGCTTTCTGTGTCTTTGTTTTCATTTTGTATCTCAGAAGCAGACTTGCAGAGATTCATCATAAATTCATATAAGACAAATTTTATTTTATTTCGCTCCTTTCTTTCTCAATTTTTACTTCTGTTCCTCCCTATGATAAGTAGGCACCAACAAAAGGATTTCATGTATGTCACTGACTATATACATATGTGTTTTATATTTCTATAAATGATATTGTGCTTCAGATCTCTTTCTGTACTTTTACTTTTTTCTCAACACGAAATTTTTAAGGAATCATCTATGTTGCAGTATGTATAATTTGCTTCTAACTGATGTTTGATATTCTACAGTGTGCATCTAGCTACTTTACTTCTTCATTACCACTAGGAATGAACATGTGGATTGTCTTCAACCGTCCATTGCTACAAACACTATGGTGAATATCTTTGTCCATGTTTTTTTTTTTTTCTTTTTTTCTTTTGAGATGGAGTCTCGCTCTGATGCCAGGCTGGAGTGCAGTGGCGTGATCTCGGCTCACTGCAACTCCGCCTCCCAGGTTCAAGCGATTCTCCTGCCTCAACCTCCCTAGTAGCTGGGACTGCAGGCACATGCCACCATGCCCAGCTAATTTTTGTATTTTTAGTAGAGACGGGGTTTCACCATGTTGGCCAGGATGGTCTCGATCTCTTGACCTTGTGATCCACCCGCCTCAGCTTCCCAAAGTGCTGGGATTATAGGTGTGAGCCATCACACCTGGCCTGTCCATGTTCTTTAATGGCTCTGTGGGGTCAAATTCCTGGTGTGTATCCAGTGCAGACTACTGGATAACAAGGTACATGCACTCTCTATTTGACCAAGAATTATCGGATTCCTTGCTAGAATGGCTGTATCAGTTTACACTCCCATCATCACCATATTAGGGTTATCATTTTCCCCTGTCCTCAGAAATCTCTGGTAATAAGTGGATTTTTAATTTTTGACAATATAGTAATGAAACTTCTTATAAAGAAGCATCTCAGAGTTGTATTAATTTGCATTTTTCTGTTCACAGGCAACAAAATTCCCTACGGCAGCACCCAAAGGCTTGAAATTAGCCATTCCAAGTGTGTCCAAAAAACTAAAGGAAACCATGATTAAACAAGTAAAGGTAGAAATGATATGCATCAAATAGAGAAGAATAAAAGGATCCCATCAATATAGGGATAGAACTGTAAGAAAATAGAAATTCTAGAGTTAAAAACTACAATAACTGAAATGAAAAATCCACTAGAGGTGCTCAAGAATAGATCTGAACTGGCAGAAGAATTAGTGAACTTTATAGATCAAAAAAGATTAGCAATTTGAAGAACAGAGAGGAAAAAGAATTAGAAATTTACAGAGCCTCAGAAAAATGTGGGACACCATTAAGCACACCAACTAATGCATAAGGTGAATGCTAGAAGGAGAGGAGAAAGAGAAAGGAACAGAAAAAACATTTTCATAAATAATTGCTGAAAATATTATAAATTTATTGGGAAACACCAGTGTACACATATAGGAAGCTCAATGAACTCCAAGTAGGAAAAACACAAAGAGTTCCACAAACAGACACATTTTGGCAAAAATAATGAAAGCTAAAGATGAGAAGAAAATTTTGAAAGCATCAATAGAAAAATGACTGATCACTTACAAAAGAGTCCCAATAAGATTAATAGCAGATATCTCAGCAACAACAACGGAAGCCAGAAGAGAATGGGATAACATGTTCAAAGTGCTTAAAGAAAAAGCTGTCAAACAAAAATCCTGCAAAGCTATCTTTTAGAACTAAAGGTGAAAAAAAATTACCAAAAAAACTGAAAAAATATGTTGCTAGCAGATATGACTTACAGAAAATACTAAAGGAAATCCTTTAGGTTGAAAGCAAGTTACTCCAGATAGTAATTCAAATCCACACAAAACAAAGAGCACTGGTAAAGGTAATTATAAAAGACAATATAAATATATATTTCATCATCTTTTAGCTGATTTAAAAAGCAATTGTAGGAAACAATATGCATATAATATACTGTTGTTGCTATAACATATAGAAATGTAATATATTTCCCAGTAATAGCACACAAATGGTGGGTGGGAACAAATGTGTACCAGATTAAAGAAATGACTTCAGTGGTAACTCAAACTCAAGAAACAAATGAAAAGAACCAGAAATGATAGTAAAGGTTAACATAAAAAGACTATAAATATATAATTGCTCCCCATTCTAACCTCAGCTTCTTTAAAATATATAAAATTATATAAGGTAATAATTATAAGAATATGTCATTGGGGTTTGTAACACTCATAGATGTAATATATATAACAATATTACCATTAAAAAGGGGAAAGGGAAGGTAGCTATGTGGCAATAACATTTCTATATGTTACTAGCATTAAGTTAGTATGAAATTGAATCAAACTGAATCTGATTATAATGAGTTAAAGTGTGTATGGTAAGCCCTAAGAAATAATTAAAAGTATATAGGGAAAAATAATTAAAGATATTAAAACACTACCTTAAAATTTTACTTAATGTGAAAGAAGGCATAGAGAGGAACAGAAGAACAAAAACCCCATGATACACACACACAAAAATGGTAGACATAAATTCAACTATACCAGTAATAACATTAAATGTGAACTGATTAAACAATCCAATCAAAAGAGATTGTCAGACTGGATAAAAAAAGATTAAATTATATGATGTGTATAAGAGACACAGTTTGGAATCAAAGATACAAATATATTGAGAGTAAAAGGATGAAAAAAGATATACCATACAAACAGCAACAACAAAAATGCTGGTGTGGTTACAGTAAGATCAGGCAAAATAGGCTTCAAAATAGAAAATGTTACTAGAAATAGAGACATATTTTATAATGCAAAATGGTCAACCCATCAGGAAAATATATTAATTGTAAAGATATGTGCACCTAAAAATAGAGCACCCAAATGTATAAAGTAAAAATTGTCAAGAATGAAGGGGAAAATAGACAGCTCAACAATAGGAGTTGAAGATTGCAATATACCACTTTCTTTCTTTTTATTTTTTTTTTTGAGATGGAGTTTTCACTCTTGTTGCCCAGGCTGGAGTACAATGGCATGATCTCGGCTCACCGCAACCTCCACCTCCCGGGTTCTAGCAATTCTCCTGCCTCAGCCTCCTGAGTAGCTGGGATTACAGGCATGTGCCACCACGCCCAGCTAATTTTTTTGTATTTTTAATAGAGACTGGGTTTCGCCATGTTGGTCAGGCTGGTCTCGACCTCTCGACCTTAGATGATCCACCCACCTCGGCCTCCCAAAGTGCTAGGATTACAGGTGTGAGCCACCACTCCCGGCTTTTTTATTGATTTATTTTTGAGATGGAGTTTCACTCTTATTGCCCAGGCTGGAGTGCAATGGCACAATCTTGGCTCACCACAACCTCTGCCTCCTGGGTTCAAGCGATTCTCCTGCCTCAGCCTCCTGAGTAGCTGGGATTATAGGCATGCGCCACCACGCCTGGCTAATTTTGTATTTTTTTAGTAGACACGGGGTTTCTCCATGTTGATCAGGCTGGTCATGAACTCCTGACCTCAGGTGATCTGCCCACCTTGGCCTCCCGAAGTGCTGGGATTACAGGCGTGAGCCACCACACCAGGCCATGCAATACACCACTTTCAAAAACAATCAAGACAAGTAGGCAGAAGATGACAAGAAACAGAAGATCTGAACAACACTAAAAACCAACCAGACCTAACAGACGTATATAGAACACCCAACTCAATAATAACAGAATATACATTCTTCTCAAGTGCATATAGAGCAGTCTCCAGAATAGATTATATGCCAGGCCAAAAACAAACCTTAATAAATTTAAAAGAATAGAAATAATACAAAATATATTCTCTAAGCACAGTGTAATTAAATTAATAATTAATAACAAACAGAAAGAAACTGGAAAACTCACAAATAAGCAGAAATTTAACAACACACTCCTAAAACCAATGGGTCAAAAAGAAATCAAAAGAGAAATTCCAAAATATTTGAGATTAATGAAAATAAAGACATAACATAGCAAAATTTATGGTAAGCAATATTAAGAGGAGTTTTTTTCTGGCTGCAAATACCTACATTTTCAAAAAAGAAAGATCTTAAATAAATAACCTAATCTTCTACCTTAAGACACTGGAAAAAAAAAAAGAGCAACCTAAACCTAAAGCAAGCCAAAGGAAGGAAACAGTAAAGATTAGAGTGAACATTAATGAAATAGAGAATAGCAAAGCAATAGAGAAAAATCAATGAAACCGAAAGCTGATTCTTTAAAGAGATAAAAAAAAATGGGGGGAGGAGGAAAATCATATTAATACAATCAGAAATGAAGGAGGGAATATTACTTTTTTTTTTTTTTTTTTTTGAGACGGAGTCTTGCTTTGTCACCCATGCTGGAGTGCAGTGGCACGATCTTGGCTCACTGCAAGCCCTGCTTCCCGGGTTCACGCCATTCTCCTGCCTCAGCCTCCCGAGTAGCTGGGACCACAGGCGCCCACCACCATGCCTGGCTAATTTTTTGTATTTTTAGTAGAGACGGGGTTTCACTGTGTTAGCCAGGATGGTCTCAATCTCCTGAGCTCGTGACCTGCCTGGCTCAGCCTCCCAAAGTGCTGGGATTGCAGGCGTGAGCCACCACGCCCGGCCAAAAGAGGGAATATTACCATTAAGCTTACAGAAATAAAAAGGATCATAAAGGAATACTATGAACAATTGCATGCCACTATATTAGACAAATAGACAAATTCCTAGAATGACACAAAAACTGAAACTGGCTCAAGAAGAAATAGACAATCTAAATAGATGAAAATAGGTAAAGAGATTAATTAGAAAAAGAAACTTTCCACAAAGAAAAGCCCAGGCCCAGATGACTTCACTGGTGAATTCTACCAAACACTTAAAGAAGAATTAATACCAATTCTTCACAAACCTTCAAAAAATTAGAAGAGGCTGGAACACTTCCCAACTCATTCTATGAGGCCCTGATGCAAAAGCAGTCAAAGACATCACAAGAAAACTACAGATCACTATTTCTTATAAATATGGATACAAAAATCCTCAACAAAATACTAGTAAATTGAATATACTAATATGAAAATGATTATATACTATGGCCAAGTGGATTTTATCCCAAGAATGCAAGGGTGGTTTAACATCTGAAAATCACTTAGTATAATATACTATATTAATAAAGTAAAAAACGAAAACTCACACAATAATTTCAATAGACACAGGAAAAAAAAAATGTGACAAAATCCAACAGCCGTTCATGATAAAAACATTCAACAAACTAGGAATAGAAGGGAACTTTTTCAGCCTGATAAACAGTATCTTCAAAAAAACCTACAGACAGCATCAAACTTAATCGTTAAAGACTGGATGCAGCCGGGCACGGTGACTCACGCCTGTAATCCCAGCACTTTAGGAGGCCGAGGCAGGCGGATCACAAGATCAGGAGATCGAGACCATCCTGGCTAACATGGTGAAACCCCGTCTCTACTAAAAATACAAAAAATTAGCTGGGCATGGTGGCGGGCGCCTGTAGCTCCAGCTACTCGGGAGTCTGAGGCAGGAGAATGGCATGAACCCGGTAGGTGGAGCTTGCAGTGAGCCAAGATTGCGCCACTGCCCTCCAGCCTGGGTGACAGAGCGAGACTCCGTCTCAAAAAAAAAAAAAAAAAAAAAAAGAGACTGGATGCTTTCTCCCTAAGATTAGGAACAAGACAAGGATCTGCACTCATCACTGATATTTGA